>NC_000016.10:51532197-51835227 GCF_000001405.40 Homo sapiens | reverse complement strand
ACAGTAAAAATATATTGTAATTATAAAATCTGTTTTAGAATTTATACATTTTTCCATACAATTAGAGCCTCAAAAATCAGAAAGGAAACTTGGCCCTCCTTTCTGTTGGACAGGCCCTGCCTTGTAACGGCAATATAAAACGTTCCGTAAGTTGTAGAAACTCTTGCATGTGTTACCTACTATTTAGCTTATCTGTCACTGAGGCTGCCTGAGGGGCATGAACACTCCTGGGCCTGGAGTGGCCCTTGAGAGCTGGGTGATGTCATTGTACTAGAAACCCTCACTTGGGTTTACCTGGGGCTCTGCATTTCAGAGGGCTTTTTCTGGGTATCTCACTTCTTTTCCATCCCCCAGGAACCTGTTTAAATAAAGAATCAGGGTCTAAATTCTTCTCTGGGGGAGGCTGGGCATTGCTCAGAAGTGGCATTTATTCTTCACAAAATGCCAAGATGAACCAGGGCGCCTCATTCTCTTCCCTTTGCCTTTCATGCTCCTAATATGCGACATTCTTCTAATGGTATTAATAATGCGTAGAAGCTGAGCTGCAAATTCAGGAAGTAAATGAGATGCACTGACATAAAAGCTCTGTTAAAAAGCATTCTTTCTACATGATGTTCATCCAGTAATTTTTAAAATCAGTTTTTAAGATTTGAAAGTAGCTAAGTCAGACCGCTCTGACTTCATGTGGGACAAACGATGTCGTTCCTATTAGAACTGATATGCTTCTCAAAGAATCTGTCTCTGCTTTTCTCGTCTAACCTAAAACCCCATTCTCTCTGCTAAGTTTTCCCAGAGATTACGGTTTACTCTGGCATTATATAAACTTCTAAAATAGCAAGGGAACGTGAAATGCCGATAGGATTTAACTCTGCAGTGGAGTTGCTTAGGGGAGGCGTCATCACAGTAGTGGAATTACTTCATTTGGAAAATATGCCTTATTTTGTGAAGCTTCTTTGTCGTCTAAGAAAGGAGGCAGAAGAAGAACGGCTGGGGTTCATCACAAATTAAGCAGCAGCCAGGGTTTAGCAAGATATTTTCAGTTAGATTTGGAAAAGGAAAAAAGTATCTAAAATGCTTGTTACGTAGAGCTTCGTATCGATAAGAACACTGAGGACATGGTTATGGGGAAGCTTCAACCTGGGAGGGCTGTGATACTAAACTGAAATTAACAGGACAGGCAATTGGCATAATTAAGAAGTGTGTAATGGTAGAGTGGAAAGAAAGATGGCTTAATAACCTCATCATGCCCTGGTTCTACTCTACCTGGCTATGTGAACTTAAGCCAGCCACTTGACCTCTCTAACCTCTATTTTCTCATGTGGATCCTAATATCTGTCTTTGGGGATTATCAGAAGAGAATAAAATGAAATGAATGTACATTACCTTTTAAAGAGATATGTACCATACAAATGTCAGCTCTCATTTGTTCTTTATAATGCATGGGAGAATTATAATATAGAGAGGGGTCTTTTCCCATGGAGGCCCTCCAATAGGCTCCTTGCCACTTGCCTGCCTGAGAGAGCTGGAGGACATTGTGTCTGGTGTCTGCAAATAGGCCCTCACCTATGAACATGCTGCTATTTGCTGTAGATACCAAAGGTTCACATTAGTAAGCCTTTACCTCCTTCCAGGGAGGGAAATGTATGACACTGGGTACTTACCCACTGAAATCTATACATTGTATCCAATTTGTAGATGCAAATATGAGCTTGGGGTAAATTTATGCCTTTAATACCCCGGGGCTTTTTTTTTTTAATCCCTGATGAAAGACATCGTTGTGCCTCCTTAAAACAAATGAAGTATCAAGGAAGTAACTATGGCTCTGAAGAAGTGGGAGCTCTAAACAGTGTCTCTCAAAAGTGCTTTGTCCTGGAAATGGCAAAGAAGTAACCTTAGAGTGCCTGCCTGCCACCTCTGCTCCAACCCTTAGAGCATGAAGTCTTACCTCCCTTCCTGACTGGCTTGAGGATGTTATGCAAAGTGATAGGAAGCTGTGAAGAGAGACTCGGTCTGCATATAGCGAAGCCAAAAAAACATCAAACCATTAAGATCAGCACTTCCCCTCCTATTGGACTTCAAATCAGAGCTCAGGAGCAGGTATCTGAACAAAATTATATTTTAAGTGATTGACATTTACATTAAAGTAGGTATAAGGCTGTTATTGGAATATGGTTCCAATATGTACCAGTATGGTACATATGGAATCAAAGACAGAAATGTAAGAATGCATTCATAAGAACAGTAGAACACTCTATAACATTATGATTAATAATAAAATATTCATATGGCATTTTATAGGTTACAATATTGCTTCACATTTCATCTCATATAATTCATGGCATATCCCTGCAAATTGAAGAATGATTATTGCTTGTGAAAGAGGAAATTGAGGCTCAGAGATTACATGGTATAGCCAGGTCACACAGCAAATGATGAAACGGGAATTCAAATATAGATCTTTAAATGCCAAATTTTAACACGTTTTCACCATATCATAGATAAAAATTTAATAGGAGAACAAGACCTAGAATGTTCTGGTGCTCAATGGAAAAATTTTCAGGTATTTTAATTTTAGAATCATTTATGTGGTGTCAGTGAGTTTTAAAAAAATTATCAATAAAGGCAAAAATGCTAAAAGGTTTCTCGGAGCCAGTATTATGAGGAAACCGAAACCTGTTAGGAAATTGGTTATAATATGGAATGTGCATATTAAAATGTCATAAACTTTATTGAAAACTCTAAATATGTAACTAGAGTTTTTACTAAGTTCATAAAACATAATATTGGATACAGCATCTTTTGTCAATCCTTGTGGTTCATGTGTCAATTACCTGGTTACTTAGTAACCAAGTAATCCAGTAACCAAGAAGTCAAGCCATAGATTAAATAGTCCCCAACCGGGCAATAAAAAGGTCCCTGAGTACAAATTTGCAGAATTATGGTTTATTGTGTTAATAATCTCCCCATGTCTGTGGCTAGCCTTCCACGGATGGGCTGGCGAGTGTGTGCTACTCTGGAGCCCAGCCGTAGTGCTTGCTATTTTGTTATAGTACCTGCTTTTCAGAGAGGAAATTAAACCACAAAGCATGCTCTGGCTTAAAGTCACTGAAGGAAATGAGGGGCTGAGCACACACCCAACTGAGTTTGGGGATTCGGGGGAAGTCCAGACTCTGGTTAGGAGAGCTGCTGGTTTGAGGTTCAGTTCTACCACTTTCTTGCTAAGCTCTCAGGACAGGTTTCACCAGTTGATTCTTGCTGGGATCCTTTGCATAGTGATGGCCCTCTACAATGATTCAAAGATTCCTTCAACAGATATTTGTGGGGCACCACAGTGTACCAGGCACTGTGATAGGCACAGGCAATGCAATTTTAAAAAAGACATGCTCAGATCATTCACCCAAGAAGTTCACTGTGTAGGAAGCAAAGAGATGTTAATCATATAATGACATAGGTAAATATATAACTGTCATCAGTGTTCTTCAGTGAGTAGATAGTGCTGTGAGAGTGTCCTGCACCAAGACGGGATCTAATGCAGAATAGGAGAGGGATAGTTAGGGCAAGATTTCCCAACAAACTGTGTGACATTGAAGGAGAGCTGGCAATCTGATGGATGGGGAGAAATTGACTAGGGAAAAAAAAAATTCGGACAGAGAAAAAGCTAAGAACAGGCCAGGCATGGTGGCTTACACTTGTAATCCCAGCACTTTGGAAGGCCAAGGCAGGCAGATCACTTGAGGTAAGGAGTTCAAGGCCAGCCTGACCAACATGGTGAAACTCCATCTCTACTAAAAATACAAAATTAGCCAGGCACAGTGGCAGGCACCTGTAATCCCAGCTACTGGGGAGGCTGAGGCTGACGAATCGCTTGAACCCAGGAGGCGGAGGTTGCAGTAAGCCAAGATCGAACCACTGCACTCCACCCTGGGTGACAAAGTGAGACCCTGTCTCAAAATAAATAAATAAATAAATAAATAAATAAATAAATAAATAAGCTAAGAACATTCCAGGAAGACGAGGAAGCAGATGCAAAGGCCCTGGGGCAGGAGAAAATGTGGTATTTTCAAGCAATCCAATAAAAGCCAGTGTGGCTGAGTGCCATCAAGGCTAAACTGGAAAACCCAGGAATTACTGCTTCAACGCAATGTGTGAATTTTGTGAGAAACTGAGAGGACTGGGAAGATAGGGTGCTCTTTACTGTGAGAAGCCTGACTTCCCAAATAGAAACAACTCAACTCATCTTTTTTGTTTGATTTTTACTGTCCAAAGCGCATGGATCTTGGTTATCACCTGTCTCTACAATTCCACCGTGCCCACTGCTTCACTGTTCCCAAAATCTCTTTGCTGAATTAAGAGCAAATGGGAACAAGCATGGTAGCTCATGCCTGTAATCACAGCACTCTGGGAGGCTGAGTCGAGGTAGGAGGGTCACTTGAGGCCAGGAGTTCGAGACCAGCCTGGGCAACATAGTGAGATCCCGTCTCTACAAAACATAAGAAAAAATAAGCCAGGCATGGAGATGCATGCCTGTTGTCTCAGGTACTCAGGAGGCTGAGGCTGAAGAATCACTTGAAGCTTGAGCCCAGGATTTTGAGGCTGCAGTGACCTAAGATCATGCCCCTACACTCCAGCCTGAGCAGCAGAGGGAGACTATCTCTTTGAAGAATGAGAAGAAGGAGAAGGGTTTGTGGATGGAGTGACCAAAGGAGGAGGAAGAGGAGGAAGAGGAGGAGAAGGAAGAAGAAGAGGAGGAGGAGGAGGAGGAAGAGGAGGAGGGGAGGGGGAGGATGGAGAGGAGGAGGGGGAGGATGGGGAGGGGGAGGAGGAGGTTTTTGTGGATGGAGTGACCAAAGTGTCAAAATTTCCATAGAAACCAGCATTAAACAAATACCAGATATTTTGTTGGTTAAAAAGGGAAGAAACTCTCTTAACAAAACCAGATTTCCCTTCTGTGAATTTTGTACCTACCCTGAGTGTCTTCATCCTGGCTTGGAATCTTGGACTATTCCATTTAGTTGGTCAGTGACTATCTGAGCAACCAGGTGGTCAGGACCACCTACAGTTGGGTTAATCAGCTTCCAGCTGCTAGAGTATGGGTTTGGCAGCATGACTCTGGAACAGACTTGATGGTGGATGCAAAAAAAGCTAGGCCACAGTCTTTGTACTCAAAATGCTGACTTCCCAATTTCAGTGACACACTGTCATCCAAAAATAATAGAGAGCAGGAAGAAGACGCTGACCAAATGCTAAGCTTGCCCCAGGAGCACCTTGGCGGAAGTCAGAAGCTAACTTATTATGGTTTGGTTATCCTTTTCAATAGGTTATTTTAGTGACTACATCATGCCTGGACTATGATTCCAGTGATTAGAATGAAATACCTTGCAGAAAACATTGTTTTGTCTTCCCATAAATGGTCATAAATTATTTTTCAAAATCTATTTGCAGAGCTGGGGATATATAGCAACCCCCTGTGTCATCAGGTAGGCAGCTGTGTTCAGTTCATAGCTGAGCTCCTACTGTGTGCACAACTCTGGAAAACCGGAGGTGAACCCCAAGAGTCCCAGTCTTTCAAGTGATCACAGTTCTTGGAGACATGTGGATATCCAACCCAAATATAAGGCAGATGTGTGAGAACAGAACTTTAAACCAAGAGGAGAGAGAACCCAGGAGAGGAAATGAGTTCTCACTGGAGCATGGAGGACAGACTTTGCGGTGTAGTGCACTTGCACCGGAGCTTGGAAGAGATCCTACAAGATGGAAGAGGAAGACATCCCTGAAGGTGTAAATAGAATGAGCAAGCACGAGATAAATGCAATGACCATGGACAACATAGTGAGAGAGGAGCAGGGGGACTTGGATATGCTTTGGTGAAGTGCACAGGTCCCTATAAAACATCGGCTTTGCTGCCTCTTCTCCATCACTTATCATTGCTGCTCCTTTCCTTAGTTCAAGAAGCAGTAACACACATACACGCACACATTTTCATCTTTGTGCAGACTCTCTGGTCACCAAGTAAGATGCCACAATATAGGACTAAAAGACTTGGTTCCAGTTTTATCTTTGCTATTGAGGGCTTGGGGAGCTTTGGAAAGTCATTTTCCTTTCTGAAACAAGGAATTGGACACATGGATCTCTTCTACCTTAAACTGTTTTGATTCTTGAAGAGAGCTGAAGATAATACTAGAACAATATTTTTCCAAGAAATGGGGATAAGAAAAGGTAATTCTCTTGAATATGGCCTGAAAAACAAGAGAAACAAGAAGAATGGGAAAATTGTTTCATATATATATATAAATATATATATATATGTGTGTGTGTGTATATATATGTATATATGGGCACTGCAATATATATATATGGCACCATATACATATATATATATGTATATGGCACTGCAATATAGTTGAAGAGGCTTTTGGACATACCTGGTTTCCAGTTTTATCTCTGACATTTAGTAGCTCAATATTTCTCAGGTAATTTAACTTTACTGGGCCTTGATTTCTTCATCTGTAAATGAGGAAGGTCATTATACCCACGACTTTTAATTAAAACACATTAAGCATCTACCAAGTAACGCGGGTTGGGGATAAGCTATTTATTTTATAAATAATTATTTAGTAATCCAGATACAGTCTCTGATCTCAAAGAACCGCCAGTCTAGTGGGAATTAGCATGCAACTATTGTAAAGTGAATTGAGTGTGGGGGTAGGAAGGTATTGTGGTAAGAAAGTCAGGAGCAGCTTTGGTAAACTAGAGTGGAGCCATCTACCATCTTCCTAGGATGAGGTCAAGGAAGGCTTCCTGAGGAGAGGAAGACCTGAAAAATGGGACAGGGGAAGATACAGGTAGGAGGCAAATTGTTCCAGGTAAAGAAAATAGGCTCGTTTTTTAAGAAAAAAAAAAAAAAATATATATATATATATATATATATATATATATATATAGCTTCTGTGTGTGAAGTGCCTTACAGGGTGCCTAATATGTAAAAAGACTCAATAAATAGCTGCCAGAGATGTTATTACTTTCATGGTTTGGGGGCAATTAATTTCACCTTGATGATACTTTATACAACCATTTTTTGTGCCTGTGGTCCACGTCAGTCTCCTTTGCTTGCCCGCGGTGGTGAGTGAGAAGGAAGCCTGGGTGTATTTGTGCCGGCGGCACAGAACCAAGCAGAAGTGGGTCCAAACTGGACAGAAATGAATGCATGAGGGTCTGTTCCCTACTTTGCCATAACGTGGGAGATCCGGGCTGTCGTTGCCACAGAGCTCACAAGGTTCAGATGCTCTCTGTTTAACTGGAATACATAAAAATTCAAATCCTGGCCTCATAAATATGAGTAAACAGTTTAATGACTTGCGTTAACTAGAAAATAATCAAATATAAATGCAGGTATGCTCCTCATTTGCATTTTTTTCCATGCAGGTGAATAAAAATAAAAGTTCTCTAGGTGTCATATTGGAGAAGTGAACATTTTATAACAAAAATCCCAATAAAGCCATGATGATTTTCCACCCTGTGCTCACTGGCACCCGTTTTTAGGAGAGGAAATGCTGCATAGGATTTGCTATCACGGAACTTGCCTAGGAGTCTGCCAGTAACTAGAACCTCATGGCAGTGGTCGAACCTCTCTGAGTGATACCGACCTAATGGGTTAAAAGGGATGCTGGTGGCTACCTAATACCAACTGTATAAAGTTGTTGATACCTATGTAATCCCAACTTAAACACAGAGTCATTCAGAATCAAGGGACTATCTAGCAAAACCATGGACTAACTGGGCACTGTGCCCAGCTAATCTTTGTATTTTTTTTGTAGAGATGGAGTTTCAGCATCGTAGATGCTAAATACACGGTCAGTGTTAGATCCTTTCCCTCACTAGGGCTTACCTCCCCATTTTCATTTTCTTCTAGAAGCATGAATTGGTTCAACTTATCTTGATTATGATTTGAAATAATACACTCATATGTATCTGAAGAATATGGATATTACTATGTATATTAACAAATGTTAGTACATACACATATTCCTCTAAGGATATGCATAATAATATGATACATCTTCATCTAAGACTGTATATTTATATGTGTTCATTGTTAGATGCAAAGACTATACATATTCATATTAGTACATGTAAATATTCATCTAAGAATATAGTACAGGTGGCCAGGTGCTGTGGCTCACACCTGGAATCCCAGAACTTTGGGAAGCTGAGGTGGGAGGATTGCTTGAGCCCAAAAATTTGAGATCAGTCTGGGCAATAAAGCAAGACCCCATGTCTACAAAAAACAAAAAATCAGCTGAGTGTGATGATTTGCCCTGTAGTCCCAGTTACTTGGGAGGCTCAGGCAGGAGGATTGCTTGTACCTGAAAGTTTGAAGTTGCATTGAGTGAAGATCATGCCACTGCACTCAAGCTTGGGCAGCAGTCCAAGACTCTGTCTCAAAAAAAAAAAAAAATACAAAAAGAATACAGGACTAGAGTATCTCCTTTTATTGTACTTTGCCTTATTGCACTTTCCAGATTTTGCATTTTTTTACAAATTGAAGGTTTATGGCAACCCTGCTTCTAGCAAATCTATTGGTGCCATCTCTCTAACAGCATGTGCTCCCTTTGCGTCTCTGTGTCAGCATTTTGTAGCACTAAAGTATATATATTTTTTGAAACAATACCTAGTTCTGTCTCCTAGACTGTAGTGCAGTGGTGCAATCATGGCTCCCTCCAGCCTCTACTTCCTGGGCTCAAGTGATCCTCCCACCTCAGCCTCCTGAGTAGGTGGGACTACAGGCCCCCACCACAATGCCTAGCTAATCTTTGTATTTTTTTGTAGAGATGGGGTTTCAGCATGTTGCCCAGGCTTGTCTCGAACTCCTGAGGCTCAAGTGATCTGCCAGCCTCAGTCTCTGAAAGTGCTAGTATTACAGGCATCTGGCCAGTATTTTTTAATTAAGATATATACATAGTATTTTTTTAAAGACATCATGCTATTGCACATTTAATAGACTACAGTGTAGTGTAAACATAACTTTTGTATGCACTGGGAAACAAAAAAAAATTGTGTGACGCATTTTACTGAACTAATCCCAGAACATCTACAAGGTGTGGCTGTAGTATACCTTATCTACAGTTTTAAGTCCTCCAGTTTCAGTTACCTGCAGTGAACTGTAGTCTGAAAATATTAAATGGAAAATTACAAAAATAAACAACTCAGAAGTTTTACATTGTAAGTCTTTTTGAGTAGCATAAAGAAATCTCTCGTGCTGCCCTGCTCCATCCCTTATGAGACATGAATCATCCCTTTGATTCATGCAAATCCACACTGTATATACACAGCATTTTAGTCACTTGGGAGCCATCTCATTATTAGACTGAAAAAATATAGTATTGACAGGGTTTGGTACTATCCTCAGTTTCAGGCAACCACTGCTGGTAGTCCTGGAATGTATCCTCTGCAGATAAAGGGGAACTACTGAATATATTAATATGCATATTAGTACATATATACACTTATCTAAGAATACATATTTTAATATCTATATTAGTACGTATACATAGTGCTAGATACAAAATTGGATTTTTTACTTAAATCAGGGCTTCCATTTCCCAAAAATAAATTGGAGATGGTGGTTTCCAAGGCTTCTGATAGTTCTGAAATCCTGGGTTGAAATATACAGATGCTCAGCACAAGTTGTGTCATCAATAATCGTTAAGGGAGAGAGGACTACACTTTGCTTAGAAGGCTTCTTGAAGGAAGAGGCATTTCAGATGTCATTTGTTTGGACTACAGCAATCCATTTCTATAACAGTTAAATTTGGAAGTCAACTACATTCAATATTCTGAACTTTGTCTTTCATCTAGGGATCCCCCAGTTCTGCACACTGCCAGCTGTATGCCCTCCTGGTGGTTCCAAGATAACATTCCTGTGTGCCACCATCTTCCTAAAACAGTCTTCATAAAGGTGTTTGCTGTAACTGGATTTTCACCTAATTTATTTCTTCAGCCAGACTTCTCACTTGAAATATTGCTATATCCTCTTCACAGTTTTTGCTGTTACCTTTCTCTAATTCGTTCTATTGCCCACTGATAAGAGGGCCTGTATCATCTGCTGCTCAAAAATTGTCCAAGACATAACATATTTATAAATAAATGTAATGAAAGCATCCATGATTTCTATTATAAAACCTCTAAAATATTGCTGACAAAAAGTGGAGAAGGCCTAACAAAATAGAGATATATACTATGTTCATAGAATGGAAGACTAAATATCACTAAGATGGCAATTCTGTCTAAATTGATCTGTGCATTGATCACAGTTTATAGATCAGCATTCCAGTAGACTTCTTAAAGATATAAATTGGTAAGCCAATTCTAAAATTGATACGAAAATGCAAGAACCTAAATAAAGAACAACTAAAGACAATTTGGATGGCCTATACCTTTTGATTTAAAGACTTACTATAAAACTATCATAATCAAGATAGTTTTATATTACCAAATATATAGACATAGAAATCAATGGAACAGAATAAACATTTCAGAAATAAATACACACATATATGACCAATTGATTTTCAAGGTTTCAAGGCAATTTGATGAAAAAATGAAAGTCTTTTTAACAAGTACTGCTGGATCAATTAGATATGTATGGTGTAAAGAACATCAACCCTTACTTTACACCATACATAAAAACTAACTCAAAGTGTATCATAAACGTAAAACCTAAAACTGTCAAGTTTCTAGGAGAAAATCTTTGAAGCCTTGGGGTAGACAAAAGTTTCTTAGAACACAAGAAGCAGAAGCCATGAAAGAAAAAGTTGATAAACTAGATTTAATAACAAAACACTTTTATCTTCAAAAGATATTAAGTAAATAAAAAGACAAGCCATTGACTGGGAGAAATATTTGCAGCACATATTTTAGATAAAGGACTTGATCTAGAATATATAAACAATTCATCCAATTCAATGATAAGAACACAACTCAATTTTTAATATATAGGCAAAAAGTTCAGATGCTTAGTAAAAGAAGAGATAAAAGTGATCAAGCATATGAAAATATGCTTGTCATCATGAATTTTCAGAGAATGTCAAATTAAAACTACAATGAGAAACCACTACACATCTTTTACAGTGGTTACAATTTAAAAGACTGAACATTTAAGGTGTTGGAGAGGATTTGAGCAACTGAAACACTCCTCACGCTGATGGGAATGGAAAATGGCACAACAGCGACTTTTAAAACATTTGGCAATTTCTTAAAAACTTAAACATAAACATTACATAATCTAGCCATTCTAATTCTACATATTTATCCAGGAGAAATTAAAGCAGATGTTCAACCCAAAACTTATACCATCTGATTTAAAGACTTACTATAAAACTATCATAATCAAGATCGTTTTATATTACCAAATATATAGATATAGAAATCAATGGAACAGAATAAAGATTTCAGAAGGAGACACACACATAAATGAACAATTGATTTTCATCAAAGGTTTCAAATGAAAGTCTTTTCAACAAGTTATGTTGGATCAGTTAGATACCTATTGGGGAAAAAAAGTAAAAAACCTCAAACCTTACTTCACACCACACATAAAAACTAATTCAAAGTGTACCATACATGTAAAACCTCAAGTTTCTAGGAAGAAATCTTAGAACACATGAATGTTCACAGCAATTTATTAGTAATAGAAACTGAAATCAACCTATGAACAGGTGAATAGGCAAACAATACCGTTCAACAATTAAAATAACCAAACTATTGATTAATGAAATACTATGTATAAATCTCAGAAATTCTAGAAAATGCAAACTAATCTGTTGTAGCAGAAAGAAGATCAGTGATTGCCTGGAAGCAGGAGTGGAGGGAGGGATAGATTAGAAAGTTGAGGGGTAATAGAAATGCTTACTATCCTGATTATGGCAATCGTTTCTTGAAGGTATACATATGTCAACACTCAGAAAGTTGTACATCTTATAGAGTGTGTTGTATATCAACTTTAACTCCATAAAGTTGTAAAAACAAAAACAAAAACAAACCATTGTCAATGTTCTCTCACTGCCTACAGAATTAAAATCAAACTTTCAAGAAGGTATTTAGGCCAGGCTGTCTGTAATTTTACTCCAGTAGGCCTTCCCAGTCTTAATTGCCACCCAGTTGTTCCAGACACTCTAGATTTCTAGATCTTGTCCACACACATCTGCTTTTCTTCCATGTGTAGCTCTTTCTGCCTAAAATACACTTCCTTCTCTGTCTGCTTGTCCTAATTCTCTTTCACCTTTGTGGCCTGTGGCAGATTGCTCACTGCCTATCCAATATCCTTTCTCTCTTCTTTCTTATCAACAGAACTTCAGTTGTGTTCAGTATATCCAGCTAAAAATGTGAAGCAACTAAAACGCTCCTACATAGCTGGTGGGTATTTAAATTAATCCACCGACTTTCAGTTTGGGAATTTCTTCCCTCTGTGCTTTTGAGCATGGCCATTTGACACACTTTTGGCCAGTGAGATATGCATCAGTGGAGATCTGGCTTTCCTGAGACAGCTGCTGCCTCTTCTCAGTTCTTGCTTCATCCTTTGTTGTGTCTGAAATGTAACTGATGCCCAGAGGTGCCACAGCCATTCCACCACCATGAGCATAAGAGCTACATGTCAAGGAAAGTGGATGAGGGAGGTCAAAGAAGCCTGGGTTGCTGCTGGTGCTGCTGAGCTGTGGTGGTTTCCCCAGCTACAAGGCACTATCTATCCATCTGCTCTAAGAATCTTTCACTTCCCCCAGTTTGGACACACTGCTCTTTGTGACTTGAGTAGCACCTTACCTGCCCTGCTTCATGTTACCTGGCACAATCCATCCTATGATGTGCCTACTTAGGCACATGCTGTATTTACTTTCCCAATGAGACCCTGGGTCTCTGAGACATGTGCCCAATGCCCAACCCAGCCTCCACAGGCTGAGCTCCAAAAGGGTCTCAAAAGCTGCCCAGTGTGGTGGAAAGTATTTGGGTGTATGCCTGCCTGCCCCAACCTCTTGCCAGCTTTGTAACCCACAGCAGCCACATAACTCAGGGACTAAGTTTCATCATCTGATACATGGATATGATATTAGTCCTTACCTCTGAGGATTGTTTTGCTGTTAATTAGGATAATCCGTGAAACATATCAATCTCATAGTAACTGCTCAGTAACTGTTGATGGTGATAATAACCAAATGATCGCCTCCCCTCCTTCCCCTTCTCCAATCCACTCACATCTGCACAGTCCACATTCAGAAAAGTTTCAGTAAAAGTAGTTCAGATGCCTCTTAATCTTTTCCCCTGACATGCAACAAGGCCAATAAGGTGGGAAGGGTGGATGATGACCATAAAATGCATCTAGGAGGGGCTTCTCTCCTCTTCATGGTGTCTATGCCTTAAATGGCTTCTGCCTCAGCTGGGAAACCTAATTCAAAAATTCCTTGGCAGACTACTGTTTTACATTTCCAAAGTACACATGAATTTCCTAATCATTTCAGAGGTATGGACCAATGGCCGGGTGATAATTTTAGAGACTCATCTTTGTACACAAGGCAGGTTAATCCCTAAGCATTTGGTGCTCATGGTCTTCCCAGTTAGGATTTTTTTTCCCCAAAATTTTTAATTCACTACCCAGCTCTCTAAAGTTCAGAGCTAACACTGTATTTTTACCATCTAGTTGCCTAATTTAAATAAGCAATCTTACGTCATTGTGCCTCAGTAAAATGGGAATAAAGACAGTACTCCCCAAGCTGTCTCTCTGGCTTCAAGTTTCAGCTAAAACTTGACTTCACCTTCGTTGACTGCCCTTTACAGGGCAGTGTTATTGAGGAATGGATAGGCTGTGAGCTCCCTGATGGCATCTGGACCATGTATTGTGTTCCCTCTAGAGCCAAGAACACTGCCTGGCGCAGAGGGGATGCTTGGTAAATATTCATTGTATCACTAAATGAACAATCTGTTGAAAAATCTGATTTGAAAGGACAGAGGAAAACTGGAATTGAATTCATTTCTGGTTCAGTTTGCATTCAATTACTGATTCAGTCAATCAATATTTACTGGGTATCTACTATAATCCAGGCACTGTTTAACTTCTTGGTTTGTATTAGAAATATAATTTCTAATCTACTAAGGTCTTAACCCTGCATATGCCTTAGAAAAGTAAAATGTTTGACTTTTCTAGAATTGGGCAGGTAAAAGCAATGGTTCAGTTTTACAGCATCTTGAAGAAGCCTTTTCAGCCAGGTTCGACCCAAATTTGCTTACACATGTTACCCACTCAACCAAACGTGTAAAGCATGTTGTTCTCTGAGCTCTTCTATGTGATCCAACCCTATATATTATATTACACTTATAAAATACCATGAAGCCCTTATGAATTAAAAGATAATTAGTGGTTCAACACACACAAGACATTAGGCTCAAAGTGTCAAAAATGTCATGAAAGACCATAAATCATGGTCTGCTTGCATTGATCCCTTATAGAGTTAGTTTTTAAATCATCTCTTTAACACCTTGTAAATGTACAAACAACGATGGACCCAAGGGAAACTTTAATATGTTTTTCATACATATTTTAATTTCATCTCAAAGTGCTAGCTGCATAAAAATTAAGTCAGACTCACAAAAACTCATTGATTTCCTCAGGATAAAACCCATCTGTCCAAACTAATTTAGAGCCTTTTTGAAGCCGTAAAGTTAGTCCTGCAACACTGAGGTCATTATGGGCATCCTGAGCTGGAGGAACTCTTGTGTAATTTTAAGAAGGCAATTTTGTTATATTTACTGTATTTAAATACAGTGCTACTTTTCACGAACAAAAGCCTCACTGTGTAACTGTATTGAAAGTAAACCAGAAGCTGTGAAAAGCGAGATCTGTTCTTTTCCTTGTGATTAATGCACCTTTCTGCCAAAATTGAGACTTCTTAACTGAGCTCATTTAATACAAAGTAAACGAATTCTGCTCTTTGGATTTGATCCTCTGGTTAAACCCTATAGATAAGGCTTTAACAGTGAATAGCTTTTCATTCTAAACAAAGGATGTTTTGATAGAAAGGTCAATACAAAGGTCTTTTATATTGTGATAACAGGAAAGGGAAATAACATATTAATGGAAACCCATGCCATGGTGGTCCAGGCTGGAAGGACACACAGAAGTAAAGACCATTCGGAAGTTAGAGAGGAGTTAGAGACCCATGGCCTCAAGAAGCCCTGGCCTTCTTCTTTAAATCCACTTCCAAAGGGCATTGTCTTTTATTATGCACCAAGCAAAGTAGACTGAAGAAGATCACAGTGCAATTTCAGGAAAACTGGAGAGTTACAGTTGCATTTTTCTCCACCCTGCCCTTAAGGACCAAGCCATGCAGAACATCACCCCTGAAACCATAGTGATGCATAGCGGAATTTTAGGATGATGGAGATTTAGGCATTTGAATAGGACAAATTAGCTGAAATTTCTGCTGCATCAGGATGCACAAGATCAGGAGTTCCAAGCTGTGACAGCATCACCCTTACAAGCTAGGAGGCCTTTTCTTTGTCCAAGTGAGGCTTCTTAGTCAGCTCTGCCCAATTTCTTAACCTTGCCCAGCAGGCCAGGCATATTCCTTTCTTCTTACTTGCCACTTTAATTTTCTTTCTCCATTTCCCAAGGAAAGTTTCATCATTTTATATATATATATATATGTATATATATATATATATATATATATATGTATATATATATATATATATATATATATATATTTTTTTTTTTTTTTTTTTGAGACAGAGTCTTGCTCTGTCACCCAGGCTGGAGTGCAATGGCACGATCTCGGCTCACTGCAACCTCTGCCTCCCAGGTTTAAGCAATTCTACCTCAGCCTCCATAGTAGCTAGGATTATAGGCGCACAATGCCACAATCGCTGTTTGTTTGTTTGTTTGTTTTTTGTATTTTTAGTAGAGGCAGGGTTTCACCATATTGGCCAGGCTGGTCTCGAACTCCTGACCTCAAGTGATCCTCCTGCCTCAGCATCCCAAATTGCTGAGATTACAGGCATGAGCCACCGCACCAGGCTAGGTTTCATAATAATCTAACCTAGGAGCTGGAACCTTTTTGTGCCTACCTCAGAGGGAAACAGGTTGTATTTGTTTTTTGTTTTTAGTGAGAACATCCCTATTTCCTTAAGAAGTTTCTGCTGATTATGGGAAACAGCAGAATTGAAAGGAGTAAAGTGAATTAATGGACAAATTGGTGGTTAGCTTAACTCATTTCTCTCATTCATTTATTCAACAAATATTTATTGAGCAACCACTAGGTCCTAAGGATCCAGCTAGATGTTAGAGATACACATATGGATTAGTCAGTCCTTGCTCCCAGAGCCAGAGAAAGACAGACCTATAAAAGGAGAAATCAGGGCACAGTTGAATGGAAGGCAAAGCTTTAAATATCCCTGGCCTGGCTGATGGCTTCCAGCCACTGCACTGGTCTGCCAGGACACTAACCAACTGACCAGTACTGACAAGGGTAGGGTTGTTTTGAATTTTTCATCCCCAAATGCTTTGAAAGTTTTCTTTATCGTGTCTTATAGAAGAAGGAGGAGAAGAGAAAGGAGAAAATGCAGTAGTAGGTCAAGTATTTGCAATAACCAGAGTTCAATGTTTCCTAGAGAGACTGTCTGGTTCCACAGTGCCCCCTTCTGGTAGGTTGCCATGGAGCAACAACCAGTGAAAAGTCTACGGAAGCAGGAGCTTCTGTTTACCGGTACATTACATGCATCACTGAATCCTCTCATCAAGTCTTCGGGGAAAGATTGGTATCATCTTCATTTTACAGATGAGGTTCATTCAGGTGCAGTGACCTAAACAAGGCCATACATCTTACATGCACCTGGAGTCAGGAGACAGACCCAGCCTAACTGGGTCTAATGTGTGCTTAAACACTCCATCTTTCTCCTTTTATAATTTATTGGTCAATCAATCAGCAGGTGCCTACTCCCCATCAACACCATGCTAGGCACTGGGAATTAGGGCTTTCCCTTCTCCCGCTTCTTGGGTATTTTCAAAGACCATAGGATGCTGGCAGAAAAAGGAAAAATCACAAGCTAGAGGGATCTGGTTCAGCCAAGAATTCATGAAGGCAGAGCATGATACAAACTAATACAATCCTAATAGCTGGGTTTGGTACAGATGGATAATAAGAAATATTTTATTTTCCCCAAAATATTCTTCCTGACAGAGTCTCTCATGTTACTGCGCATCCTTCAACCTCACTTACGAGAAACAGCATTTATGTGCACTGACTTCCAAACATGGCGCTAATCATTTGCTGTTTTCCTATTGAAAAAATCAAGTATTATATAGAGTTAAAAAGCAGACTTATTATTTCCTATTGTATAGGGCAAGATAATAACACATCTGTCTTTATCTATATTGGCGTAATCTCATTAGACAAAGTTAATAAAAGACATTGAAGAAACGAAAGAACTCAAAACAGAATTACCATTCAGCCCAGCAGTCCCACTACTGGGTATATACACAATAAAATATAAATCATGCTACCATAAAGATACATATATGTGTATGTTCATTGCCGCACTTTTCACAATAACAAAGACATGGAATCCACCTAAATACCCATCAATGGTAGGCTGGATAAAGAAAATGTGGTACATATACACCATGGAATACTATGCAGCCATTAAAAAAGAATGAGATCATGTCCTTTGCAGGAACATGGATGGAGCTGGAGGTCATTCTCCTAAGTGAACAAACACAGGAAAAGAAAACCAAGTACTGTATGTTCTCATTTATAATTGGAAGCAAAACAGTGAGTCCATATGGACACAAAGAAGGGAACAACAGACGCTGGGGACTACTTGAGGATGGAGGGAAGGAGGATGGCAAGGATCAAAAAACCACCCATTAGGTACTATGCTTATTACCTGGGTAGTGAAATAATCTGTCCATTTGTGGCCCTGAACCTAAAATAAAAGTTTTTTAAAAGGCAGTCTGCTTGAATGTTGAGCAAGATGTTTCCTAATTCTCTTCCAAGGAGAGAAGAGGCTGTGATAAGTACTCTTGTAGCTACCATGCTCCTCCTTACTGATTCACTCTGCCCTAAGTCTGTCAGCTTCCAGGGCCAGCCAAGGCCTCTGTCCCTACATGACTAATCTTCACTGTTGTTATAAACAATGTCCTACACACCACACAAAAAGTCCTCAAGGACCATCTTTTCCTGCTGATTGTCCTCAGCAAGATTTCAGAGCTCAATGGGATCTTATCTCTTTTTAAAATGAGCCTTAGGATGAGGGTCTGCATAGTGTAGAAATTAAGTTCACACACAGATCTGAGATTGAACCAGGTCAGGCTACATATGTATTGTGTGTTTGAAAAGTTATTCTTTCCCTTCTAATACTTTTAGTTTCCTCTTCTGTAAAATAGATGCAATAATACCTATCTCAGGAGGACTGAATGGGATAATGTGTGGAAAGTGCCTCTTAAATGACAGGCAGTATGTGATCTCAAAGTAACGATTTAATTCTTATCTATCTCAGAGATTATGACATCTTCCTGGAAATACCCTGCAAAAGCTTCTAAAGGATAAAGAATATAGGCACCTTACCCTAAGCATCATTTAAAATCAAGTTTGCATTAGAGAAATGCAAACCAAAACCACAATAAGACACCAGCTCACACCAGTCAGAATGCCTATTATTAAAAATGTCAAAAAATAACAGGTGCTGGTGAGGATGCTGAGAAAAAGGAATGCTTATACAGTATTGATTGGAGTGTAAATTAGTTCAACCATTGTGGAAAACAGTGTTGTGATTCCTCAAAAACCTAAAAATAGAACTACCATTTGACCTAGCAATCCCATTACTGGGTATATACCCAAAGGAATATAAAACCTTCTATCATAAAGACACATGCATGCGTTTGTTTATTGCAGCACTATTAACAATAGCAAAGACATGGAACCAACCTAAACGCCCGCCAATGATAGACTAGATAAAGAATATGTTATCACATATTTAACACATACCATATAATATATATTATATATATAAAGCATAATGTTAACTTTATGAATATCACATGTGTTAATTTATTTTGTGGTCAAAAACAAATAATTCAGATATTTATGTTATTTTATTTTGCAGAGACATATGAATAGCCAGCAATTTTCATAATGCACATAATAATATCATACCACATATTATCATTATATTGCATATTATTCTTCAGTAATGTTAATTTTCTCTGAGAAGTGATATCTCTCTCTTCAGCTCCTCAAACTCTCAGATTTTAGTATTATCCCAGGATACAATTTTAAAAGATTTTCTATTTTGAGTAATATCTTCTCTTCTTTTTCAAAAAGAATTTTATGTTTTGAGAAGAAAGATAAGCCCTATAGAGTAAGATGAAATATAAACAGTCAGATCAGATAAGCTTCATGGACATCATAGGTCTTTATCTTGGTTTATGAGCACTTTCTGTAAAAGCCTCTGAAATATGACCTGGTTATGAATTGAGGTTAGAAGCAGGCAACTGCGAGACCTCTGTTTAGCTTTGGGTGATATCATGGCCACGGCCAGGATGCCGTAATGCCTAGTTAATATATTGCATCTAACAATTCTAATTTTTATGTATATATTTCATTTTGTAACTGCAGTAAAACACTCCAAGCATAGCATTTCTGGGTAATGACTCTATTTTTGAGCCCCTTGGGATCAGAGGGGTACTATGTGTAAATTAGAAAAGCCCTTATAGTCTTAAGATTTGCTCCTGCCAGTAAATCTCAGTTCAGATCTGTGATTAGGGTGAACAAGATTTAAATTGAATCTGAAATCATTCATGGTTCTCACAGAACCACACTAGAGAAAGGGAAAGGGGAGGATTTTGAGGATCCTTCAAAACTTCCTCCCAGCCTAAGCAGTTCGGAGAAAGAAGTGAATACAGAATTTAAAAGCATGGGCCAGGTGCAGTGGCTCACACCTGTAGTCCCAGCACTTTGGGAGGCCGAGGCAGGTGGATCACTTAAGGCCAGGAGTTCAAGACCAGCCTAGCCAACATGGTGAAATCCCATCTCTAATAAAATACAAAAATTTGCAGGGTGTAGTGGCACATGCCTGTAATCCCAGCTACCTGGGAGACTGAGACAGGAGAACCGCCTCAACCCGGGAGGCAGAAGTTGCAATGAGCCGATATCGCACCACTGCACTCCAGCCTGGGTGACAGAGTGAAACCCTGCCCCCCCCCAAAAAAAAACATGAAGCTGCTTCAAGTGCCCATTTCATCCCTGTGTGGACAGATCTCAAACAATTGATTGTGAGCTTGAGATGAGGTGAATCGCATCTTCTGTGGACTGGAGAAGTTTGCTTTCTCCCAGCCAATTCAAAACGTCTGGATTCTGAGATAAGGTGAGTGGAAATTCCTTTGGCACTCTCTAAGCTGCCTCCAACTCAATCCAGTGAAAGTCAAACTCAGCATTACTATTTTTTTCCCCTCTGTGCTGTAAAGTCTGAATTCTCCAAGACAATTTCCTAAACTGTTTAGGTCTCAACCCTCACAATGGCTGCTCCCCATTTCTTCCAAAACTCTTATTCACTTGTTTGACGCATCTATGTGTTAAGTTGTTCAGGAAGAAGCATTTAACATCTAAAGCCCATTTCATTTCTTTCTTTTTCTTCAAAAATATCTTGAAACATCATTTGTTTTTTCTTCATTAGAAAGAGGAAATGGTGTTTTATCAAAGGTAAATAGACTTGAACGCTGATGGGTTGAAGTTCTGTTCACCACTCAAAGCCCATAAGTTTGATTAGGTACTAAACTTGGCACAGAGAGTCCTTCATTCACCCTGTCAGCCAAGTCACGCCACTGGTCTCAACTTTTGGAAAATTAATTACCTACATGTTGCTTGTGAAGCCTGTGGGTAGCTGACTTATTTGATCACAGCTTAAGCAAATAGGAATCTACTCTTCATTCAAATTCAGCTAAAAGTAACTGAGATGTTAAATCTACTGACTCTATTTTAAAACCAGATTTGAAAAAGATTTTGTTCAATATCTGTGGAGATGAAATCTTATGGCTAGAAAAGAATAAATGACATGTTTTATATTAGACATATGTATTTGTATCAATTAAATTATTGAACTTTGGTTGTTTTAGGAACTAAACTTAAGAGAAGAATTCAAATAAAATTCTGACCCACCCACATCTGAAGCTTTACCAACTAATAATATTTCGATGTATAGGTCACCATAACAGAGATGCTATAGACAAGACATAGTCTCCAAGTTATGAGCACTTGATTTACAAAGGCACCAATGTGTTAATTTCTGGCCATACTCTACACCCATGGATCACTGGAAAACGGCTCGCACTTTTCTTCATACCTCCCCACCCTCCCAAAAGCAGACTAGCAACTACGCTGTCCTGGGCCCATCCTGCCACCTGGTGACTGAGACAAAGCACTGCTTTGTGCATTGCTTTTCATTCTAGTTCCTTTTTATTTCCCTACCCCAGTCCCCAACACTTCCAACCAGGGATATCATGTTCATGTTCTCATGTTACTTTTCTTTTGCCTTCATTTCTCAGTTAATGCCAACCTCACAGTATATTTTTTTCATAACACATACACACTTTAGTTTTGTTTTACTCCATGTCTTCATTCCTGCTTCCTTTCAGTGTTTATCCATGATCAAATCACACTCTTCCTTTTTCTACCACTCTTCTCATTTTTGAGTCAAACAGTGATTCTCTTCAGGGCTTATAATGGCAAGAATGATTGCACAACTTATGTAACTGATGTTTAGAACAGCAAGGGAGAAGAGAGTCTTTTTTCTTCATGGAGCTTATGTTCTGGTGGGAGAAACAAACAACTTATATAAATATAATTAATATAATTTTAGTGAGTGACAAATGCTGTGGAAAAAATAAGACAGGCTCAGGGGATGTAAAGTGATGAGAAGCCCCAATGAGATACCATTCACCCTTCGGGTTGCAGAAAATGTCTGATAATGGTATGATATGTTACACTATGTGTTGACAAGAATATGGAGCAGAACTTCTTACCCACTGCCAACGGGAGTGTGAACTGGTACAAGCACTTCAGTAAACAGCTTGATATTATGGACCAAAATGGAACATGCACATGGCCTATGATGCTGCTATTCTAATCCTAGAGAAAAACTTGCCATGCCAATAACATGTCCAGAATATTCATAGGATTGTTATTCATAACAAAGATCTGGAAAAATCCAAATGCTTACCTATAGCAGAATGGATAAAGTGTGATATTGTCCTATCACAGAATAATACATGCAGTGAAAATGAATAAACCGCAGCTACACCCATCAATATGGATGGTTCTCAAACATGTTACATTAAATTAATAAGCAAATATAGTATGATTCCATTTATGTGAAGTTCAATATAAGCAAAACTAAACAATGAAATGTTGAAGGATGCATACACCTGTGGTGAAGAGCAAGGTCACTACTAACATGAAACTCAGCAGTGTAGTTAATCTGAGAGGGAAAGAGGGAGAAGGTTGGTTACAGGCCCTTCAGAAATTCCAAGGTACAGCAATGTTCTGTCCATCAGCTGGATTTGGGATGCACTTAATTCATCCATTTTAATGTATTATTATTTAAAATGCATATATTAATTATGGATATATTCTTTTATATGAGTATGATGTACTTAGCAGAAAAAAGGTTTTGTAGAAAATTATCAGAGTACAGTTTAGCTAGGGATGTCAGAAAAGGTCTCCTGTGGAAGTTTCACTGAGCAGAGGCCTGAATGATACGGAGAGATATGTGTAAGGAAGGTCTGAGCAGAGGGTTTCCCAAGGAATGGGATATAGCAAATGTGAAGAACCTGAGGGGGCAAATGAGTTTGGTGGTTTCTAAACCAGGGAGAAGGTCTGTAAGGCCTGAGAGAAAATTAGAGAGAGGGAGAAAAGAGTTAGGCAAAAGAAAAGGGACAAATTACATAGATTCTTCTAGGCCAGAGTTGAAGTGACATATCTGCCTAAAGAAGAGGAAAGTTATATGGCAAGAGATGTTAAGAATATGAAGAAAGCTCTGTATAATAGTCACAAAAGATTCTATGTGCTATACCTTAGCCTTCAAATAATATATATATATGTATGTAATATGCATGTATGTATATATACACATGGAATAATGGTAGTGCCACCACCAACAGACAATAGAAAAAATCTTATAAGACACACAGAAAAAATCCAGTTCCGTGACGCTCCCTCATTTGTACTTCTCAAAGACAGCAATTTTAATATTTTTGTTTTTAGTACACTTTTTACCCCTACAGCTCTGAAGACTGTGTTGTAATCAGTCTTTCTTGGTGAGTCAATGCTGGATATTATCCACTGGCTGATTTTTTTTTTTGGTACGGTCAATAAAAGTTCTATTCATTGACCACAGCAAAGATGAAAGTTCTATTACTACTCTTAGTTCCCATGCAATATCAAACCATATAATTAAATTTCTATTTCTTGTTCCAGCAGCTTTAGACAAAATCTTTCAAATATCTGAATGATAATATTATGTTATCATATATATATATGATATTTTGTTAATCATAGTTAAGTTTTCCAAGATTTGGCTATGATTTGATTTTAAAGCCAGAAACATGATATTCAGTGATATTAAAATAACTGTATTTGCTTCCTACAGAACAAGAATTATATATATTTTTGAGGGTTTAGTGTTATGACTCTTTTTGTCACTTAAAAGTGAATAGTCTTAGCCATCAAAGGCAAGTGGATTTTTGTTGTTGTTTTTTATTTTATTAATTGCACAATATCATTCCACATTTGAAGTTCCATATATCTGCTTTCTGGTATGGTTTTGTTGTCATTGTTTGTTACTTTATTACTTGAATTTTGAGTTACATTTATTTTAGGTGGTAGATTTTAAAAGCATTTTCCCCACAATTAATCATTAGAAATTGTGTTTTTCACTTATTTATTTATTTTGAGGCAGGGTCGTGCTCTGTCACCCAGCCTGGAGTGGTGCAGTGGTACAATCATGACTCACTGCAGCCTTGAACTCCTGGACTCAAGCAGTCCTTCCACTGCAGCCTCCTGAGTAGCTGAGACTACAGGCCCACACCACCACATTCAGCTAATTTTTTATTTTTTTTATTTTTTGTAGAGATAAGGTCTTGCTTTGTTGCCTAGGCTGGTCTCAAACTCCTGGACTCAAGCAGTCCTCCCACCTTGGCCTCCCAAAGTGCTGGGATTACAGGTGTGAGCCACAGCACCTGGCTGGGAATAGCGTTTTTTTTGTTTTTTTGTTTTTTTTTTAGATAGAAAAACTGAGGCTTAGGTGAAAATGATGCTATGAGGGTGACACATTATTTAATGTTTTGTTTGATTTCAAATATTTTTATTTTAAAAGTATCATTTTCCACTATGGCTCAGACAAATACCCTTTTCTCCTTGGGAAATAATTGAGTGAAAGAGATCTCTGAGGGCTAATATGTGAACTTACACACTACTTCTAACACTGACTTGTGGGCCAAATGCTTTCTCACATCATTCCTTAATTAATTTATGCATGAATCTTTGAAATATAACTTGTTTTTTTAAAACTGAGATTATTTGTAGAGGAGAAGACAAGTTAAAAGCAGGTAATGTAATTTTAAAATAGTACATTTTTTTGAGATAGAAATATAAAATTCAGTTCTATTCAAAAGCACAGCTTATATAATGTCAACTTTATGGTTTAAGGTTTTCGTCTTTTTGATACCAGAATGCATCCCTTATCTTCAATGTGTTCTTTGGTGGATTATGACAGCCTGCCTGCTGAAATGGGTTTTTCTTGGTATCCAGCTTCTTTTCTTTTTAACACATACAACACACACACACACACACACACACACACACACACACACACACAATTAAGGGAAGTATCCCAGAGTGCCAATCAATAAATGCAGATAAAATATCACTGAAAATGTCAGTAGATGGAGAAAATTGTGTTTATCCAGCTTTCATGGAGAAAACTGTAAACAGTCAAAAGAAGAGCATTGGAAAGCTTCTTGCAAGGAACTGAGTAGGATCTGGACCCCCCCACAGGGTGGAGCAACTAGTGCCTTCCAAAGAGGCAAGATCTTGTTAAATTGAAGAGGTTTTGTGTTCTCGGGCAAGTATTCTGATGACCTCTTATTCACATCATTGGCAAAAGAGGGTTCGCTCACCCTAATGACATCCAGCACTGGACAGGTAAGCTTGAAAACATATTAGTAGTTATATATACTCACAGCTTGGGGAAGAGGTCACCACATGTGATGCAAGGCCATATGGCGGTTGCACCCTGGAAGAGTGAAGTGAAGCATCAGGAGCTGTGGGAGACAAGCTTTGTAGTAACAAAAGGGTGGAGTGCCTTGTGGTTCCTTCAGCAGAATGTGATTGGCTTGTTTGAATAATTCTGTGGTTTATCCGGGAAGCTAAACCCATTAGGGAGACCCAGTAGAGTAAAGCAAGTCCCACTGATGGAGAACTAGCTGGGTAGGGATGCTTTCTCATTGGATGCGAAGTATATCTAGCAAAAGTGGGGGGAAACTCATGATTATATCTTTGAGGCCTTATGTGACTCAAAGACGTCAAGGCAGATGTTAAAATATTAAGTCTCACAATATAACAGGATATACAAGTTAATGCCAAAGCTTAGAACAACTGGAGGAACTGATCATAACAACAAAGTTCTTGTTGTCACAACCTCTTCAGTGAGTCCTGAGCTTCTCCTCAAAATAAATATTGAACATATTGTTATGGACTAAATTGTTTCCCTCCAAAATTCATCTGGTGAGGCCTTAACCCCTAATGTCATTGTATTCAGAGACAGAGCCTTGAAGTAGGTAATTAAACTTGAATGAGGTCATAAAGGTGGGCCCTAATTTGATAGGACTGGTATTCTTATAGGAAGAGGAAGAGACACCAGATATCTATCTATCTATCTATCTATGCATCCATCCATCCATCCATCCATCCATCCATCCATCCAGCTAGCTAGCTATCAATCAATCATCGATTTATCTGTCTATATCTATTATCTATCTATCTATGTAGCTATCTGTCTAGCTATCATCATCTATCATCTATCTATCATCTCTCTATATATCATCTGTCATCTATTATCTATCATCTATCTGTCTATTTACATACCTACCTATCTCTCTATTCATCTATTGTTTATCTATCATCTCTCTATCTACATATCTATCTATCTATATAGATAGAGTATAGAAGCATCTCTATAGAAGTGTCTATCTATCTATCTATCTATCTATCTATCTATCTATCTACTATCTCACCCTCCCTCCCTCTTCATGTGCACAGAGGAAAGCCCACATGAGAATACAACAGGAAGATGTCATCTTTCCGAGAAGCAACAAAGAGAGGTCTCACCAGAAACAAACCTAGACAGTGCCTTGACCTTGGACTTGTAGATTACAGAACTGTGAGAAAAATTAATTTCTGTTGTTTAAGACACCCAGTCTGTGGTATTTTGCTGTGGCTGCCTGAGGGCACTAAAACAGATGTTGGTACTGATAAGTGGGGTGCTACTATAGCCAATACACAAAAATACGGAAATGGCTTTGGAATGGAGTCATGAGTAGAGGCTGCAAGAGTTTTGAGGTGCCTACTAGAAAAAAACTAGATTGTTCTGAGGAGACTGTTGATAGAAATATGAACAGTAAAGGTAATTCTGGTGAAGTTGCAGATAGAAATGAGGAACATGGCTGGGTGTGGTGGCTCACGCCTGTAATCCCAGCACTTTGGGAGGCCAAGGTCAGCAGATCACGAGGTCAGGAGATTGAGACCATCCTGGCTAACACGGTGAAACCCCACCTCTACTAAAAATACAAAAAATTAGCCAGGAGTGGTGACGGGCACCTGTAGTCCCAGCTACTTGGGAGGCTGAGAATGGTGTGAACCCAGGAGGCGGAACTTGCAGTGAGCCGAGATCACGCCACTGCACTCCAGCCTGGGTGACAGAGCGAGACTCCATCTCAAAAAAAAGAAAAGAGAAATGAGGAACATGTTATTGGAAACTGGAGAAAAGGCAATCATTATAAAGTGACAAATAACTTGACTGAATTGTGTTCTAAAGTTTTGTGGAAAGCAGAACTTGTGAGCAATGAAATTGGATATTTAGCTGAGGAAATTTCTAAGCTAAGTGTTGAAGGTGCAACATGGCTTCACCTTACTATTTATAGCAAAATGTGAGAGGAGAGATATCAAATTAAGGAATCATTAAGCAAAAGGAACCCAAACTTGAAGATGTGGAAATTTCTCAGATTATCCCTATTGCAAAAAAAAAAAAAAAAAAGAGAGAGAAAGCATGTTCTGGAGAACACCAAAGACGTAGCTGGATAACTACTCCATAAAGAGATTACTCATGAGTTTAATCAGCCATCTCAGCAGAAGCCAGAAATAGAAAAGGGATTATACCAGCAGAGACACTGCCAGTTTAAATGAATGAAGGCAGAGGAAGTGGGATGGAACAAAGTATGGCAGTGGACTGGGATTTTACAGGATGGGGCAATAGAGCTATCTGGCTTCAAACATGCGTTATCCTTCAAGAAAAAGAAAGAAAACCTCAAAGGTGATTCAGAGATCATCAAGGGTGCCACTCTCACCACAGTCCCAATGGGCAAGGCTCTTTTCTCTTCAGTTTCAGAGGATGGGGCCACCTCCTCTGTTTCAGGGGGACAAACTGCCCCCACTGAGGGCTTCAGGAACAAGACGGCAAAGCCAAGGGGGTGGAGTGGTGGCCTAGGGCCATAGAGGTGACACTGCCTTCCAGTAAGGATGGAAGACAGAGTATTGAGCCAAAAAGGATTGTTCTTGAGGTTTAAGATCTGGTGGCATTTGCCTTGCTAGAGACTCATCACCTCTTTCTTTTCTCTGAATTCTCCCCTTTGGAATGGGAATGTCTATGCTATGCCTGTCTCATCATTGTATTTTGGAAGCATATAACTTCTCTGAGTTCACAGGTTCATAGCTGGAGATAAATTTTGCCTCAGGGTGAATCATACCTTGAGTTTCAGCCATACCTGATTTAGGTATTTAAGTGAGACTTGGAACTTAGAGTTGATACTGGAATGGGTTAAAAATTGGAGGGGGCTGTTGGAAAGGAGTAGCAGTATTTTGCATGCAAGAAGGGCATACATTTTGAGGAACAAGTAGGTGAACTATATTGTGTCCCTCAAAATTCATATGTTGAAGCCCTAACTTCAATATTATATTTAGAAATACGGTCTTTTGAAAGTTAATTAAGGTTAAATGAGGTCATAAGGGTGGGACTCTTATCTGTTAGAATTAGTGCTGTTATAAAAAGAGGAAAAATACAGCAGCTCTCTGTCTCCCTGTCCCTCTCTTCTTTCTCTCCCTCACACCCCCTGCCCTGCCCCACATCTTGTAAAATGGCACAGAGAAAAGGCCACATGAGGATATAGTGAGAAGATGGTCATTTATAAGCCAGGAAGAGAGGTCTCACCAGAAACCAATCCTGACAACACCTTGATCTTGGCTTCTAGCCCCTAGAAATGTGAAAAAATTAATTTTGGTTGTTCAAGCCACCCAGTCTGCTGTGGTATTTTGTTATGGCAGCCCCAGCAGACTAAGACCATATTAAATAAAAATCGGTTCACGTACAAAATTCTTAGCTGCTGACAGGGCAATCATGTCTCAGTCTGCCATATGTACATACTTTTAGAATTTAACCTTTGAACCACAATTCTCCCTCCCAATTTCAAGAGTGAAGAGCAGGTTAAAGTTAAACTTGAGAGCGCTTTTTTAAAAACTACAAAATAACAATAATCAAATTGCACCCCTTTCCAGTGTACTAAAACAGAGACTCCCCCTTACTAATAGTATAACTCTGGATGATTCAGAGTCCCTCACTCAGCCTCAGTTTCCCCAATTGTAAAGTAAGATAGTAGGATTAATAGATATTCCATAAATTCTTTTTCAGCTATAATATTCCATGGCTTTAAGACAATAATTGTTTTGCTCCATAGGTCTTACATAATTCCATTTGCTAATAGCCTAATTTATAATTTTGAATAATACAGCAATAGCAATTAGCACAAATTTAAGTTCATGGAGGCAGCTTCTCTATGAAATGCCCCTCTAGCTATAATTTCCATATGCACATTTGCCACAATTGCCCCTCTCTGTAATACTGATTTTAACAACCTTATTTAGCAGATCGTGCTTTTGAAATGCCAGGAGAGAACTAAATAAAGTCAAGGGTCAAAAGCATGACATGCTTCTGTATAAAATTAAAAGTTAATTACTAGCTGCATCCAGGGGCCAGGACTATTTTAATTTTGGAGTCATTTGCCTGACTATTTAGACTCTATGTTTTAACTATAGCATTAGGGAGTCCACTGACTTCCATTTGCTACAGAGAGAGCGTCAGTCCTCCCTCTCCCAGCAGAAACTCTGTATGCCATGGCTTAGCTGACCTTTTTCCTTAACTGCTTGCTGCTCATATTAAAATCATGATCACTGACTTGTTTGTTAAAGTCGTCATAAAATTTAATGTGTTTTTTTAAATGCCCTTTATCAAAATGCATTTAGGAGGAAGTATATAGAAACAAGGCTTCCTTAGTCACATTAAAGGGCCTGACATGTGGTAACATGTATTTACTTTTGACAGTAATTTAGGATAACATTAGAAAACCCAGTTGTTCAGGTGGCACAAGGGGCAGCAGTGAGGAACCCCAGGAAACGCCTGGAAATAAGGAAATGGGATTGCTTTCTAGGAGGCCAAGTTAAATAAAATAATAATAAACATTTGAATATGATGAGAAAGGATGAAAATCACCTTAAAGAGATGGCATGCCGCCTGGGGCAAGATTTGACTATAGTTCCTGATTAAATGTTTCCCGAAGTGATTTCTGTAGATCACTAATTCTGTGACAAGAGTCTTTGTTTAGCTAGGAAAAAAAATTGCAACCAAATAGATTGGAGATAGCACATTAAAAATAATTTTAAGTAATTATAAGAAGGTTTCTTCCAAATAGGACTTCATAGAACTTATGATACATTAATTTAAGATTTCCAAAAGGGAGCAATAGTATGCCACATTTCCCACATTTAGTTTGTGTATTGGTCATTTTTGTTGTGAATTTCGTGTAGAAGTAATATTTTTAAAAGACAATCAACAACTGAACAAAGCAAAACTTTGGGCAACATGAACATAACTAAAGAAAGATTTTGTCAATTAAAACTAAGAAAACAGCAAAAGAAATGTGAAAATCTTTTTATCAGCTATGCCCTTCCAACTATGGGGCATTGGACTGGTGGCCTGGCTCAAGTGCCTGAGTGACCAGCCACACAGCTGATCCCTCCTGCAGTGAGACGAAGATGATATATCCTGCCTTACCTGAGTGGGGAATGAATTACCATGATTCCAAGTCCCCATCTATGCTGTTTATCAGAAAGTCCAATCTTATCTTGGTTTCCCCTCTGTAAATATTGCCAAGAATCACAGCAGAGTTCATTCTTCAGTTGCACCCCACCCTCACCGATTGTTTTCAGGAACCATAGTCAGTGCCTTGGCATTGGTTTGGAGAGGGTATTCTGCTCAGTGGTCACACATGAGCTTGGTGGAATTCCATAAATCACGGAACCCCTTAAACAAACTTCTTTGCACAAGATAATGTCATTGCACTTGTAATTGGGATAGAAGGATCTTCTTTGAAGCAGAATGTCACCTAAGGAAGCCCAAGTATACCTTAAATTGATTATTGTTTTAGGGGTAGGACTCCTATTAACCAGACTCCCAGAGACTGATGAATAGATGCCTGACTGATGTTTATTAATTCGTAGTGAGAAAAGTAACTATTGAGCAAGCTAAACACCCGTAAAGGTGCTTCTCAGCATGTCCCCTCTCTGCAGAAAAATATTCATTAAAAGCAAAATCAGGCTGGGCACAGTGGTTTATGCCTGTAATCTCAACACTTTGAGAGGCCGAGGCGGGTGGATCACCTGAGGTCAGGAGTTTGAGACCAGCCTGGCCAATGTGGAGAAACCCCATCTCTAATAAAAATATAAAACTTAGCCAGGCATGGTGTCGCATGCCTCTAATCCCAGCTACTTGGGAGACTCAGGCAGGAGAATCTCTTGAATCCAGGAGGTGGAGGTTGCAGTGAGCCAAGATTGTGCCATTGCACTCCAGCCTAGGTGACAAGAGATAAACTCCATCTCAAAAAAAAAAAAAAGCAAAATTAGATGTGCCTTCATTGAATGTCCTTTAAGGCACAAGTCATACGAGTTAGATGAATCTGTTTGCAAAAAGTTCCATGAATAAGATTGAATAACCCAAATGTGTTGCCCTGGGTTAAGCAGTGAGGAACTTCCAGGCATTGACAGGTAAGTATTTTTCTAGAAAGAGAAAAAAAGGCATTGTAAGAAAAGAGAACCACAGACGCAAAGTCAAGGAAGCATAAAAATAGTAAATGGGACAAGAGAGGAGTTCTCTGTTTCAGGGAGGTCTCCTACCTTTTTGTTTTGACATTTTCGCCTTGGCCTCAGATACCCAGTGAGACCTTATTCAGAGGAATATATTCAGCCTTCTCTGGGTATTGCTATGTCATTCTTTGAAGATTGTAGAGTTTGCCAAGGTTTGATGACAGGTCTCAAAATCTCTTAGTCCCAGGCTATTTGCCAAAGAAAAACTTCTGGCTCTTAGACCTACTCTTTGTCCACTATACCATTGATTCTAAGAAAACAAATAGAAATGCATCATGGAAAACAAATAGAAATGCATCACGGAAAATGTTGAAAATAACAAAGAGTCCTAAACAGACAGTTATGACGTGCTATGGAAGATCATACTACTGTAGCTCAGGAGATAGCCCAACTCCTGCTTAGATATGAGTTAATGAAGCATATATGGTGCTTTTTTCTACTGAAGGATAAAGTATTTCACTCACAGTGAAAATACTCATTGCTTTTATTCTGAAACTTTTCCCTAGCAGGTTTTATCACATCAATTAAGTTCTTACCTACAGTTTTTTTCACAACCAAATCTAGAGTTCCACAGTCATGGAGATGAGCTTCAAGAATTCATCTGAGTACCCCCTCTCCCAGGAGAGTCAGACCGGGAGAAGCACTGATTCATGGACTACTATAAATACCACTGTTTGAATGAGTTAAGGAATGAATGCATGAACAGAGAGACATGAAAACATCTCCTTCAGACATGATTCTTGAAAGAACATGAGTGAAACAATTATGAAAATGTCAAAAATCTAACCAGTGTATTCTAAGCACCGGCTGCACATTCAGCCAATTTCAACCCAAACCTTAAGAAGTTAATTTTCCAGGCTGGACATGGTGGGTGGCTCATGCCTGTAATCCCGGCTGAGGCAGGTGGATCACAAGGTCAGGAGTTCAAGGCCAGCTTGGCCAAGATGGTGAAACCCCGTCTGTACTAAAAATACAAAAAAATTCGCCATCTCTACTAAAAATACAGAAAAATTAGTGGTGGCAGGTGCCTGTAATCCCAGTTACTTGGGAGGCTGAGGCAGAGAATTGCTTGAACCTGGGAGGTAGAGGTTGTGGTGAGCTGAGATCATGCCACTGCACTCCAGCCTGGGTGGCAGAGCAAGACTCTGTTTCAAAAAAAAAAAAGAAGTTAATTTTCCAAAAACATGCCCTAAATTGTATCATATTCATTGTGGACACAATTTTAAAGCCTAGCTAACTCTGCTCACTAAAAAGTGGGTGTTGCAATTGTCCCCTTGTTTAGGCTCCTAGATAAGGCAGCTCTCTTACAGCACCATGGAGTTAACTGGAGGTTATGAAATATTTCATCCTTTACCCCCAACAACTCCACTTTCCCAGCCCTAGCAATGGGAGTTCCCCATGGGTACTATGGTTTGAATATGGTCCCCAAAAGTTCATGTGTTGGAACTCAATCCCCAGTGCAACAGTGTTGGGAGGTGGGGCTTAACAAAAAGTGGTTAGGTCATGAGGACTCTTCTCTCATGAATGGATTAATGTCATTATTATAGAAGGGGGTTAGTTATTACCAGACTGAGCTTGTCATCAAAGCCAGTTTGGGCCCCATTTGCTCTCTCACTCTCACCCTCTCTTGGCCTTCTGCCTTTCACCAGGAGACAATGCAGCATGAAGGCCCCTGCCAGATGCTGGTGCCATGCTCTTGGACTTCTCAGGCTCCAGAACTATGAGCCAAATAAATTTTTGTTTATTTTTAATTACCCAATCTGTGGTATTATGTTACAGCAGTATGAAATAGACTAAGGCATGGGATATGCTGAGGAGCTGTATAATCAAAAATCAATGATCCAAACTGAGGTCTGTTGTTCTACAGCTGAGCTGGTGTAATATTACAATGCCAATCCTAATGGAGTTACATAGAATCCATCAAAATATCAGGATGCAGGGGTCAATGAGAACTGCAATGCCTCACTTCCCAGCAATTACCACTTATTACTGAGGCAGTGCTTTTCCTTCTGCTATTCAGCTTACTTCAATAAATAATATTAGGCAACCCTGCAGGGCCAGTCAATAGAGCATTGTTTTATTGTTGCAGCTTAATAGTCAGATCAATACCTTGTTCTTCTGAGATGTAGGTGAGAACCCCTGAATATGGCACTAATGAAATGATGTATTTTGTGATTTTTAAATTATATATTTTATTCCCTTTTTATCTTTAGTGTCAGCAAGACTGCTAATGGGGCTTCTGTCCTCTAACCTTCTGTGACAGTTCCACTCACCAGGAGCATGAATCTGTTCCCCAAAAGGGAAAACAAAACGTTTCATGAAACTTAATTTCTTATGATTCTTTCTTAGTTGTTCCCATCTACTTTACTTATTTCCCTGGGTTGATGATATGGGTATTTCCCTCTTTGGTTTTAAAAGAAAATGTAAGTAAATAACTGAGATTTCACAATTTTGTGAGCTGACAGTAAAAGAATGTGAAGTGGAAGGGTACTCTGCTACTTCTAATCTGAATTTTGCCATTATTTCTCTCCTTCACTGGGCCTTTATTTCTAACAATTACAGTGAAAATTGGATTCAAATAGCAGTTATAAAGTGGTGGCTTATGAACCCCAAAACCCACAGGTATATTGTATGTGCCAGAGCTATTATTATTATTATCATTATTATTTTAGTAATTTTTGACAGAACATGCACTTTACATTTTACCAGTCACCAACAATCCCTGTTGCACCACATGGACTTGCTTTAATCACTATGTTTTATACCCAGCTCTTGTGGTTTATCTGTGTATTCAACCTCTAGAAAAGATGGTTATGCTAAATAATTTGTAATAATAATAATACCGTAGTTGCTATTTAATGAATTCTCACTCTGCATCAGGCATAATATTAACAATGTTGCACACATCACCTTCACCTTGCAGTTGAAGGTAATTTCTTACTTGCCACAACCTTAAGGAGTGATACTACTATTTATCTTAATTTACCGAAGAGGAATCAAATGCTCAGAGAGCCACTATGACTTGCTGAGTGTTGACTCCTTGGTATAACTAGAAGATGAAATCAGAGTTCAAACCTTCTGCTAAGCCCAGCAAACTCCAGGATCCAGGATCCCAGCAAACTCCAGGATCCATACTCCTGACCATGGGTCATGCTTCCGTTCAGTTTGAGTTTATTTGTTTCTAAGTTGGATCCCATAAGCTTAGGCCCAGTGGCCCAGTTATTATTTGATGCATTAAATGAAGAGATATTCACCTAACTGAGGAGCAAGAGTGCTATAGTAGAAAGCTCAATTAATTTGGGGGCAGAAGTCTTGCATTCTGACTCCTCTCTGGCTCTGCCTGTGTGTGGGAGCAATTCTCGTAACCTACCCTTGTCCCCATTTCTTCATCTGAAAAATGAGAGCCCACCAGTGCTGTTGAATGGATTAAATAGAAAAGCAGATGTTCAGTCTACAATCAATGCTGTGGGTAAAGCTGCAGGTCTACTTCAAATTATACTGAATTTTGATCCTGTTCAACTATTGGTCATTACAGATTACTTTGAATTTTGATCTTGAATTTTTGATCTTGTTCAACTTTTACATATTGCTGGTGTTCTTGTTATATCATTTTTTTAGATTTGCCCTGGAATCATCCTCAGGATGATTCAGTCTTCATATCTGCATAACTGGCACCAGATAACAAATTTTACCAAAAATTCATCCTTAGATGGACACCCAGAGTAGAAACCCAAATACCTAAATTCCAGTGATTTATTGGGAGACGCTTTGTGAGACTCAAGGAATGGGTGAAGGGTTAACTCCCTCTGCAGCCTCTGGCTGAGCTTCTTTTGGGCATGAGAAACAATTTATTGGGGTTGCATCATTTTCTTTCTTTTTTCTTTATTGAGGCACTTAATGCCTGTGACTGTAAAAACCCAGCTTATGTAGACACCTATTCATATACATAAATATGGAGCCTTTGTTCCACTCTTTTTTGTACTAGACAAAGTTATTTTATTACTAGGAAGGCAATATATGACAGTCAGCAGCAAAATGGACTTTCCTGCCGATAAAACTGATTTGGAGCCAAAACTTAGCAGCCGTATGATTTGGGGCTCTCACAGCAATCCTTGTGTCTCAGGTTCCTCATCTGTAAAATGGAGCAATAAATATGACTGTGGTGAGGACTCAGTGTAAAGTACTCACCACAATTTCTGACTCAATACATATCAGTGCTTCCTATATATTAGCTGCTGTGTTATTAATATTATATTTATTGACGAGATGAACAACATGCACAAACAAAAAATTTTTTTAAAACTTTTTTTTTCTTTTTTTGCTGGCCAAGTCCTGAGAAAATACTAATCTTCCTCTCCAATTCTACATTCAGGCCACTGCACTCTGTTGTCTGCTCCCTGTGCCCTCTGAAAATGGTCACTTAGAGCTCCCCAGAACTTTTCCAAACATGATACCAGGGGCCACCTCTCAGTCTCATCAGCGCTGATAAAATCACCCCAGGCTCCCTGTGATATTTCTTCTGCTCCTATGTCCTATAGCCTGTGTATTGCACTCCCTTCTGAAGTTATGATTGCCAGTACCTTTTGGCTTACACCAGCTCCACTAAAATCCAAGAATCTGAAAGATGAAAGCAGGCTGGGCAAAATGGCTCATGGCTATAATCCCAGCCCTTTGGGAGGCTGAGGTGTAAGGATTGCTTGAAGCCAGACATTTGACACCAGACTGGGCTACAAAGCAAAACCCCATCTTGACAAAAAATTAAAAACAAACAAACAAACAAAAACTTAGATGAGTGTGGTGACATGTGCCTTAAGTTCTGGCTACTCGGGATGCTGAGGCAGGAGGATTTCTTAAGCCCAGGAGGGTGAGGCTGCAGTGAGTTGTAATCGTGTCACTACACTCTAGCCTGGGCCACAGAGCAAGACTGTATCTCAAAATAAAATAAAATAAAATATCGGATCATTATTTATTATTTTGCATCTTTTTCTAATGCTGTGTTTCTCAACCTCAGCACTATCTATATTTTAGATCAGCTCTTTCTCTGTGTGGCAGTGACTGTCCTGTGTATCGTACGATGTTTAATAACATCTCTGACCTCTAACCACGAGATGCTGGTAGCATCCCTCCTTTGTGACAATCAACTCCTGACATTTTCAAATGTCCTCCATATGCTGAAATCATCTGCTGTTGAGAGCCACTGCTCTAGCCAAACTCCTTCCTTCCAGCAAAGCTCTTTGCTCAGACAGAATAAAAACTTTTCAGTGAGCTAACAGCACTTTAGGGAATTTTCTTTCCAGTTTCTTTATGTAGAATTTGGTCTTCTAGTGTTTTCTAAAATTTTGTTTTATTTTGTAATAAACGAATTGGGTGTCAAGGGTTTGAGGCCTCATTTTAAATTTGGAATGCAGAGGATTTTGGTAATGAAATGGTAACTAGGCTCCATACCATGTATTGAAGGTGGTTCTGGAGGGAATCTTACGCATGGCTGGAAACAATAGAAGTATGTGTGCCGTAAACCCCATGACTGTTAAAAAAAAGGCTGTTTTTGGAGACTTGGTAGTGGGAGCCTTAGAGCTTATGTCCTTCCATTCCAATGTCTTCTCACCCTGAATGAGAATGCGCTGAGAAGAGAAAGGAGGGTGACACATGAAGAAGTGCAGGCTCCTCATCCTAATCCATGCACTTCCCACATCAGACAGGCTCTTCTCCAGCAAAATGAATTTTCTTCACAGGCAGAGGTGCCCAGAGAGAGGGTATGTGTGAAATCATTCTGCTTTCTTCTGCGGTATGTCATCTCCTGACTGAGAGTGGTTTACAGATGTAAATACAAACCCGTTATCTAATTCTAGACTGAATAAGTGGCCAGATACAAAGATATAAATTACCCACTTTACCTTCCTGGTGGAGGGTGTTGAGAGGGAAACAGATTGCCCTTCTCTGTTCTCATTTTAAATGGGTCAGAGCATCGGTGGAACTAGATAATTCACTCCAATCCACTAGATGTAAGCACCTCATAAATTTCATAATCAGCACTAGCATTTTCCTTTTCATAAAGCAGTATGTCTTCAGCAGCGTTAATTACGTGACTGGTAATGGTCTCCCATTTTGAATCCCCGTTTTGGATGAAATATGGTTCGGCCTTAAGCAGGCCCCCATAGGCAGGGCCCTTGGCAGCCACACATCAAAGGGTTTCCTGAAGCCAAAATAAGGAGCAAATATAAGAAGAAACCCCAAATGGGGGAAGGGCTATGTGTGCAATGCTATTTTGGCTTTTAAAATTAAGTCAGGAAAGAAAACGTACATATTGAGGGCCTTTAGAGCTGTTTTATTGGATTAGATTCAGCACAATCCCTTAGGTCTTATCTTAAATATCACTTCCCCTAGTCAGCTTTTCCTACCTATTCTCCCATGCCCTTTCCCCCATATACACCTTCTTCACTCTTCTATATGCTCCTGAAGTATCTCATTGCTTTCCATTGTAAATGAGCATGCTGTGCCATTATTATTTAGGATTTGTCTTCCCCATATCTGCCTTGCTTTCATGTATGTGGTACATTTTGTTGACTGTTGGCTGCGTGGCCAGCTAAGGCAAACTTGTAAGGTAAGTGGACTTTGACATGCTGGCCCATCTATCTCCCATTGGCTTTTGTTGTCCAAAAAGACCTACATACGAATCCTGACCCTGAGAACCTGGGCAATTCATTTTAGTTTCTCTGCTTCGATTTCCCCACTTGTAAAAGAGGGCAGATGTTACTGTTGTGTCTCAGAAACCCTGATACCCCAAAGTATGGCACTGAGGAAGCCCCAAGAACTCAATGACCCCACACCCCTACTGTCCATCTATTACAAAAAAGACCAAGAGTATAATGGCAACTGAACAGACCGTTTCACAAGATAATGTCTGTCTCTCAGGCTCATTAAAATTCCAAAGAGAACTTTCTACAGTTAATCTCTTCCTGATCCATTCATTCTCCCTAGTAATTATTTACTCTGCCCCTCAACAGAATTCCTCTTCTCCTTCTCACCCCCATAACTGGTTTGCCAGGATCCATGCCCCCATTCTTTCTGTAACCTCAAAATGGTGTGTAAGCTTCTGCACCCTGTTGGGAAGTGAGTAATCACCGTGTGGTTCTTCCTCCATGTACACGTTAATACATTTGTATGCCTTTTCTCCAATTAATCCACCTGTTGTGAGTTGATTTTTTTAGTGAACCTTTAGAGGGTGAAGGAAAAGGTTTTCCCTCGGCCCCTGTGTTATCTAACCCATGACATTGTCATGAGGGGCATAAAAGGAATGGGGAGACCAAGACGACTGGGAAATCGGGGCCCAAAGACTCTTTAGAAGCACATCCTTGTACAGGGCTGGAAAGGATGGAGGAGAGGGGCTCTGGAACCAACTTTACCACCTCCTAGAGAAGTGACTTAGGAGGCTAGCTTGATCTCTCTGTGTCTATAAAATGGTGATGTGATTACCTCCTTCACAGGGTTAATACGAAATGTGGGTGTAAAAGCGCTACAGAAAAGGGGTTCTGATCGAGACCCCAAGAGAAGGTTCTTGGATCTCATGCAAGAGAGAACTTAGGGCGAGTCTACAGAGTAAAGTGAAAACAAGTTTAATAGAGAAATAAGAAAGAAAGGATGGCTACTCCATAGACAGAGGAGCAACGTGGGCTGCTTGACTGAGTATACTTATGGTTGTGTCTTGATTATATGCTAAACAAGGAGTGGGTTACTCATGAGTTTTCTGGGTAAGGGGGCAGGAAGTTCCCAGAATTGAGGGTTTCTCTTCCTTTTAGACCATATAGGGTAACTTCTAGACATTGCTATGGCATTTGTAACTGTCATGGCATTGGTGGGAGTGTCTTTTAACATGCTATTGCATTATAATTAGCATATAATGAGCAGTGAGGATAACCAGAGGTCACTTTTGTTGCCATCTTGATTTAGGTGGCTTTGTGCAGCTTCTTTACTGCATCTTTTTTTTATCAGCAGGGTCTTTGTGACCTTGTGTATCTTGGGAAATCAGCCCTGCCAACCTCCTATCTCATCCTATGACCAAGAATGCCTAACCTCCTGGGAATGCAGCTCAGGAGGCCTCAACCTTATTTTACCCAGTCCCTATTCAAGATGGAGTTGCTCTGGTTCAAACACCTTTGACAAAAGGGTTTGGGGGGAATATACAAGTGGATATTTGTTTGTATAAAGTTCATTATAGTTGAGATAACAGCTCTGAAAGACTAACTGATTTACTCATAATCAGTCTCTGAGCCAGGAAGAGTCTAGACAGAGACAGGAAGAAGATAGCTAGAAGTGGAACCTGAGCTATCTGCTGGGAGAGAGAAATCAACATTGACTTATTTTTCAGGGAGCATAACTGGAAAATGATCCAGGAATCTGGGGTGAGGGTGCAGAGGGAGGCATATGGAATGAGGCTCTTCTCATTTGATTAAACCCAAGGGAAGTGGAAACCAGTTTTCCCTTCCTTTTTCCCACTGGCGAGCAGTGAGTTTGTTCTAACACCTTGCATGATAGCTGACACATGTTGATTAAACACAATTTTTTTAAAGTAAAAAATGGGATTTATTGGCTCCCAGAATGCCAAGACCAGGAGTTAAGGTCAGGTTCAGCACAACACAATCCTGATACTTAACAGGGTCCTTGGTGGTACATCTCTCAGCAATGTTCTCCTTCATTCTCAGGTGGTCTCCTGACACAAGCTACAGCTTCAGGCCTCCTTCCCAGAACTGTAACCACATCAGGTCAATCTGGTTCAATCTTTATGCCACAAAGTGGTGAGTTTTTCAGGTGCTGTGGACCTCCAGGTTGAAGATCACATAACCAGAGCACGCCCACAGGAATCAAGCATGCAACCACAGGCAGAACCTAAGCGTGTAGATTGAGGAGAGGGAACTGAATTTAGAAGTGGACTCCACATGGCAGGATCCAAGAACCAATCAGATTGAGCCTTGTCAACACCCCACAGCAGGGTCCAATCAGATCACACCTCTGACTGTAAAACCTGTTTCAAACCCCAACTCCAGGAGACAGATTTGAGTTCAATTCCTGTCTCCTTGTTTTGGTCACCTGACAATAGACTTTTCTCCCTGCAAAGACCTGGTTCTTTGGTGTCTGGCTTTCTGTTGCTCGCAGGCAACTGAACAAATTTTGGTTCAGTTACAGAACCACAACCACAGTCTTTGAGTGCTTTTCCTAAACCAGCGTGGATTGCAAGTCTTTCCTGAACTGTTAGCCGGTGTGCTCAGGTCCCAGCACAGCCTCAGATCAGGGGTTAGGGGTGGCACTGGCCTGGCCTTAGCACATGGGCTTTGATAAAATGTACAAGGTGAGGGGTGTTTCCTAAAGAAATTCTAGGCAAGAATCATACGTCTACCATTCAGAGGCTTTGGAAGTTTATAACACAGATTATTTTGCATTCTTATGATAACTTAGGACTCTCATCGCTAGCTTAATGATACTTCCTAAATCTCCATTTTGCTAGGGAGGGCTTTTCTCCTTGGTGGTTTTTCATGACAAGAAACCACACTCTCTGGACGATATTCTTCCCCAGTGCTCATCTTGGCAGCTCCTTTTGGGGCTTTGAGCTCTTCTAGGGACCAAGGGCACAAGAACTCCTATTGACAGAGCCCCAGAAGCCACACGATAAAGTCTGATTCAGAGGTTCATAGCTTCTCTGGTTCTGGAATTAATTCACATGTTGCTTGTTTTATGCAGCCTTACCTATTGTGCCCAGTGTCACGAACTGTACTGAAAACTCTTAACACCTTTTAAAACTCGATTCACTTTTGATGCCATAAGAAAGATTGGGCCAATAAATAAGAACTAGAATCCATTTGTGGTCCATTTTGCTAAAGTATATTAAATATCACCTGCAATTTGAACTTGCCTTATAAAATGTTTACATGCCATTAAATAGTCCTAACATCCTTTGTGTAAATTAAGCAGGCTGTGATGTTCCTTATTCCAAGGAGTAGCAGTACTTAAAGCTGTAAACTACTTTCATGCAATAAATCCAATACTTTGCTCCTAAAAGCAGGATTATAAATATAAAAGGCAACAATACTGACCTCAGTGTCTGCACTTGAATTGCTTTGGGAAAACTGGTATAGAAAGAAATATTCTAATTTGGACTCTCAGTCCATTTGTTGATTGTGTTTTGGGCATGTGGGTTCCTGGAAAATATTGTTGTCTACAGATCAGCTTTGTAAAACATACAACTATTCTTTATTAAAAGGACAGGTTCACAAAAATCTATTCAGTCTGCAACTAGCATCTTAAGCAGCAATTTTGAGTGCACCTAAGTAGGTCTCCTCGGTTGGAAGAATTCCATAAAGAGCTTCCTGGTTGAGAAGCACTCAGAAGTCCTGCCTGCACCCCGTGTGCCTTCCACACTGTTGCTTTTTATAAAGCCTCTTCCTTCTCCCTCAGCTGGGCCATCAATGGGCTGTTTTCTTGCAAGTGCTCGAAATTTAATGGAGCTTAAGTGAGACACAGACCATTAACGCAGTATCAATATTTATTTTTGGTTCCCATGGAAACAGATACCAGCCCATGGGTAACTTCTCTTCCAATCTGAACAACAGGATCTTTTGCATGAACTAATATTCTATTTAGTTTCTTGAGGGGAAGGCAGTGGCTTTGAGGTTAATAAACCGTAATTTATTTAATAAACAAAACCACATAGAAGAGGAACTGCTTAACAGGGCCAGACCTAGTGTGTGTGTGTGTGTGTGTGTGTGTGTGTGTGTGTGTGTGCGCGCGCGCGCGCGCCCTAGGAAGGGCAGTTCAGTTTGTGCACCTTGCAAGCCTCGCTCTGCCCTCCCCATCCGGTCATCCTTTAACCTTGTTGCCAGGCACAAGCTTCCCAATATCATCTCGCTCCACAGGCCCTATTTTCTAACCCGTTAATCAGGTTTGAGGCTCCCTGGAAGATCGTGCCCTGCGTGCTAATTGCATTTGGCTTTGTGACAATGTGAAGGACTTTGTAGATGGCTAGGGAGCAAAAGTCATCATATCTTGGCTTGGCTTAATCTCGCAAAGCTACGGTATCAACCGTCCAGTTGTTTTGTGCAGGCCTCTGCCCTCTTCCCAGTGACAATGTAAGCTATTCCTCTTCCTTAGGGAACTGGCCCTAGTACCAAAGGAGTTTGGCAAAATAAAAGGAGCCATCAGGAGATGTGAATTGCGGTCTTGACTCAGAAATTAATTTGCCTGTAACCATGATCAATCCACATATTCTTCCTTCATCTCTAAATATGTATCTTACAAAATAATTGAAGGATTAAATTATATTGTCTCAACAATGCCTTCAAATAATAAAATGTGCAAACATGCTTCTAAGTAATAATCTTGCCATGTAACCCCCTGTCACTTAGCAGCATGAACCTCTTCTGTGGCTTTCCATCATCCTCCATGGAATTGTCTATCCATCTTCCCTTTCATTTTTAATGTCTTCCCTGGTCTCTACTAATTATCTATTAGTCAGGTTTCTTCTTTCTTTCAATGAACTTTTTCTTCTTCACTGAGCTGAATCTTCCTCCAAAGGCTCTCTCCTCTCTCTCCTACATCAACTATTTTGTTCATTCCAAATGATTAGATCTCATGTAACTCCAAATACTCAAATTCCATATTCCAGCTGCCATATTCTTTCAAGTTATATTAGTTTCCTATTGCTGCATATAAATGGCTACAAATTTAACAGCTTGAAACAATACTCATTTATTAGTTCACAGTTCTGGAGGTCAGAAGTCTGGCATGGCATGGCTGAGTTCTCTGCTCAAAGTAAGAGAAGACTAAAATCAAGATATTGGCCAAGTTAAGTCCTCATCCACTGGCTCCAGAGAGAAATCCAGTTACAAACTTATTGACGTTGTTGCAAAAATTCATTTCTTTTGGTTGTAGAACTGAGGTCCCACTTTTCTGGCTTCTAGAGGCTGCCTACGATCTTTCTCATGTGGCCCCTCCATCTTCAAAGTCAACATTGATACACTGAGTCTTTTTTAGGCTTCAGATCTTTCCCCTAGTCCTTCTTCCACCAACTGGAGAAAAATTTCTGCCTTTAAAGGGCTCACCTGACTGGACACAGCCCACCTGGATAACTTTCCCCACCTCAAGGTCAGCTGACTTGGAACTTTAATGACATGTGCAAGATTCCTTCACAGCAGTTTCTAGATTGGTGTCAGATTAAATAGTCATGAAATTGGGATTTGGGTGGAGGGAGTATCTTTAGAATTTTGCTCACCACACAAGTTATAAGTAAGATAGAAGCTGTGGCCAGGTGCGTTGGCTTACACCTGCAATCTCAGCACTTTGGAAGGCTGAGGTGGGAGAATTGCTTGAGAACAGTAGTTCAAGACCAACCTGGGCAACATAGTGAGACCCTGTCTCTGCAAAAAAATTTAAAAACTAGTCTTGTGTGGTGCCATGTGCCTGTGGTTCCAACTACTGGGGAGGGTAAGGCAAGAAGATTGCTTGACTCCAGGAGTTTGAGGCTGCAGTGAGCCATGATCATACCACTGCACTCCAGCCTAGGCAGCAGAGTGAGACCCCATCTCTAAAAAACAAGAATAAGAAGCTGAAAATGGAATAGTCCTGCATCACTCTGCGCGCCATTGGTTCTATGACTACAGAGGACTCTTCAAAACAGAAAGGCAGCCGGGCCCAGTGGCTCATGCCTATAATCCCAGCATTTTGGGAGGCCGAGGTGGGCAGATCATTTGAGGTCAGGAGTTGGAGTCTGGTCTGACCAACATGGCAAAATCCCGTCTCTAATAGAAACACAAAAAAATTAACTGGGGGTGATGGTTCACACCTGTAGTCCCAGCTACTCAGGAGGCTGAGGTGAGAGAATCGCTGGATCCCAGGAGGCAGAAGTTTTCAGTGAGCCGAGATCACTGCACTCCAGCCTAGGTGACAGAGTGAGACCCCCATCTCAAAAACAAAAACAAACAAGCCAAAAACAAAAAACAAAAAACAAAAAGAACAAAAAAAACAAAACAAAACAACAACAACAAAAAAACACCACACACACAGAAAGACCAGAAAGGCCTAGAGGGCTGCAAATCTGTGCCTCCATCTCCAGGATAGGTTCATACCAGTGACAGTCTTTTTGTCAAGACTTCCAAAAGAGGAGGTGGATAAACATTCTCTTAAATGTTGCACAAACACACAGATGTCCATCGACATATTCGTGTATATTTTACTGCAGTGGTCCTCACACTCTAGCAGGCATTGGAATCACCTGGAAGGCTTGTTAGAACCCAGACTGCTGGTTCTCCCACCCGAGAGGGTCTGATTCAGTAGATCTGGGGTGGGCCCTAAGAATGTCCCAGGTGATGCTGATGCTGCTGGTCCAGAGACCGCACGTTGAGAACCACCCCCTTAATACACAAATTCTCCCCATCTGGATCATCACTCCATGAATGCTCTAGTCAGAGATTTGATGCACACACACTGTATTTGAATATTAAGGAATACTTTTTCACATTTTGCCATATTGTATGTAATTATAAGATAATTACAAGAAATACTTGCAGTGATTTTTCTTCCAGACAATGTGTATTCCACTATTGCTAAACTCCATTCTAATTTTGAACACTGTTTCTTTAGTAAAACCCAACTGTAGTTATCTGCCCACCTCTTACACATTTGTAAACTTCAGCATTTCTGCTCTCCCAAAGGTCCCGTAATGCCATAAGCATGGCTCTGTTCTTTCTCGTTTCACTTTCCTTTTAATGAGACCCTTAAACATTATTTGTAGTTACGGCCTGCCATCCCTTTCCTTCCCACCCTCCCTGACAACGGGCTTCAAAAAGACCTTAGAAATTCCATATTCAGAGACACTGGAATGGCCCAAATTGTGTTTTTAATGATTGCTGTGCTGATTGTCAGTTTTCTAGTCTGAAAAAGGAGTTATTAGTCTCTCTCTGCTAGCTTCAATAGCCAGATCTTTTTGCCAGTAACAGAACTCAACTCAACCTGGCTCTATCTAAAACCTCCAGACCGAGCCCTGCCTTAGGCAGATCCAAATAGGAGGGGTTAGAACCACACCCTGAGGACCCAGGCTTCTTGCTCTCCAGCTTTTGGCTCCGTCCTCAGGGTCAGTTTTATTCTCAGACCACCTATCCCCAAGCCAAGGCCTGAGGAGCTCCAGGCTTCATCCTCTAAGCTTAGGGATCTCACTGGGAAAAGGTTTATTTTTCCTCATAGGCTCAATTAGAGACCCAGGATTGGGTTTTGCTGGACAGACTTGGATCATGTTTTTGTCCTTCAGCAGGCACTGTGGTCGGGGGATGTCATCTACTGATGAGTCAGGGCCTCAGGAGTGTACTCAAACTTGGATCCGGGATACGGTCAACACCCTTAAAACATATAGACTACCATTAAGAGAAAGGCAGTTTTTTACAGTAAATTGAGAGTAAGGGTGAGTAAACCTGAGCAGAGAAAGTGGATGTCATAGCAGTCCACTGTGCCTTCCGTGTGGGTTATCACAGTGATCAAATGTGTGTGTGTATGTGAAAGTGCTCTCAGACCTGCAAGTCCAATATCAATGAAAGGTTTGATGGCGATGATGATGATGAAGGTGATGAAGACCCATTCGTATACAGTCAAGAAAATCATACCTGCTTTGCCTGGCTATATAGAATCCTTATCGCTTGACTCTTAAAAAATTAAAGGAAATTAATTTTTCCTTTCCAAAAGAGGAGGTTTAATTTAAAAATTTAAGGTTTAATTAAAAAATTAAAAAATTTCCAAAAGAGGAGGTTTAATTAAAAAATTAAAGGAATTTAAAATTAAAGGAAATTTTCAGTCATTCTTCCATGGTGCCTCCCAGCTCTTAGCTTCATTTCCCAAATCCTCCCCCAGAAATCTTCCCTTCACTATATCTCTCCCTACATCCACTTAGTAAGCTCAATTACCCTCTTCTAGACAATGATACTCATGAAGAAAAAAACTGAAGACCTCTTTCTTGCCTTTCAGATGGACCTTTTCAAATATGGATAAGATGGAGAAATAAGGCATGTATTTTCAAGAAAATGTGTAAGGTAAAGGAATGTAAATCCCCAATATAGCAGAGTCTCTATTGTTTTCGTAATAATAGGAGAGAGGTCAAGAAATGCCACTTCTCTGTTGATGCTCCCAAGGACAAGCCAGCCACCAGTGTTTCCTCTGTATAAGTCACCACCAACTTAGCCTCTTCATATAATTCTCTGTAGATGCTGCCTGGGTCTCATACGAGTTGTAAAATTATTAATTGCTTGTAATTTTAAACCCACTGAAAATACTAAGACACTAATTTTCTAAAGGCCACAACATCAAGACTGAAGATAATCTAAATAGAGCTTGATCCATTCCCATTTTTCTAATCCTAGCAACAGGAAATAACTAGAATGACACATGAATTTTTTAAGAAAAAAAACCCTCAAAGTAATTTAAATAAGAATGTGAGGGTTTGTTCTACTTAGTGAAGCTCAAGATATCAAATTAAGTGCTTTATGACTTACAGTTCATCTTTTATAAAATATTTAATAATTTTTAGGTGCTTTGGTATTCATTATCTTATACAGCACTTAGTAAATAGGACAGTTTTCATTTTCTTTCTTTGTTTAACAGAAGAGGAAACTGGGGCTTGGAAAACTTATTTGTCTTCAGTTTAGAGCTTGGGTGTCCACATGGTAGCACCAAGACACGGGGGCCACTGAGCACTTGAAATATGGGTGGTGTACCTCAAAATTGAATTTGTAATTGTATTTAATTATAACTAACTTAAATTTAAATTTTAAAAGGACCCTGTGACTAGTGACTGCCATATTGGACAGCACTGGTCAATATGTACAAGGCAACAGTGATGGATTTGAACCAAGGTCTGTTGACTTCAAATTCAGTGCTTTGGGGGTATTCCTAGATTGCTCAAGATAAACTGAATCTAGGTGCTTCAAATTTTTTAATTGCCAATGTTTTCTCATAGATGAAGAACTCAGCTGTGCAGTTTTTTAGTAGTGCATGAATTACTCTTGATAAAAATCTAAAGTCCATAACTCCAACAGTGAAGCAGAGCAAAAGAGCTAAAGCTGCAACCCAAACCATTCACCATAAAAGTCCTCATTGCCCAAGAATCCCCTCAGCCTCTCAAATTTCCTCTGCCAGAGTTGATTCTAATTCCTTTCTCAATAATCCGCGTCCTGACAATCATAACATAGAACTCTCTGGGGCTTATTTCTTACTAACTTGGCACAGGAAAAGCTGTCCTCGGAGACATTCTTGATGAGAGAATGAAAACGCCATTGCCTTAACTTCCCTTAGTCCAAGATGTGAAGGCTTCTGCCTGGATACATTTATTATTGGCAATTATTTCAGGACCAGCTTCAAGTGATTGTTGCAAAGAAGAGAAATCACATATGAATCCTGATAACAGCTGACTTTCAACAGCCAAGAGGATGGTTGGAGAGGATAATCATGTTGTCAGGTGTAAGTAGGCATAAACAGACCAGACCCTCCATTTCACCTGAAGAAACGTGAGTAAGGAAAGAGAGAGGAGACAAATCATCTCAGGGTAGTGACCTCTCTCAGCACCTTCCTGGTGAAGCATGGGGTCTCATTACACATAGTGTCTGAGAAAAAGCAATGAAGCCAATTAACGACCATGGTTTACTGAGATCCATGTAGTGAGAGGGATTTAGGATAATGCCAGCTTCTGGTTGACTGCAACCTGGTCTGAAATCTTTTCTTGACTTCCACCAACATGCTAAAAAAAAGGTACCCCAAAATGAATTATGATGAGACAGTATGTTTGATGTGGACTAGAGTCTAAAGACAGCAGTTAGATATGACCAAAATTACACTTGCAGATCTCCTAAATGACCCCTAGGGAACAGTTTTATAATGTTGAATTTGTAACCCTGTACAATATTGTATGTGTACAAATAATTACCATATATATTCATATAAAAAAGATTGCCCATGCAAAATCTATGTTTACAATATTTTAAATTACTGTGTTTCTGTGTTCTTCTCTTTCTGTTTTTTCATTTTTGGTCAAGGACCTCAAGTTGATTTCATAAAAGTTAAACATATTTGTAAAGAAATGCTAATCTGTTTTCTGGACTCTGAGTGGTATTTGATTTTTATAATGGGATGTTAATGATTCTGGACAGTGACCACCAATGCTCTCCTTCTGAAAATATGTCCTCAGCCAGGAACGGTGGCTCACGCCTGTAATCCCAGCACTTTGGGAGGCCGAGGCGGACAGATTACAAGGTCAGGAGATTGAGACCATCATGGCTAACATGGTGAAACCCCTTCTCTACCAAAAATACAAAAAAAAGAAAAAAAAATTAGCTGGGTATGGTGGCAGACGCCTGTAGTCCCAGCTGCTCAGAAGGCTGAGGCAGGAGAATGGTGTGAACCCGGGAGGCAGAGCTTGCGGTGAGCGGAGATTGCACCTGGGGGACAAAGTGAGACTCCATCTCAAAAAAAAAGAAAAGAAAATACGCCCTCAGCTTCCAGGACAGTAGACAAATGTTGTCCCCAAGAACCTCCTCTGGAAGCTGTGTGTCAACAAGTTTCTAGTGGACATGACAGCTATTAGACTAAATAACAAAAAGCTGGGGGGAAGGGTGTGCAGCTGACAGTATTGAGTGCTTGCTATGCATCAGGCACATTCTTTGTAGCTTATATACATTATCTCATTTAATGATGACCAGGGTAGTTGGCCAGTAGTTGGCCTTGTGGCTTGTGGTTGACATTCATTGGAATCAAGGCATAATGAGGCCAGATAGAGAAGAAAGTCAGCTAAGTAGGTGTATATTGGAATTGTGAGCAATGATGAGAGGATGGAGTGGCAGAAAAAACTTTGCAGCAGGTTCTAAAAATATCACTGTGGGTATGGTTTTTGGAGATTGTCACACAATCCATTTGGGGACTGTGGAAATTTGGGAATGGGGAAAGGTGGAGTGTGTAAAGTTAAAATGGGAAATATTATATGTAAGTGGCAAAGAGTGTTATATAAGTGGCCACACAGCACATGGGCAAGTGAAGGGAGACACAGACTCCTTTGGAGAAGGTATTAGAGAAAATGGCATTGTATGAGGAATTTCAGACTTCAGTCAATGCAAAGAGGGATTTGGAAGGTGTTGATAATAAATTATAGTTATTGTAGACTCTTCTTATCTTGCTAATAGGCAATTATCTCTAATAAAGCTGGAGCCATACTTGATCGATATGAACATTTCCTGCCTTAGTAGGTGTAATAAGTATTTGGGGAGTAAATAGTAAGCCCATTAAATGAGTGTGAGTTACTCAAGAGATTTTAGATGGTTAGAGGAAGGATGGATATAAATGGAAGCCAAACCATGAGGCAATGTAGCATCACAGGCAGGGATTAGTGATGAGGATGGATAGATGTGTGGATGGGAGAAGTTATGTGGGAAGGTCCTTAACCAACCTTCTTCCACATGGAATCCTCTTTGCAAGTGGACTGTTGATGCAGCTAGTTGCAACACCTCAGATTTACTGCTGGGAAGGGACTTTAGAGATTACCTATTTAACTCTTGTAAAATAACAAGAGAAAAGCAAGTAGACCCATGGAGTCAAATGAGCATTATTACTCCTCCGCCTGCTACTAGCTACTTTATTGAACATTTACTATGACCCAAACGTGGCGCAATCTTCATTTTATTCTCCGTGAAGTACAGAATTTTATTACCATCCTGTTTTACAAATTAGGAAAGTGAGGTTCCAAGTGTTAAGGCAACTACACCTCTAGGGAATGTGAGAATCATGATTATCTTAGACCTATCTTTCAGCATGGCTCCAAGTTGTACATCTAGAGCTGAAATTCTATCTGCCATCTTAGTCTTCTTTCCTTTCCATAGCCACAGGCTTGCTAAAGTGCAAGGCTGACGCTGGAACTCTTCAGTTTGCCAGAGGATGACGCATTCTACTATAAACTTTATATTTAGGGCTACAAAAGAGAAAGGCCTAAGTCTTTAGAAGGAGACAAATAGAGATAAACTCTGAGTGGGTGAGGGGAGTCCCTTCAATACAGTTATGGGAACATACATTTCTATAACTTATGCAAACACCTGACTGGACAAGAACTGTCTAAGAATTTCAAGACCTATCATAGAATAGTGAGATTTCTTCTATGGGAGGTAGAAAACCTGTATGCATACACACCTGCCAAGGTGGTGAGATGCCTCCACCCCCATGACCATATCTTGGACTACTTGCAGGGTCACAGACCTAGGGAGAACCACTCTGCAAAAGCTATGGTAACCCCTCTTAACCACTGGGTTCATGTTAACTGATTTTCCTCTGCTGAATGATCTGGTAAATTGTATTAGGGCAGACTTCGCCCAAGGAAGCCATTACCATGAGGCACTGACATAACCCCTAGAAGGCTGATCTGTGACACCATCTTTGAAATCATGAATGGCAAGTTTTTATTTAACAGAGGAAGGGGAAGAAGTGGAGAAGGGAAGTCATGGAAATGATGTTATCAAAGTCAGAGTGAAGCAGGATGGTTTGGCTGTGATATTAGTATTTTTCCTATAGTTCCAGAAAGTGGGAAGATCATGTTCTTATTATTTGATGGAGTTAGTGGGTGCCCCTTGAAGGGGGGGTGACATCCATTTTTTAATTCCATAACCTTATCTGTAACTGACATGTGATTATAACACCGCAATTCTCTTTAATGCAGTCTGTAAAAACACATTGATTTTATAGCTCCCCAAACCGATTACATTAATATCTGTTCATAATTAGTTTACACATTACTAAATTACTGACAGATTAAAAGTGAAATAGTGCAGTTCATACTCAGCCGCATAACTGCCAGAAAGGAAATTAATATGGATTCAAATGGTCCTCGGAGACCTACATTGAAATAGCAGAAATCTATAAAGACTGCTTGCATTAGGAAATTTCTATCAGCAACATGTTTGTGGTTGATGCTTTCCTAAGTCTGCTAATATGAGCTGAGTGGTGCAGGAAATGATATGTGAATGATGCTTTGGCTTTTACCAACTCATGACTGTGTTTATTAAAAAGCAAGTTTTTAATTGCGGCATTTGATGTTCAGGAAAGGCTAGCTTTTAGGTTGTAAATGAAAACTTTCTGCCTTTTCTTGCTTTTCCTAATGACCTAAGTTTCAGGATTGGAACTGAGTTCCCTGACAATGCCGTCTCAGAGCAATGGCACCTGTTTTGTGATCTTTTCTCCAGCCCCCATTAGACACACACATAGGATTTGTCTCCAGAGCAATGTTTTCATTCTCCATGTCCACAGTGGCCAGGAACGTGTGTGTATTTGTGAGGTGGGGAATTGGGAATAGGAAGGGTGAGGCAGTTTCGCATCCATCCATAGAGTAAACTTGTTTTCTGATGAACTGGTAGGTAGACTAAACCTTTTTTTCTGTTTTTTAATTCCTCATATGCATTAAAGAAGTTTGCTGCCCTTTGAACACTATAAATTATTTGTCCAACTAAGAGTTCAAAAATGAATAATTTTGTTCTATCTGATAAGACACCACATTTGAACTCTTTCCATAGGAAAGACACTTGCATTCTGTTGAATTCTGAAGAATGTTAACGCTGAGGACGGTGTTGGTTATAAATGAGGTTAAAAATGGTGGAATACTTAGTACACTTTTGGTGGGAGTGCAGATCAGTTCAGCCCCTATGGAAAGCAGTTTAGAGATTTCTCAAAGAACTAAAAATAGAATTATTTGACCCAGCAATCCAATTACCAGGTGTATACTCAAAGGAAAAGAAATCATTCTACCAAAGAAACACCTGTTCTTATATGTTTATCACAGCGCTATTCACAGTATCATGGAATCAACCTAGGTGCCCATCAACAATGGATTTGATAAAGAAAATGTGGTACATATACACCATGGAATGCTATGCAGCCATAAAGAAGAATGAAATTATGTCCTTTGCAGCAACATGGATGCAGCTGGAGGCCATTATCCTAAATGAATTAAGTCAGAAACAGAAAATCAAGTACCACATGTTTTTACTTATAAGCAGGAGCTAAACATTGGTAGACATGGACATGAAGAGGGAAACAATAGACACTGGGGATTCCAGAGTTGAAAAACTAGTAAACTGTTGGGTAGTATGTTCACTATTCGAGTGATGGGCTCAATAGAAGCCCATACTTCAGGATCATGCAATATACCCATGCAACACACCTGCACATGTACTCCCTGAATCTAAAGCTTTTTTTAAAAAAAGAAAAAATGTAAAGCAGTCACTAGTAGTTATTAGGGACAAGATCCAACATTAATTGAATACCAGCTGTGTTCCAGATACTCTGTGGGGTATTTTATTCATGTGTAGGTTCTCACCACCATCACCCTCACCGTAGTCTCATCATCTCCATTTTATTAATGATGAAAGTTGCTTAGAGCGACTTGACCAGAATATAGTAACTTAACCAACTTCACATGGTTAGTAAAATAAGAGATTCAGGTTTTCAATTATTTTCTATTTGCCTCCAAAACTCAAGTAGGAAGTGGGGAGACAGGCAAAAAGGGAAGAGGAAGATTCTGGAGGTGCCAGTGATTTTCCATGAGCCCAAGGAAGTGGCTCCTCTGTCTGAAGCTTGGGTTTAAAAAAAAAATCTCTTCCTGAGTACTCAAAGCATGCTATCATATCTTGTCATCTTTATCATTTTATTAGTTATCAATTGCTAATTGCTGTGTAACAAATAGCTCCAAAATTTAGTAGCTTAAAACAATATTTACTATCTCAATTTCCATAGGTCAGGAGTCTAGATGCAGCTTAGCTGGGTCCTCTGGCTCAAGGATTCTCACAAGGCTGCAATCAAGGTGTCAGCCAGGGCTGCTGTTGTTTCCAGGCCAGACTGGTGAAGGACCACTACCAAATTCACTTTGTGATTGTTGACAAGATTCAGTTCCTTGGGGGCTGTTGGACTGAGGGTTGCCCTCCGTTCCTTATCAAATGAGCTTCTTTATAGGCAGCTCATAACATGACAGCTCACTTCATCAGAATAAGCAAGCAAGAAAGAGAGAGAGCAAGATGCAAGAGATTCAAGGAGAAAGTCACAGTCCTTCGTAACCTAATCTCAGAAGTGACATCCCATCACTTTTGCTATATTCTATTCTTCAGAGAAAGTCATTAGGTTCAGCCCAACTCAAGAATATAAAAACTAAAAGGCAGAGATCACTGGCAGCCAGATTAGAAGCTGCCCATCACAACCATGAATTCATTTCTTCATTATCTAGGTTTATTTATTATATCAACAACTAATTATTGATTCCTTACTATGTGTCACATTTTATATTTGGAACTAGAGATATACTGGCAAGAAAACAATAATACTATTACAAAAACTTCCATTAATAATAGAAATAACAGACACATACAGTGCCTAGTATGTGCCAGGGAACATTATAAGCGGTTTGTATGTATCAGATCAATCCTTGTATGAGTCCTATTAAGTAAATACTATTATTATCCCAATTTACAGATGAAGATAACTAAGGTGCAGAAATGTTAGGTAATTCTGCAAGGTCATGAAGCTAGCAAGTGGCAGAGCAGAAACGCAATCCCAGGCTGTACATATTCAGATCCTGTTCTTTTCTTAACCCATAAGCTATATTCCTTCCATCATTTTAATATTATTCATGAAGGATTTACAGGAAAGTATATAGGAGCTGATTGGCTATTGCAGCAGAGAAATTAGCTACAGATTATTGCAGAAGCTCAGGTAGAGAATATGGGAGACTGGAATGAGGTGGTGGCACAGGATAGGGAGAGATGTGACTTTGTTGAAATAAATGTGAAATGAGAAACAACAGGATTCTTTAAAGACTTGGAAGTTGGGTTGTGGGAGAAAATAGAATGAAGTATGGCACATGGGCATCTGGTGTGAATAAAAGCACACAGGAAGAGAACAGCCTTTGAGAGTAGGGTGGCCATTTCCTCCGCAGCAACAGGAGAGAAGAAGGAGAAGGGATGTTATCTTCTGCTCCCACTGTTAAACAGATGGGGAAACTGATGCCCAGGTATGCTAAGTCACTTTCTAAAAATCACAAAATCAATAGGATCAAAGAGATCGCTTTGACTTCTTGGTTCACATTTCCTAACCAGTGGAACACATCAGTGGAACAAAAGGCGTCACTCATGTCTACCCATGATTGGTAGACATTAGGCTGTTCACCAAATATTTCTCTATTTCCTTCTTCCAAGCACTTGGCAAGACTGCACCTTCTTGCCTCCTTTGAAGTTAGGATAGCCATGAGATTTGCTCTGACCAATGAAATGCAAGTGAAAGTAGCAGGCATCACTTCTGGATGGAAGCTTTAGGAGCCACTGTGTGATTTACCATGACTCTCTCCCCCTGCTACTGTGATCACGGGAGCACAGGTTGAGGTGAAGCTTCCTTTAGCTCTGACCCCTGAGTGATTAATTAATTAATATGACTGGAATATATATATATATATATATATATATATATATATATAGAGAGAGAGAGAGAGAGAGAGAGAGAGAGAGAGAGAGAGAGAGAGAGAGAAACAGATTTATTTTGAGGACTTGACCCATGCAAATATGGGAGTTGACAAGTCTGAAATTGTAGGACAGGCCAGCAGGCTAGAAATTCCAGCAGAAGTCAATGCTTCAGTCTTAAGTCTAAAGGCAATCTAGATGCAAAACTCTTTCCTTATCATGAGACCTCTGTCTTTTTTCTTAAGGCCTTCAATTGTTTGGCTGAAGCCCATCCACATATAGACCTTGAGTTTGACCAGAACCATAGTCTACCCATAAAATTAACCGTCAGAGGGACTGTTTGCTACCATGGCACTAGCCTGTCACTTTTGACTAATACTTGCTCCTTTGCCTCCTCCCCTCCAAAGAGAATGGAGTTTAGCCTCAGTAGAACTGTCATTATGAGGATTCTGCTTTTTAAAGTATTAATTTAGTTCTTCCTTAAAAGTATGAGTTTTCATTTGTCCTCACCCAAGGAACTCTGGAAGGATGCTGGAGAATCACAGGACACACTCTCAGCAGGAGACAGATATATAGATGTCAGTTGATTCTGGTCACAAAATCCAAGTGCCCTCTAAAAACAGTAAACCGACATCCCAAATGATAAATAATCAGCCCAAGAGCCTTCTGCAAAAGAACACTTGGTCCATAAATGGGTTAATGATGATTCAGGTTCTCAGGAGAGTGCTAATTAAATAGTCATAGAAAGGATGTTCAAAATGATCTCACCGGGCTGTGGTTGCCATGGAAACCCATTTCCCTTATTTGTGTTTCTCTTCCCCCTCCCCAAATTACTAATAGTAATAATTTGGTCAGTTATTAAAAAAGACAAGGTATGGGCCATGTGAACCCAGGCAAGAAATGAAAAGCGAAAGTGAGAGAAAGGAGTGTTAAATAGAAAAATGGATGCATCACTGAAACAGTTTCAATTAGGTAGTAGGTTAATTCCTTCTCTTGGATGGGAATGTTTGGTTGTTTGATGTTGCAGAGAAAGTGCAGGAAATGCTCACAATTCAAGAAAGGAGGTCTTATTTTTTTTAAGGCTAAGGTCTCAGCTGGGTATGCTGGCTCATGCCTGTAATCCCAGCACCTTGGGAGGCTGAGGAGGGCAGATTGCTTGAGCCCAGGAGTTCGAGAACAGCCTGGGCAACATGGCAAAACCCCATCTCTACAGAAATTAGCTGGGCATGGTGATGTGCACCTGTAGTCCCAGCTACTCAAGAAGTTGAGACAGGAGGTTCACTTGGGCCCAGGAGATCGAGGCTGGAGTGAGCCATGATTGCACCGCAGCACTCCAGCCTGGGCAACAGAGCAAGACCTTGTCTGAAGAGGAAAAAAAAAAAAAAAAGACGACTAACCCTTCAAAATAAACCTTCCTCATGAAAGATTCATACATCTATTTGAATGCATAAAACTCACTTATGCCCACAAATCATACACACAACCTTATCCATGACCATGCCCTCCTGAATTTCATATCAGCACACCACTATCTAATTGTGTCTTTCTTGATGTCAGCATGTATGATTTGGATAGTAAGCTTCTAGCCTAATGGGTCTTAGATATTTGAGGCAAATAGACTCCCTTGAGAATTTCAGAAAATCAGCCATCTCCTCAAAAAATGCACATGGGCACATGCATATAGAAGTCGATCTCATGGGGTTCATGGGCCTCCTGAAATCGATTCAGTGACTCCAAGTTGAAAATCAGTGTCTTAAAGGAAATAAATTGTGTAGATTTACAGATGTTAGACTGATGTGGGATGGGAGATAATTGTATTTTCTGGTGAATGGCTTTCACCTTGTTCTGAAACAACTTTCCTACCTTAATAAACACATTAGTTATTTTTCTTGGGTGATGGTGGTGGTAACGAGTTCAGACTCTAAATGCACTTAGTAGGAACATTAGTGGGAGTATTTTTACTAAGGTTCCAAATGACAGTAGATGATGTAGGTGTATACGGTTGGGCTGTAGATGATCTCAGCCTGGTAGAGATGAACTCCAGGAGCTGTAACCACAAAATTCCCTAATCTTTCCTCTACTCCCCACAATGTATCTTTTTCTCCTTAAGGTACATTACAGAGACAAACTTTGCTTAATTGAGTTGCGTATTTTCATAGATCTCTTAGGACAATGTTAGAGTGACATAAACAATGTGTAATAACGTTTCCTCAGGGGAAGAGAAATGACTAGTATTTATTAAGCCTCCACTTTGCAGGAGGCACCTATCTCATCCTCAGCCTCAGAATTACGTTGCATTTTTCCCATTTTATAGATTAAGAAACTGGACTTCTGAAAAGTGAAGTAACTCATTCCAACTCACTTGACTGATAAGAGCGAGGAGTGGTATTTGAACGGAGGTGTTCCTGGGTGCCATTCTGAGGTGCCATCACACCACACTCCCTTCGGAAAATGAGGTATAATATCAGCATGGAAGGTGCTTTCATAGGGGAAGGCAGGCTTCTTTAGACCCCTTCTGGAAAAAGTTGCAGACACGAAGATAAAGAATGAGTGGAAAGGCATTGGGTAGAACATAAGATTTGTAGTCCAACAAAAAGAAGTTCTTACTACCATATGCATTATTTACCATCTATAAGCCTCAGTTTCTGTAACTATAAAGTAGCAATTATAATAGTACCTAGGTATAGGATTTTTATAAGGTTTACGGAAAATAATGTATTACAGAAAATAAGGTGCCCAGCACCATGCTTGGCTCATGATAAGGATTCAAATATTGATTCATGTTTTTGTTTCGTATAGAAGCTTCCTCTGCCAAAGCCGTCTCATTAGGATACACTGAAGTCTTGAGGTGAGAGAGATATAGAGAAGGGTGATCTTTGTCTTGCTGAGTTCTGCCATGGGCAGCAATTGAGGTCCCCTGGCCATGTGGATTAAACTCTAAAGTTCTCCCCAGATGGGGTGTGGTGGCTTACACCTGTAATCTCAGCACTTTGGGAGGCCAAGGCGGAGGATTACTTGAAGCCAGGAGTTCAAGACCAGCCTGGGCAACATAGCAAAACCCTGTCTCTAAAAAAAAAAAAAAAAAAAATTAGCCAGGCATGGTGGCATGTGCCTGTAGTCCTAGCTACTCCGGAGGTTGGGGTGGGAGGAACGCTTGAGCCCAGGAGTTTGAGCTATGATTGTGCCGCTGCAAGTTAGCCTGGGCAACAGAGCAAGACCTTCTCTCAAAACAAAACAAAACATAAAAGGTATTTCCAGCTAATTGGTAGTAACATTATCCACAACCGCTCAGAATACGTTTGGAGATTTTCTATATTTTAAAGAGCTATAACTTAATTTATTTAACACGTATTTTAAACATAATTTCCCCTTATTATAAAAGTTATATTTGTTCAATTTTTAAATTAGCTGCCAACATATAAAATTGAGTATTTTATAGAACATAGTCAAATTTCAGGTTTCTGTCTAAAACTTAGAATTCTAGAACTAACCCAGACTTCATTCCCTCAACAAATACATGACCCAGAGCTAGTGCCATCACTCCCTACTACCTCTTAGATGTAGTTCACATCTCTCATTCATATTGTCTGCTGGAAATTACAAGAATTTGAATCCTTACAGTTTGAGGGTCACAATTCTTGATTATCAGCCTGATCTTTTTAAAAAATAAATATTCAAGTTACTTGATCAGTAAAAAGAGACATTTGGAAATTTCAGTTATACGCAGGAAAAAAAAAAAACAGTTATTTTATACTTATCCATCCCTGATTTTCTCTCTTGTTTAGCCCAGAAGAAAGTAAAGAAGGCTGCTCCTAGTATTCATAAAGTTAAATGTAAGCAATTATATTTTGCCTTACAAAATATACCTAATACATTGTAATGGATTGAATCATTAAAATATGTATAAAGTCATAGAAAAAAGATGAGAAAATAGACACACATCCCACTTTTGCTTTAAGTTAGGTCATTCCTAAAAGATGCTGCAGGGCTGAGGACAAGTTTCTGCTTTAGGCAACTCTGTATCACCTGAGTTGGGAGGATCACTTGAAGCCAAGAGTTCAAGACCAGCCTGGGTAAGATAGCAAGATCCTGTCTCCAAAAAAATTAAAATAAATCAACTTAAAAAATTAAAAATTAGCCATGCATGGTGTTTTTTGGGAGGCTGAGGTGGGAGGATCACTTGAGCCCAGGAGTTCATGGCTGCAGTGAGCCATGATCAAAGAACTTTAGCAATTTCTTAAAATGTTAATGAAAAAAAGTTAAAAGAGGGCAAAAGAGAAGTATCCAGACACTGTGTCATCTCTGAAATCAACCAAGAACAACAACAAAGAAAAACAAAAGAAGAATCTGCTTCTGTGAAATTATAACTCAGATGACGGTCACCAGGTACTTGGAAGAGAAGGAGGAGGTGGGAGGAGGGATACCACTAGAAAAATCAATCCTCTACAAATCTTGAATGGAATAAAGAGAATCCAGGCCTTGCCAGGGTAGGGGACACACACACACACACACACACACACACACACACACACACACACGAATTTTTTTTAATATAGAAAATGTTGGATAGAGAGAAGCAAAAAGAATAAATAGAATAAATTACAATTATTATCTTTAGTAAGATTTTTATTTTGCTTTCTTTTTTTTCATTTGGCAAAATATTATGACAATACTTATTAAATATTATTTACTACAGAAACATTTTAAATAATTGCTTAATCTTCTTGTATACATACAGGATTATTTTTTAATGTTTTGAATATTGCAAACAACAGTTTGCAGACATCTTTATAGCTAAATCTTATTTATATCCAGGGTTATTTCCTTAGCAAAAACTTCTAGAAGTGGCATTGCTGGACTAATAATCATGCCCGTATCTAAGCTATTATCTGTAAAAAGTTGTACCTATTTGCATTGTAATCAGCAGTGTGTGAGAATTCCCATTCTTCCACATCCTAACTATTACTGAGTATTAAACATTTTTAAATGCTGTTTGGTTAGTATGATGGTTAATACTGAATGTCAACTTGATTGGATTGAAGGATACAAAGTATTGATCTTGGGTGTGTCTGTGAGGGTGTTGCAAAAGAGATTAACATTTGAGCCAGTGGGCCAGGGAAGGCAGATCCACCCTTAATCTGGTGGGCACAATTTAATCAGCTGCCAGCGAATATAAAGCAGGCAGAAAAGGAGAGACAGGCCTAGCTTCCCAGCCTACATTTTTCTCCCATGCTGGGTGCTTCCTGCCCTCAAACATCGGACTCCAAGTTCTTTAGTTTTGTAACTTGGATTGCCTCTCCTTGCTCCTCAGCTTGCAGACAGCCTATTTTGGGACCTTGTAATCACGTAAGTTAATACTTAATAAGCTCCCCTTTACATATATATCTCCTATTTTTTCCCTCGAAGAGAACCCTAATGCAGGTAGGTAAATTATTTTTCATTGCATTATTTTTCTTTTGTAAATTATCCGTGTTAATCTTTTTCTTACAAAGTTGTTAAAACTTTTTATATGTTGAGCATATTGTATGTATGTGTGTATATATATATGTGTGTGTGTGTGTGTATATATATGTATGTATATGTATATTTAAATATGTTACCCAATTTGTCCTTTCTTCTTAGTCATAATTTTTGGTATGTTTTGATGGGCAGACAATTTTAGTATTTCCGTAGTAAACTTAATTCATTTATTTTATGATTATTGCCTCAGGACTGATGCTTTCCCAATTCAATATTGTATAAATATCCACCAGCATATTCTTAGAAAATAATCATTTCGTTTTTTATATGTATAAATATATTACATCTAAAATTTATTCTTGGTTTTTCATACTTATAAATATATTACATCTATATAATTGTTTCCTTTTAATACTTATTATTAAACCTCAAATTTATACTTTCACTTGTATGACTCAGAGACTACCTTTTGTCTCCTCCCCTAAACGAATAGGCAGTTGCCACAATACCAAAATATTGAATAATATACTACATCTTCCTTTTATTTTTAAATGCCACTTTTATCATACACAAACTTCTTATATTTACTTGGGAATATTTCTAGGACTTCTATTCCGTTTCATTAATCCTATGCCACCATTACCATAAGATAGTCTTGCTCTGTCGCCCAGGCTAGAGTGCAATGCAAATAGGTACAACTTTTTACAGATAATAGCTTAGATACGGGCATGATTATTAGTCCAGCCTCTGCCTCCTAGGTTCAAACAATTCTCCTGCCTCAGCCTCCAGAGTAGCTGGGATTGCAGGCATGCACCACCATGTCTAGCTCATTTTTATATTTTTAGTAGAGATGGGTTTTCGCCATGTTGAGCAGGCTGACCTTGAACTCCTGGCCTCAGGCGATCCGCCGGCCTCAGCCTCCAGAAGTGCTGGGATTACAGGCGTGAGCCACCACGCCTAGCCGACTTTGTAAGATATTCTAATGGTGGTAGTGAAACTGGAAAGTTTCCTTTGTCCCCCCTGCAGGGCATGCGCTGGGGGTGTGGCTAGCTTTTTCAGCCACCCGCTCCTCAAACCTCCTAGGGGAACGTAGACATGGGCAGACTGTGGGCCTCCGATCCAATGGCAGTGCCTAGGGATGAATGTTTACAGCCGAAACCCAAGTGGGCGTGTGTTACAGGGTGCTCTTTTGGTTTGCTGTCTATAGGCAGCTTGTGTTAACCAGTTCAATTAGACCCCCTTCTTTATCACAAGGACAGAGGGCTTTCTGTATCCCGGGAATGGATCACACATGGGCTTGGAGAATGAGTGCAAGGTTTTATTGAGCAGAAGTAGCTCTCAGCAGACGGGGGAGCAAGAAGGGAGATGGTTTTCCCCTGGAGTCGGGTCCTTTGGCGGCCTGCTCCAGTAAAACTCTGCGTCATTCCGCCGTGTGCTCTCCACTACCAGCTGCTTGTGTCTTCTGTCCATGTGTTCTTCATGACGTCCAGCCGCTTTTGTGTCTGCCTGCTAGGGTCTTGGGTTTTTATAGGCCCAGAATGGGGGTGTGGCAGGCCAGGGTGGTCTTGGAAAATGCAACATTTGGGCTTGAAGGCAGAAGTGCCTGTCCTCACCTAGGTCCCTGGGGGTGGAGCCCTAGACAGAGACCTCGCCTTTCTCTACCCAGCACTTCCCTGCCCCACTTCCCTGTCATTTAAAGGGACCACGCTCTTCCCTTCCCAGCACTACCGGTTCAGTAGGAGAAATTTCCCTTTTTCTTCCTCTTTTCCAAGCATTCTTGATTATTCTTAAGCATCTTTTCTTCCTCCTAAACTTTAAGATTATTTTGTAAAGTGAAAAAATCATGAGAAATCAAGATCCATTTGTAGTCTAATTTGGGGAGGGTGTAATGATAAGTGTAATTAAATTATCTTTCTATGGCTCTGGACAAAGGGGAGTGCTCTTCTTCAAAATCATCCATGTTGGACAGATGTTTCTTTAAATTAAAAAAAAAACTCTTCTCTTGAGTACTTTTTAATGTCAGAGAAACTGTGAATATAGAATTGTTCTAGTTTTAGATTTCTTCCTTTTTACGAGCTTTCTTATAGCAAGGCATGAGGAAGCGGCAGACACCCACTGGAAAGATTAGCGAGAGAAAATTAAGTTTTATTTAGGAAAGAAAAGCTTTAACAAAAAGACCTGGAAAGAGATCCCATTTGGGGCGACAGCTACCTGGACAATACTCTGTTCTTAGGATGTGGCCGTCTGGTCCTCTCCCTTTCTTCTTGCTATGCTCCAAAGAGCAAATGTTTGGCATTTAGGAGTCTTTTTTTTTTCTTTTTCTTGAAAAGACATACATCAATGATTTTACCATCGCTTTGAAAACTAATCTTCTAAGGCCAGAGAAGAAATACTTCTGAAAAAAAACAAACAAATTAAATTGTACTTTTTTTAGATTTTATTATTTAGGCTGTTATTTAAGAATGGTGAGAAAGTTTTACAGCCTCATGGAAAAGAGATGTAGCATTTCTTCCACAAACTATCAAAAGTAGTGAATCTATTTAAATCATAACATGATACTTTCATAATTGTGTGGATGTGTGTGGAAAGGAGAGTGGGTAAGGCCGTTTTGAATTTGTAAAAGGAGTGGAAACCTTCTAAGGCATAGATAAAGATGTATCACATGTGATAACGTTATATCCTGTGGTAAAAATCTATTATGAAAAAAATTACAAATAGTACTTCTGGGAATAAAATGATTGAGAATACAACCTTTAGGTTTAAAATCAATTTTCCACTGTTATTTTAGAATAGATCCAATTAAAATGCAAAATTCTTCAGCCAAGAGAGATGGTTTAGCATTAAACCAAATGCTAAAAGCTCTTACAATGCATTTTATTTATCCAGTTTAAGAAAACTCAGAAATGTCCAGAAGGTTGCATTCTTGATCCTATCATCATAATGGAAGTCTGATGCATTCTTTTTCAAATCATTTTTTACATATCAACAGGAAGACAGATGCCTTCTTGGTCCTCCCCTGGAATTTCTAGCCCTACTATGGATGTTTCTGTTTGCTCTGTTTCTCTGAGTGAGGGTGAGTGTCTGATGGTGAAATGTACCTAAACAAAACGCCAGGCATGTCCATCAAGTGATCCTTTTTTCAGTCCAGTAATGATGCCTGATACAGTGTTCACAGGATCATCTTTTGTTTTCTTAAATTGAAATGGCCTATGTAAGAGAAAGAGAGAGATTATGTTTAAAACATTTTGGCAACCATAGTGATGGGTTTGCAATACAAGTAACACTGTACCGATTAGGTTTCTCCACTAAGAGCTGGTTGTGTTAGCATATCGGATTTCCTGGAGTGGGACTGGCCACATTAGAAAGAAACAATCTCTACAAGGTTTTGACATCAGATTTTCTTTGACAAATATATGGGAGAAAAGGACCCTTCTGTAATTTTTCTCTGATGTTTACAGGTATCGCTGGTTTTGAAAGTAGAATAGATATGCAAATAGGAAACACCATCACTGAATTTGTTTCAGATGTCCCCTGTTTATGGACATACAGCATTCATTTGTTGTACCTGGTGGCTATTAACTGCTCTAATTGTGCTGTAGGCTCGTTAACAAGTTTGTTGAAGTTGCACATTATAATTTTAAAGGAGTTAATTGAATACTAATCCAATGCACAGCACAAAAATTATTTGAACCATTCCAAGGAAAGCCGAAAATCCCACCAGCTGCCTTGGTCCTAGTAAATCCCTACCCCTGTGAAACTGAGAAAATGAATATTCAATATTTTTTCCATTTGAGTCTCTTGACATTCTATTGATTCACTTTATTTTCCCAACAATGTTCTGACAGGTTTCCCAATGTGCATTGTGCACATTCTTTGATATTCATCTTGTGATTGCCTTTGAAAATGAGCACCGTGGCCAACTTTGGTCTAGGGCTTAGAACTCAGGAGCTCCAAGCCCCTTGCATCCCAGAAGCCAGCATATTCATAGAATTTTACTGTATTACTATGCAATCCTCACATCTGAGACACAGTCAAACATCAGAAGAGGAAGGAAGTTTGAGAGTGCATAAAACCTAAAATATGTTTGTGAACCAGGTTACTGCTCTGGGGGACTTAGAGGAGGGGACCAAGAGAAGTGGGAAATGTCTGAACCTAAAGATTGTGCTAGTGGACTGGGCAAGGTGGCTCAAACCTATCATCCCAGCACTTTGGGAGGCCAAGGTAGGAGGATTGTTTGAACCCAGGAGTTCAAGACAAGCCTGGCAACATAATGAGACCCCATTTCTACAAAAAATATACAAAAATTAGCCCAGCATGATGGCAGGCACCTGTGATCCCAGCTACTTGGGAAGCTGAAGTGAGAGGATCACCTGAGCCTAGGAAGGTCAAGGCTTCAGTGAGCCATAATCACACCACTGCACTCCAGCCTAGGTGACAGAGCAAGACCTTCTCTCAAAAAAAAGAGAGAAAAGAAAAGATTGTGCTAGGAAAGGAAAGTGAAAGAAAAGTAAATCACTTAGAGATGAAAAAGCAGGAAGTAAAAGTAAATAGATGTGGCAGGAAGGTAGCACCCATTTCAACAATTTTTGTGAAAGGAATAGTCCATTGGTTGTCAGAGAAGCGGCCTGACTCATACAGAAGAAAGAGAGCACAGGAACAGGTGAATCTCCTGTTGTTGCAGGATCTAAAAGCCAGTTGGTCGATATCATCAGTCTGGGGGTGCCATTACCACACAACTAGGTGATACAGGCTCTTTCTTTGCATTAAAATTGTGTCCTTTGTTAGAAGAGGGACCTTGCTTCTGTAAAAACTAGATGTTGACTAAGGTTCTTCAGAGTAATGAATGGGGTGTGCGGATTTTTCCCAGAGAGCCTCCTGATCAGCAATATGGTCTTCTCCATATGCTCTGTCTAAGCATTTTGTAACAGGAGCTCAAGTTCATTCATGTTTGTATTTCTTAGCCCCTAGCTATAAGCAATGCATGTAGTATACTCTCAATAATATTTGTAAAATGAGTGAATGAATGAATGAAAAGTACATGGTCTATAATGTAGAAAATGTCAGTTTGGCTTATCTCTCAAACAGGATTCATTTCTTTTCAGATGACAAGTAGCTAAGTTAAGCAACTGCCTCTCTATCTGTGTATAATTGATCTTATTGACTTTAAAGATTAAATTGCAGATAGATAGATAGATGATAGATAGATAGATAGATAGATAGATGACAGATAGATTAGATAGATAGATAGAGTGCTAGATAGATACACATTCTTTGACATATCTGATAAACCCAAGATGTGTTTAAATGATATCTTTGGAATTGCATCTTAAAGGTAGGATATTCTGTCCATTTATTTCCTAACCATTTTAGCAGCTCAGATCTCAGACTTCTCCACAATTTAGATCCCTGGTTAAATTAAGGAGACTGTTCAATCAAAAAATATCAAGCTGGCTGTTCTGACTGCTTGAGTATTGACTTCGGCAAACGGGCTGTGAGCTGAAACAAAACCTATCCGATGGCTTTCCTTTCTGCTGAATGTACTTAAAGCAATGCATGCCATGTTTAGAGTGTGATGCGATGATGTTCATGCACATTTCATTTTTATTATTTTTCTTGAAAAAAATCTGTAAAGGTAATGTAATTTTAATGCAGTGCAACTGAATTAAAATTAAGATTTTAATGAAAAATCTTCCTGATTTGTTTTCATGGGGTGGCAGTTGCATTTTATAAAACGAAAATTAAACATTTCGAAGGTATGTATTGCTTTAGTCTTTATGTAAGAGCTTTTAATCTGTGTGTCACCTTCTTTGATACAGTAGACTCTCATTTAATATTTGTGAATTAATACCTCCCCTCCCCTAATACTCACTATAAGTTACAGGAGGGCAGGCCGGGTGCAGTGGCTCACAGCTGTAATCCCAGCACTTTGGGAGGCTGAGGCGGGTGGATCACAAGGTCAGGAGATCAAGACCATCCTGGCTAACATGGTGAAACCCCGTCTCCACTAAAAATACAAAAAATTAGCCGGGAGTGGTGGCGGACGCCTGTAGTACCAGCTACTTGGGAGGCTGAGGCAGGAGAATTGCGTGAACCTGGGAGGCAGAGTTTGCAGTGAGCTGAGATCGCACCACTGCACTTCAGCCTGGGCAACAGAGCAAGACTCCATCTCAAAAAAAAAAAAAAAGTTACAAGAGGGCTGAGATTACATCTTCTTAATTTACTCACAATTCTTTGTATACAATAGCTGGTCAGCTTGCTAATGTTACATGTTTTAACTGCTACTGACATTTATTCATTATTTAAATTAAGAAGGTTCTGCAAACTATGACCCAACAGCCAAATCAGGCCCTCTACCTGTTCTTGTAAATAAAGTTTGATTGGAACACAGCCACATTTGTTCCTTTACATATGGTCTACGGCTGCTTCTAGCATGCAGTGGCGGAGTTAACTCTAACTAGTTGTGACACAGACCATATGGTCCACAAAGCCTAAATTATTTTCTATCTAGCATTTTCCAAAAATGTTTGCAGACCCCTGATTTGCAATGTGCTAGGCATTGTGCAGGCTTGTCATGGATCATCCCTTTCAACTTTCACAACAGTATGTACTACTACATGGTATGTACTGTTGTTATCCCCATTTTATGGATGAGGAAACTGGGCCACAAGGAGGATTTGCAAGGGATTAGGAGAGCAGGAAGCAGAACCCAGTTAGGCACGACTCCAGAGTCCAGGAATTCTTGAGTCTGACTGGAGATGGGTGGTGCGGTGCACCTCTGCTTCTCAAACTCATCACAAGCAGCATCTCCAGTCCTCTGGTCGGGGAGGGGTAGCTGGGAATGAAGGCCAGAAGGTACTATCTCCGGAAGGACAGGGAGAGGCAAGGGGCCTGTCTGCCTCCCAGGGCTGCATGCTGACACCTGCCATGCCAAGACAGAAAGCAGAGCTGCAGGCTACAGCTATCAACCTCCCTCCCACACGCGCGCGCGTCCACGGAGCTTAGTTTGGCACCAAGGTGTGAGCTCTTAGGCAACGTGGGAGCCCAGCAAGTCACACTCATGGTCATCCTGGCTCTATAAACACAAGAAAAGGATGCTTGCTTGGTGGCCTCTTGTGCTAGGACCCTCTGCGTTGGGCTTGGGCGGCAGTCTCCCTTAGAGAAACCATTTGCTCCTCCAAATCTGGGATGGAAAACTTTTACCTCCTACCAAGATTGGTGCCCCTTAGTCTGCAGAGGCTCTGATGGAATGGGGGAGAATTTTCAACTTAAGTCCTTAAAAAAAGGGAACAAAGAGGCTAGCAAACAAATAGCTGTAATATGAGCAGACTTCTTTCATTTGAATTTTTTAAAAAATATCCCTCTGCTAATGACTTGGTGATTTTCACAGTACTAAATGTGCTGACTTAAAAAATCCGTGGGAGGTCAATAATTTTCCCTCTGCCTGTCACTGTGCTGATTGTGGTCCCGATGCACCTTAATTACAACACCTACAGGTGGAGTATTATACAGTGTTTACATTAATCAGAATAGATTTACTGAGGGAAATAAACCTGCTGGCTTCCTTAGAGTTGCACTCTCATCAGGCAGCTACTGGGCTGGCCAGCCTGTGGGTTAGTGCCTGGGCTAGGAGCCCAGACCCCAGCCTCACAGCAGTAGGTAGGCTCAGAGCATCTCTATCCTAAACTGGTGTGCTGGTGCTTAGCTAATGAATCAACAGAAAGTTCTATTAATAGAAACTGCATTTCAGAATTTTGAGATCAAAGGAGGAAAGTGTGTGTGTATGTATGTGTGTGTGTGTGTGTGTGGAGAGAGACAGAGGACAGAGGGAGAGAAGATAAGAGATAGAGAGATTGTGCAATTGTTAGAGAACTGACTTCATTCTCTGTGGCCACGAAGAACGAGAGAATCACACATACCTTAGAGGCATACATTGCCTCCCACCCCAAGTCTTACATTTATATGAAGAGGAAGAGTAGAAGAGAAACTCTGTTGGGAATTAAAGAAAGGCTAAAGAAGATACACACAGCTGTCCAGTTGGGATGTGGGCAGAGGAGGGGTAGGTTTTGCTGTGTGTTTGTTGTTTTTCAAATTCATTTTTCTTTTGCATTTTGAATGAGGCTTTATTGTTCTTTGGATTTGAAGAGAGGCCAACAACCTCCACTGACCCAGGTGGCCAATATGGGTGAGTAGCTAAAGTCACCAGCTCTTTCCTTAATCTCTGTCCTTCACTTTCCTCATACATAAAATGGGCTTAATAGTAGTACTTGTCTCACAAGGTTGTCATGAAGTTTTATTGCAATAAAATGCATAAAGTGCTCACAATTGTGCCTGGCTCATAGTAGGTAGTCAATTACAGTTACCTATGATTATTATTACTATTACTTTTTAGAGATGAGGTCTTGTTTCAACACCAGGCTGCAGTGCAGGGATGCAATCATAGCTGACCACAGCCTTGAAAATTTACCTATTACTGTCAAAAGTCATTGAGAAGACGGACTGTTAGAGTCAATGAGACTTAGTTTCTAGTTCTGCCTCTACTAGTTAATAGCAATGTGATGTTACTCAAGTTTCTAAACCTTTCTAAGCCTCAGTTTACTCATCCATAAAATGGCAATAACAGTACCTATAAATGAGAATTGGATGCAAAGTACTTTGCACATAGTAAACCTTCATAAGTACTAGTTATTATTAGTGGCAAATGTGGGAACTTTCTAATCTGTAAGAAAGGGACAAAGCCCTAAGCATTTGCCTGATCAGGTTGTGAGGTCACTACCTTCTTCTCAGGACAGTACTTAATTCTTCAGTCACTGAATAGTCAACACCCTCCCCAGCACGCTGTCCCTGGGTTTTTGGTTATGTCTAGATTTGGCCAATAGAGTCCTGAGAGCACATCTCCATTCTAGAAAAGGAGCTTGCAAAACTGTAGCATGTACTTGAGAGGGAAAGCCCCTGGGATGCTCCAAAGATGAAGTGGAGGCGCAAGAAAATATTTCAATGAAAACAATTTGAATAGCATTTTTCAGAGCAAGGTCCTTGAATTGGTTCCATTCATGAAATAGAGTACATGAGGATTTTATATTTTCAAAAAAATTCATCCATTTGTCTTTGGGAGGCATAGTCCTGTCAGAGCCTGGTCTCCTTGGTGGGCACCACACCCAGCAGACACAAAAGCTTCTCCTGGCTTGAAGCCACCAGCAAAGGCAGCCTCGGCTTCTCCAGCACCTTGGCTCTGGGTTGAGTCTCACCTGTGTTGAATGGTTTCTCTGCAGGAGCAATTTTAAGGCTAAAAATAAAGTCAAAAGAGAAAGGAAAAAAAGAAAGGAAAATAGGGAAACATCACTCTTCTATCTCCACCTGGCCTCATGTACTGCTCTTTGACATTCATTAGAAAAACACAAAGTCCAAGTGGGAAAGAGGGAGTTCCCAGGCAAAACAAGATTTTGCTATCATTTGCAAGAACAGTCCTTCTTTCTGTTGCCCCTGACTGCAACCTTCCCTCGCCAGTAATAATGAGCCTGTGAAATGCTCATGGAGATCTGTTGTTAGGCTGGGGCACTTGGATCTAATTCTAGAAGGTTCAGATCTTCAGCCTGTTGCTTCTTATTTCACTGGTCCAGAAAGAGCCACTCAGATGATAAGACTGGCAGAAAAGAAGGGCATGGTGTAAACAAAGTCCCTGTCTCACCTGGAGCCCTTTTTGCCACTTGCAATTATATGGTTTCATTTCAGTGCTTGCAGCTGAAGCTGACCTTTCTTTGCATTACAGCTAGTTTCATTAACACCTTTTTCTTTTCTTCCTCGGTGTGAGGTTTTATACTTTGGTTTTGATGGCCAGATTGCTTTGGGGAGCACAGGCAGCTTGTGGCACCATCCTGGGCACAGTGGATACTTACAAAAGACTTAGATGCAATTTTTGCTGCTGAATTCCAGTTGGAACTTCAAAAACAGATGAGGTTAACAGAGTGCATGTCTGATTTTTAGAAACCTAGTGTTTTAGAACCAAAATGGACTCGAGGACTTAATAAGGAACTAACCCCTCCTTTTAAAAATAATGTAAGTGAGGCTCAGATGTCATAAGAGACATGAACAAGGACACTTGGTCACAGCATAGCCAAAATATAAGGTCACATTTTTGCCCTGAGGTTGGCCACAATATGGAATAACAGTTTTGCCACCAATCTTGAAGTCTCAAGATAGGTAACCAATGTAAGTCTTTGAAATAATGCATATTAGAGTATTTTAAGATTAATCTTTTTATCCAGATAAGATGAAATGGCTTTAGAACTTTTGCTTTAATAGGAAGAGGAGGCTAATTGGCACACTCTTTGCTTGTATCTAACTGTGTGCTTAAGAGTGTGAAATCACTTGGTAGAACAAAGTCCTTAAAACAATCATGAACAATGGTGATAGAAAAGGAAGCTGTGGGACTCCTCAGCCAGAAAAGGGTCTCTAGGTAAAGATTCACTTTGCCAGGAAACCTCACAAATTATAAACTAGTGGCATTTCCAGATGAATGGTATTTTACTTTATGGTTCTTTGAAGCACGCGTGAATCATTCTGAAATGATTATATGAAGAACTGGTTTTATGACGTGAGCTTATGTGGTACGTTAGCTCCCAGTTGGCTATCCTGGGGAAGCAAAGACAGTGTGGTTAATCGAGAGAATCAAAACTAAATTTCTAGACCTGATTTCTGACCCTAGCTGTGCCTCGAACCAGCTGTGTAACTGGGCAAATTACTTTGCCTCTGCCAATTTTGGTTTCCTGGCTAAAGATTTTTACTAGAGGGTCTCTAATAGGTTGCCAGGTTGAGAAGGAAAAAAAAAAGTAAGGAAGAAAGGAAAGAAGGAAGGGAGAAGGAAGGGAGGAAAAAAAAAAAACAAAAACAACACACAGGCATCCACTTAAATCTGAATGTCAGATAAACAAAGAATATCTTTTAGTGTAAGTATGCCCCACGTAATATCTGGGACATACTTACACTAAAATCAAACCACTATTCATTCTTTTTCTGAAATTCAAATGTAACTGGGTATTCTGTAATTTATCTGGCAACCCTAGGCCTCCAATTCTATAATTAATGATTCTGACTGTATTTGTTTCTAAAAGTGTATGAAGGAGAGAGAGAGAGAGAGAAGCAATCCCCTGAAAGCACTCACCAGCCGGTTGCTAGTCTGCAAAAGGACAGCTCATGGCATTAGAGTAAAAGTCTCTTTAGGCTGAGAGGCAGCCCTGGAGAAAACAACGCCCTTTCCTGATGACATAGGCCCCTCCCATGGCTGTCCTGAGAGCCAGACCTCTTTGTGGGCCTAGAGAGCTCTGTGCCCTGAACCGTCTCAGTGGCAGGCAGTGCTGTGCTGAGCGCCCTAAGAAAAAGCCTAGTCCCTTCCATACACAAAGACAATTGCAATTAATCCCTGTTGTGAGCCACCAGGCACCAAGGATCACAGAATCCTCACAACAGGGGCCTAAACAAATCATCCTTAGGTGGAAACCAGGAATGGATCCAGCCTCCCCTTTCTCCCTAAGTAATGTGGACATAGAGGGCATCCACCCCAACCTGTTTGTTATGGGACTGGGTAAGAGTGGGAAGATAGAGCAAGATAGAGAGAGGAAGAGGATGTGAGATGCTGGAAGTCAGTGTTGCAGTCAGTTAGCAAAAGGCCGGGTAGTTAGAATTGGGATACCGAGATTTCCCCCACAACCTTAAAAAATAATTGCAGGTAACACTTTATTCTGTGTTACAGTGAGGTCCCTCCCTTAAGCATAATGACTGCTTCTTTGGTCCATTTAGTTTGGGTCTTTTGCAATTTATCAGAGATGAGTTCCCTGGAGTCTGGGATCCCATTCAAAGCAGTGTGGGCGCACGCATAAGTGTGTTGATTGCATTTCCACAATCCTCAGATTCTGCCCTTGAGAGGGGCTGTCCCTCCACTGATTCCTGGAATGGATGGGCAAACAGAGCCCCAGTGTCTCCAAAAGCACTTCAGAATCCCCCTCACCACCACCGCCACGCCGCCAGGAAATGAATTAACCTGGACACCCAGACAGCTGCCATTAACTCGACCTCCCCTCCATAAAGAAGCACGCAGAGCCGGAGTGTAAAGAGGATATGGTTAGGATACGATGTTTAACAGAGAGAAAGAAAGGAGGAGAAACAACTGTTTGCTTTAGATGCAAATAAACTCAACTTCACCTTTAAAGCTGAAAACCTGTGCCCTTGGCAAGACGTTTGGGGACTGTTCCAGAGATATTAATCTTCCTCCGTTTACATGTTAAATAGATCTTTGGAAACGGTTTCTCCAGCACTGTTTTTTCTCTCCGGCACAATCTCCTTCTCTCTTTCTTTTTTTAGTACAGTCAGGACTCCCCAGCAGCGAGAAGCCCCGGGGGACGAAGGTGGAGGCACCAAGCCGTGTGGATTTCAGAGCCATCCGCGGCTGCCGGCTGTTGGGGCGGCCAGGAGTGGCCTGCCAGCAGATGGCGCTGCGCCGCACGTTATGGACCCTCGTGTGCCCGACCGGCTCAGGGAAGGAGACAGACGGCTCAAAGTTTCTAGTGCCATTCCTGGACTGAAACAAATGTTTGTGGAATTAAGTAGTGATTTCCTTTAGTGTGCGCCACTCTTACTGGCTGTGTTTTCAGGCCTAGATGTTAACATATGCCACATATTACTTTTTTTTTTTTTTTTTTCCTGGTGAAGTCAGGGGTTTCCAAGCACTCAGCCTCATCCTAAGTGTTCATGTCAACTAGCAAAGGTCTGCATTTTCTGATAAAATAACTTATAAAACTTCCATATTAAGAGCTAAAATGGTTTGGAAGACAAAGAAGTGCTGAGAAATGTAAGTAAACAGAGCACCTAACATTTTGTCTTTCTAAATAAACAAACGGGGAGGGAGGTGTTCCTTTATTAGGCTCAAAAATTACTCATGAGAGCGGCCAGGAGGAGATTCAAGGCATTCGGGAAAAAGTGTCTCTGGCTACTGGGGGGAAGGGGGTTGCATTATGTGATTGCTGGAAACACTGAGGTGCAATGATCATAAATGTAGAATCGTGGAGAAAATTTAGGATATGCTCGGAACACCCAAGGCACAGCCAGAAGTCCCTGGGTTTTCAGAACCCAGTTAAACAACAATGGGTTAAGGGTGATAGGAATTGCCAGTGCAATTGCTTCACCATGCCAAGTGGCTCCATTAGTTAGGGTTCAGTATGTATTTAATGTTGCCATAAAATCTGTCTTCTCAAAGTAAACAAGGCAAGTCTGTGAGCATCTCCGACAAGATGTATGAAGCTTTGTTTGGGATAATGGATTTGACATGAGTAAAAACACTGGGGATTAAATGGACCCAGCACGGATAAATATGACTAATTGTCATCTCCTCGTATCAGCGTAAACATCTCTAGCACCGCATACTAGGGAGAGATGGTGGAGCAAGGGGGTTTGGGGGCGATTAGTCACTGCAGAATTGATTCACAACTGATTGATTAAGCAGGGATGGAGGGGAACATTGAGGCCTTTCCTTCCACATGGAGGTGAATGTCGCGTTTTAGAATTTCCAAGCATTTCTTGCTCAGATTGAACTGTGAGTCACAGCCCTAAAGAGTGAGTACACAGCTGTTCTGTTGTGTGTGTACACGGTAACTTTGGGCTTCTTTTTCTTAAATGTTCATTAATCTTTTAAAACTGGCAGAATGGCCCGAGCATCTTTTACACAAAAGAACAAGATCTGAAGTCTTGTCATGGACTTTTTAGAAGTTTTCAGCAAGCGACTCAATTCCTGTTTCTCTTAATGTACATAGAGATAATATTTAACTTTCCTCACCTATGTTACTGCTTTATTTTGTAAATATCGCTATGTGGATTTCTTTTTCTTAGATGATGAATACATATATCTAATACTAAAATACATTTTTTCAAAGTAAGCAATATTCTCAGGCTTTGAAACTTTCTCATTTGGAGCAGTAATTATATTTAAGGTCATTAAATAATCTGAAAGAGAATATTCATTTACTAACATATGGTTTTTAACATTTGATTCTGTTTTTTCTTTTTACCTGTTTTCATTTTTTAAGCTAAAGTTCAAAGACATTTTCTAACCAAATGTCATTTATCATATCAACATATGCTGTTTATACCGTGAATATAGTTAACGTAGTGAAATGAAACTTTAGTTGTGTGAAAAATAGCAACTTTTAAGGCTCACCAAATATTACAAACACTGCAAATTCTTTCTGTAATATCCAGAAGTTGATTTTGGATCAAAATTTAGAGCTGTCTTTCAAACAGAGCCACATTAAATTTAAAATTAGTCAAGGATTACAGTTTGCTATGAGAAATGTCTCCACCTCCAATATGAGCAAATGTCATCAAAGTGAAAGGGGAAAAAAAGAAAAGAAAAGAAAAGATGGGATTGTTTTGACACAAGTGAGAGAAGCTTAGTGTCGCTTCATTTTTAACCTCATTTCAAATTATCTTTTAACCACCCTGATATTTCTGCTTGGAGATAATCACATCTCATCAGCCTTCTCAAAACCCGGCAGCTACATACCCGGAGCTAATGCTTCTTGTTAAATCATATTGCTAAACAAATTGTTACAGCTCCCGCAGCTGACTGATGGAAATCAGCTTTGCTGGACAGCCTCTTTTTCTTTTCTTTCCATCATTCAATTTTATTTTCTTTCCGTGGGTAATTTTAATCTTCCAGAAGATGTTTGATTGTTTCTCCTAGAGAGGTAGGACATGAGTTTTAAAAATGTAAAAGCAAATCTGCCCTATAGGTGATGAAGATGGAGACCTGTTGCAATGCTCCTGGGAAAATAAACACATGGATTCACATCTATGTTTAATAGAAGAAAATCTTTCTCAGGAAAAGCAATAAAATGTGGGGACTTCAGGAGAAGAAAAGTTACCCTGGTTATAAACATCCACAATCAATTATTCCTAACATCATTTAAGAATTCACATATTGTTGAGGTTTAACAAACACAGCAAGGAAACTGGGCTTATTTATTTTAGCAGTTTTGCATCTGCAGATGTAAAATCAAAAGCTCCCTGCTTAACATTTGAAAAACTCCTATGTAAATGACTGACCGCCTTATCTTGACACAATTTGCCTCAACTTCACTTCCTCTCACTTCGTCATTTAATTTGTATGGTTTCCAAATCAGAGCCGACTATCATCTATTAGTCCCCCTGGTGACAGAGGGCAGGGTGCTGTTGTATTGGAGTTAATAAAGCAGAAACACAAGCCTAATTACTGGGGAGATAAGCCATGCTGGCAGGGATTCTGTCCTCCAGGTCTGGACCTATCTGCACCCAGACATTTTGGAGTGGGTCTGTGAGCACAAGGGCAGACACAGACAGCAGCAGATTGGGCTGCATTTGTTTTCACGTTAGAGGTGCTGATACATTTCAGGAATCACTTTACCTGGAAGATGGGGTGGTAAACTGCATCTACAGGAGGAAACAAGTGTATATCCATGAGTCAAATGAGATAATGGGGGCAAAGGTGTGTCATAACTGCAAGGGGCCAAATAGAAAGTGACATTTTTGTTACAAGAGCATGGATGTGTATTTAAATATAGTCTACAGACACAAGCATTAAATAGCTCCATGTTGAATGTGTGTGAGTGTGTGTGTGTGTGTGTGTGTGCGAGAGAGAGAGAGAGAGAGGAAGAGAGAGAGATTGCCTTTCTGATGCCAGCAGTCACATATACCATGGAATGTATCACCGGAAAAATTAAAATATACATAAATATGTACTTACAGAAGTACACACATAGGTATATATACATCGTATAACATATAGTATCATACCATACATAGCCTAATGACTCAAAAACCTGATTGAAAATTTGATTTATTGATTATTCACAAGTCCATGTTGTGTTTTTATAGGTTTATATTATGTGCATATGACTGTATCAGACATATGCAAATTGCATACACATATTGAGAAGTTTCACTATCATATATACGTTTTCATATGTATTTATGCAAGACTCAAAGCCTGTCATTAGAGCTGCTGCTTTCCCCAGTTTCCCTCCTTCCCAAGTAAACAAACAAAAAAGCCTACCTGTGTGCTTAAAATCACTAACATTTAAGAGATATTCATAAAAAGAGGAAAAAATGATACAGTTTCTGCCTCCTGATTTGGAGGGTTACAATTATTGATGGATACTGTAACAAAAACAGAAAACTGTGTTTGGAGAGGTGAATCTATTAACACAGCTTTGTCCAACAAATATTAAAATTGCAAAGTAATTTGCCCATTTGACAATAGCTAATGAACTTAAGTATGCAGAATGAACTTTAATAATTAAGGAAATTGTGCAATTAAACTGAAAGCAGCTGAAAATTACAAATAAAATTAACTCTCTGGCTTGGCAAGAATATCACTGCTTCCAATATCCAACCAGGTTGAATGTCTGGAAAGTTTCAAGTGACTGTCCGTTTTATTGTGATGACTTACCATAAAGATATTGACCTCATTTTTTTTTCTAACAAAAAAGACCACTAATAATGCTTTCCATGATATGTTTCTGAATTACCATGTGGTTGGAATGATAGGAAAAGTCTCATTGGCAGGGTGCATTTTAATTTTGATTTGAGGTTTATGATCCTATCTGTGTCTATTTTAAATTTAAGTGGATTACATTCAGCAAAGATCCTTTTACTATCCTGGCTTGGCTGTCTCATACTATTAGGCTCTATATGTTCAGCTTCTACAAATCTGTTAATACATAAAACCATAAGAAGCCTCTTATGTTCAAACCAGGTTAGACCGAAGACATCAGATTAATATTTGTTAATGTAGAAGGGCTCTTAATCAGATTTGCTTATTTCATGACAGAATGTTTCTGCAATTATCATAATTGTTGTGCTAAATATGTTTGTCTTTGTATCTGGCTTTAGGCATAATCTTCTCTCTTGAAAGCCACTCAATGTGGGACTTGAGATTCCTGCACAAAACCCAATTAATATTAAGATGACAAGCCCCGATGAGCTCCCAAAGAGGCAACAGCTGAACAGACTCTAACATTCTTAAGTACAGATACTTGAGTGATCAAGTACATCTGAGGGAGACACACAATTCAATAATCCCTTTCTCAAGAAAGTCAAGAGCCCTGTGAGATGCGCGGGAAATCAAAGGAACACATCAGAAAGAAAATGACGGGTCTGGTCCTGTAGCGTCTCTATTAAAATGCAAAAGTTATGGATTTTTTTCGGGGTGATGGGAACCTTTTCTGTTTTCATTGATTTCTTTTTATAGCTTGATGATTTCTCTAAGATTATCTTAAAAGCTTAAAGAAAAAAGGGGCCTCATCAAAAGGTATCTTACATGACAGGAGCATAGATAGTTTTGGTTAACATGATGTGGCCAAGGCGCGGCGTAGTCCGGGGAGAAAGAGACCTCACTCAGGCCTCAGCCTGGGGAAAGTCTGCTGCCTCTACAGCAAAATGAAATTTTGCGGCCACATTGGAGGCACTTGGAAAACCCATCCTGCTGGGCCCTGGGCCTGTTAGGAGGGACTGAGTGGCAGGCTGGAGCTACCTGGGCCTTCCCCAGAGACCGAGTTCTGAAGAGCTGTATTCGCAAATGTATTTCCATTTTCATTGTATAAAGCAATTGCCTTTCTGTGTTGACCCCCAATTTCCTAGGCTCATGAGTGACTCCTTGGATTTACAGCTAAATTCACTGTCCGGAGGTGACACCCTAACCCATTGATTTGTAATCAGAAATTAGTTTCCTGTCACTTTAAAAGTGAGGCGCTAAGGGGCAGTAAAAACAAGGCTGTCGGAGCTAAATGGAGCTAGAGTCCAGGCTCCGGGCCGTGACACACTACCTTTCGAATATATTTATTACGTTAAAAACCTCAGTAGTGCACTTTAAATGGCTGGTGACACCCTCTTAGGTGACTTATTGCTCTGTGAAATCAGTTTTGCAGAAACTCTTTCACATATGCCAAAAATAAAAACCACACACACAAAAAATACACATGCACACAAAACAGCAGTCCTGTGTGTGTGCATTACAATGTATCGGTACCAGTCCATGGAGTATCTGCTCACTTCTGTGCCCAGCATATCAGCGGCAGGAAGCCCCCACAGCGGGCAAGGAGCCTCCCTAGAGCTGACATGACTCAAAGTGAAACCAACCAACGTGGCCCTTGCTAGTGGCCTGATAAATCTGGAGGAAGCATCAAGGCCACCTGCCCAATTTTGAGGTCTGTCCCTGGCGAAGAAGGACTAGTATATATGATCACGTGTCCCCCATAGGCAAACACACATCCACACTCCACATACCTCCTACGTGTACCACCTGGACAAGTCTTTTTAGATCTCCGCTTTATAGCAAACAACAGAGAATAGGGATAATGATCATTGAAACTACCTAGTCTGGGGTAGATTTAGATTTCCCCAAACTAGCCTGACATTTTCTAAGATGTAAGTGCTAGAGAATTACTGAGAAACTGTTTTTATAGATTCCTCTTGGAAACAAGAAACACATCCTAAACAAATCCAGCTCCTGGCTGGCCCCAGAGTCCCCATTTCTTTACCCTGCTTGTCACAAGGCAGGATTCCACCCTCACCCTGGGAGTGATCTAGGAGCAGTGCACCGTTGCATCAAAATAGACTCTTTGCCACACAGGCCTGGACAATCCCACTTACAGAGTGAATTGCCCCAGATTGTGAGATATTTGAAACAAAATGTGTCCCTGTTGCCTTCTGGGGTTCCTGCTAATTAATATTCAAAAGACTCAAAGAGGAAAAATGGATACCTAAATCATACATATGTATATGCCTTTTAAGCTTTATTATAAAGGCAAAATAACCCCTTACTTGGTTAAAATCCAACTTGAGTCAACATACAAAGGTGACTGCACTGTAATCCTAGACATATCTGCATTATGTAGGCATGTTACTGCGCCACCAGAATCTCTCAATAGTAATTATTATGCCAAGCACCCTGTTGGCACAATTACACTAAAGCTCTAATTAGTAGCGGTAAGATTAGAACCCCTACATGTTAAATCTGTAGAAGCAACGCTGAGTGAAGGATTTAAAACAGTTTCAAAACATTGTATTGTCTTTATTACAGTCTTTATACTTCAGTAAAGAAGGGTTTTCTATAAAATGCACTTAAAATAATCTGGTCCTGTCACTAAAAATAGGAAAGATAAGGTAATTGCAGTCAAACCTAGTGAGTCGGCTTGCTACCTAGGTGCATTAAACCGAAAATGACAAATCCAGTGAACTCCAGTGGGAGATACATACTTCCTCCCTGCTGGACGCATTGGTATTTTTCCTACCGTCAGCCCGAGGAATGCGCAGGGACCATACTTGTCACCAGCCTGCCTTCCCAGCTTGGCTTTTTCATTACCTTGGAGAAAGAAGCCGGGAGGCAGGCCAGTTGCCTCAGGAGCAGGTCTTCCTCACCAATCTGATTCCAGCACTGGGAAATTTACCTGTCTCCTTAGTGACTGCGACACCCACATCAAACACAACACAGAACACTTCCCTCCTGAGACACGAGGCGCAGCAGGCAGCCTAGCTACCTGCTGGGTATGAAGCTGAAAGTCTGGATCCTGGAGCCGAGGCCCCCAGTAGAAGGGGACCCCTGGGGCTGAGGCGCTCACCTCTCACTGCAGAGGTCTCAGACAAGCTAAGAGTAGGCTGGGGGAGCGGGGCTGCAGCATCCACCTGAGCATTTGAGAAAAGCAAAACGGCCATAGGGAGTTACGGTCACTCTCAAGGAGAGGAGAAAAGCAGACGTGGCTCACCAAATGCCAAATGTATATGTTTAGATTGGGGAATCTTTTGATTGGGTTTTCCCTTGAAACTGAATAGTCACAACTTCATAAAATGTTTTAAGGGAGAAAACCTAGAAGCTCAAGGGGGGAGAAAGAAACAAAGTCATTTCATCTGCCTGGTAGTTTCCCACTCACCCCTTCTAATCCCCCAGCACCTTCCAGAAACAAATGTGTCTTGATCCTCAGCAAAGATTGGCAGTTGAGGAGTTCCAGACCAGGGCAGGAAGCGTCTTCTCTGTGTCCTGCTTCCTGTCCACTGGTTCGTGTGCCCACCCTACCCCAGTTACCTACAATATACCTGCCCCGGTCAAGTAATCACGTTTCTAAGTGAAAAAACAGAAAATCCTGGGCACTTGAAAGTATCACGATGGCTATCAGGATCTGGTGGCAAATGAACTCTGAGTTGAAATGTGCACTTCAGCTACCCTGTGGGCAGAACTTGGCCTTCCTAGTTTGAGTATTGCTAGTTTGAGTATGTGGCATTAAAAACTGGAGTAATATGTCCATAAACATCTAGAGAATAGATAAGCGTTTGGAAAATTTGCCTGGGTTTTTTTCCACTGAAGCAAATGCATTATTTATTTTGCTTTTGAAATGCTAAACCAAACAACTTTGGCCATCTTTAAGATGAAAATAGGAGACAAAACTCCCAAAATGTTAACTGTAGTTCTACATTAGCATCACTAAACAGTATTTCTTCCCCATCCACCAGCAGATTTCCCATAATTACAGTGCTACTCAGTGAGGGTATATTTGTATACCATACATACACAGACTTTAGAAATGGGTAGCCTAAAAGCTATAAAACTGTCTCCAAGAATGTACAGTGATAAGAGGGCAGAAGTCACAGGACAGACTCTGAATCTTAATAATTGTGTGTATTCAGCCATTTATTATATCTAGAGTGCTATTTACTGTAAAAATGAAGAACAGGAGAGTATGATACTCGCTGGCTTCTATATTTTATGTTGGCTTCTCTTTCATAGCCCCACACTGGAGGAAGGAAGTGAAAACATCCCTCTGCCTCATAGGTTATCTAGTTGCTGTCATAATTCCTTTATTTATATGCATGTATGTTTTATCTACAAAAGATATCCACATGAGAGCTGATCTTTCTGCAACTGTTACAGAACTATTAAATGTATATTAGTATGGTCATTTTTATTTAATGGAAACAAATAACAGTTAATCTTATTGGAAGGGTTAAGTGGGTTTATTTGGTAAAGGGCAAATCCCTTTGGATGCTTTCTTTTTTAAAGAATGGCTGCAGTTGCTGACAGATGGTCTTTGTCTGAATGTAGCTGAGGACAGATACAGTTTCTTTTTACACATTTATGAAAGTTGTAGATATAGATGCTGGTAATATGCTGTGGCCTAGGACAAAGAGCAAAGCTTGGTGGACAGAGAGGATTAAATTTCAGATCAGTGACAGATGGCTGGCTTAGCAGAGTCAGATAAAATTAAAAGAGGGGGGTAGTGGGTGAAAAGAAACCACTTTCCATGTAAAAGTTGCATCTTCTAAGACAACAGCAGCATGCAACGTCTAGCTTTCTTCCCAACCTGGTACTCAGTTCCTGGATTTAAATTTCTTCTTCAAATACGCATTTTAGTTTTGCCTTTGCAGAAGAAATGGATTCTTTATTGATCGAACTTATCTAAGGGAAACTAAGAAACAATACAATTAACAATTTGTTTTTCAACTTGGCCAGCAAAGAATACTTCCATTTGCAAAACTACACAGGTTAGTTGCATGTGGGTCCTTACCTACATTACTCCTCCCCAGCTTGAGCAGATTTTTATAAGCCCAATGGTAAAATCTATATTTTTGCTTACTCCATATGCACCATTTAAACTTATCACATCACTATAACCTTCGTCAAATAACCATACAACATATTTAGTGTTAATTTGTCACACTGAAATTATTCATAGGTGCCTTGAGTAAGTCCAGTAATATTTATGGGCCATGCCATTCCATGTTTTCTGGCAATGCAGTTTGCTAGATTTCATAGATTTACTGTGTCTGCTTTTTTATGACTGACATAGCAATAACCAGATTGCAAAGATATTTATGTTGTTTGTGGCTTAGCAAGATAATTAAAGGATATAAATTAATCAAGTGCAATTAATTAGAAACTTTATGTTCGCAGCAGTCCTTCTTTGCATGTATAATTTATATTTATTGATTTCCTGGCTTTCATTAGCCTATGAGATAACAGCAAAAAATGCATTAGAGAAGAAAATGTACAATTAGCGTGAGAGTGAACCTTGGCATAATGGATAGATCAGCACATGTTTGGGGCAAATATAAAGCTTTGTTAACTGTCATAAGCAGTTACAATTGATGAGTGGTATTTCACTACATATCTTTCAGCTGATTAACGGCATTTTTAAAGAGTCCCCTTAATGGGAAGCTGATAGGTTGGCTAAATTTACATTTTAATCAGAGTATTTGTGATGGAGGCAGCCCTAGAAATTCATTGGCAGAGGGCAGGAGATGTTCCCTGAGGGACTAAGGTAGGGAGGAGGCTGTGGAGGGTGTCAGCTCACCTATTCCTTCTCTCGTTATTTGTCCAAAAGTGTCAGGGTGGGGAGGGGCAAGAACCCTAATGGCCTCCTCATAACTGGCCCCATTCTGATTAATCTTCAGGAGAAAGGGCCAGATGTGTGAGATGCCAGAAGAAGGGAGCCCTGATCACACTCTGTGTACAGCGGATCTCAAGCATTTCCACCAAGGACTCCGCCTAGGAGGGAGAGATAGCTTGTCTTGAGGAAGGACAATGCCCTATGTGAATCTACTTCTATTTCCTAACTGGATTGGGAGCCAAACCAACAAGCTCCAAAAAGATCACACAAGAGGCCCCAGTGCCGGGGCCAGAGGGCCACCTATTCATGCCTATGGATCCAGAGCTACCATTTTAAACCTAGAGGCAGGGCCCCCTCCTGAACTGTAAGCCATTAAAAAAGTCAGATTCATTCAAGCAAGAACAGAAGTTAGGTTGTGGAACAGAGAAAACTTTTCAAAAGAAGTGAAAAGTAGATCCTCATGTAATCATCCCTTCTTTCTTCAAAATAGGCTGAGGCAGTTCTCTGGAATTCCCAGAGAAGACTGAAATGGAATCTTCTATTACCCTTCTGAGCAATTACATGTCCAGGAGTCTTTGAGAAGGAACACAAGCTATTTCCTAAATATATATCTATTTCTATATCATGAGGCCTGCTGGGGCAGATTGGGTGTCTTTGTTGGTTAAAAGAGACTACCTAAGATGTTATCATGGCAGCACATAACAAAAACACATCAAGTTTGGACAATTAGTGAGGCTGTAGAGTGGGATTCATGTCTGGCTGGTGAAGTGGCCCTTACTGGGCCTCTCTGTAGGAGAGGACCTATTTCTTCTTGTCCTCACATGGAGATGAGACAATAGGGCTAGGCAGCCATGTTCTATGCTTAGTGGCAATTCTCAACATGGTCCTTATACTAAAGAATGCCAGGAGGCCCTCTTTCTGGAAAGAAAAACAAAAGAAGGTGCTCATTCCTGATTCAGAGACAAACCAGGGAGAACTTCAGTTAGTTCAGAAAATGCCTGGAACAGAGTGAGACTGGGGGCTTGGCCTTTTCTCCAGCAAGGACAAAAACCATTGTCTTCAGTCTCACCAAACACCCTTCCCTCTCCCTTTCATTTTGGTTCCCGTGTAGTCTGAGCATTCAAAACCCCCTCTCCTATTTCCTGGTAGAATCCCATAAGTGTGGATTGAATATTGACAGAATCTTCCATGTTTCTTCCTGCCCTAGGGCAATTAGAGTTGAATTATGTACACCAAAGTCAGGCTATAAATAAGAAACTATTTTTCATTTATCTCAATGAGAAGAAATCCTTATTAGACCCTAAACAGAAGAAATGAGCGAATATGAGATTAATATAAGTGAAGGAGGCTATAGTTTCTGCTTTGTGTGGTGATAAACCCTTTTTTTCCTTTTCATACTAATTATTGTTATCATTATTAGTATTATTTTACCCCTCAATTGCCTTCGGATGTTATCCAAGAGGAAGAGCTTTATCGGTTGGTGAAAGCTCCACAGTATTATTTATTTCATGTAATAAAATGTATGTAATGATCATGATTAATGTTTGTTTGTTGTTGTATCATTGTGTTTCCCTTCCAGTCTCAGTGTGATACTGGTTTAATTAAACTTGGGAGAGGGTGGGTGTGGGGTTGGGTGACGAGCTTCACAACTTTATACAATAATGGAGTGTGCATTTTGTTGTATTCACATGTCGACTGAGATGAAGATGTCCCCATAAATGACTGATTCTGTTTGTTCTTTTAAAGGAAAGTCCATTTCCCATCCTTTATTGTGTAATTTACAGATAAATTTGTTGTGCTTCAGACCAAATGCTTTTATGTACAGAAATTGCAATGACAGTAGAAATTATGGTAATTGAAGAGTGCTCTATTTTAGGTTTTTCTCTGATCACATGAAGTGATCATCAGCGTCTTTCGTGGCCATAATCATGCCCCAGATTCCAAATTATTTTTTATTAGTTTGTTATTCAGATTAAGCATTTGTTCAGGGGAGGGAAGGACTGAGAGAGAAAAGCAAAATGTTGTCTTTGCTGATTGATCTTCTCCTCTGAGGAAAAATTAGATAGGTCTAGTTGGAGCTATTTTTTTTGCATTTCAATGCACCGAAAAGCAGTTTGCAAAGACTCCTACTACCTAATTTCTTCATCTTCTTGGGAAAATCAAATATGGATCCTAAATGAAAGCCATAGAGCTTTTAAATAAATGAATATATTTTTAAAGTTTTTAAAGTGTAGTTTAGATTTGCCTTATCTTAATAACATTTATAGCACTTCACAGTTTACAAAGCACATAACTACCTACTATCTCATTTTAACATTACAATCTTTGAAGGAGCCAGGGCATGACATGACAGCTTTTTACATAGCATACATATCATACCATGATATACATTTGAAGCTATGTCTAATTTCTGTAACTTGCTTTTTTCCCTTCAATAACATGTTGTGGATATCCTTTGTGTCAGTATGTGAAAATTCGGTCTAACTAGAGACATTTAGGGTGCCTTCAGATTTTTCTTATATAATAATGCTGAATTAATATTCTTGTGAATGTATGTGTATACATGCAAACATTTATACATACATATACACATATACATAACATATGTGTGCATATGTGTGCCTGTGTGTGGATGAGAAAGAGTCACGGTTAGAGAGAAAGAGAAAGTTTACATATGCATTTAGGCAAGATAGAGTGTTTTGGATCAGAATATATATAATTCAAGTTTTTTACAGAGGCTGCTAAATCCTACAAGGAGATTGTACCAATTTACAACCTGCAACAATATATACAGGGCTCATTTTCCCCTTCTTCTAGCTCTGGATAATATCAATCTTTAACTTTTGCCAACTTTAAGGAAAAAATGGTATTATTTTATTTGTGTTTTTTCAATTAGTAATGAATAATAGATCACCTTTGTATAAGTTTATTAGCCACTCATATTTCACTTTCATAGCATTTCCTGTTCACATAATTTGCAAATGTCGATTTTCGAATCATTTCTCATTTTCTTTTTAATTTGTAGAACTTTCATTAATACTAACGCCTTAGTGATTAAATACATTATATCTTGGTCTTTCGTTTGAGTTTTAATTTTGTTTACAAGGTCCTACACAAGTTTTTTTTTTTAATCTTTTAAGTTTTAATGTTGTCAAATCAGAATATGGATTTTATGATGAAGAAAGGAAATTCGGAAGGAAAAGTGACTTGCTCAAATTTATTCTGCCTTTAATTGGGAAAAGATTTGAACCGAGTTGTGTTTTTTTAACCCTATACCATTTCTCTGTGGATGTTATCATGGCCTTAGTTATACATATGTGCCTGAAAAGTGAGTGTGGTTATAAATTTCCGTTTTAATTACTGGGCTTCTTGGCCTCCCTTCAGTTATCTCCAACTCCTCTTCCCACTCCCCTTAAAGGAAGTTTTCTGCCCATCTTTCAAAACTCAGCTCATATCACACATGTATAAAACTTTCCCAGATATTCTCAAGTCAGCCTTTTCCTGTTCCGTTATTATATGGTGGTGGTATGAGCCTTTGGGCAGCATCTATCAAAGTCTCTTTTGTGAGGCAGGTTTTTATGTCACGGCTCCCTCCTGCCCTAGAGAGTGAACTTGCATGAGTTAAGAGCCTGTGGTAGATTAATTGCAGTCATCAGCAGAACTCCTACTGTAACCATGTCCTGGTAATGTATTCTTCACATCAAGAAGTGGATACTCTTTCTCCGGCCCTTGAATCTGGAATGGCTTTGTCACTTGCTTTGGCAGAAGAAAGGACCTTGCCTTCACATTCCGCTCTCGGTACTCTCTTGGTCCCTACCATGGACACCATGGAAGAAGCCCATATTTGCCTGTTGAAGAATGAGAGACCATGTGGAGGAGAATTGTCCCAGGGGAGGCCATCCTAGACAAGGCAATTCCCAACTGATCTATCAAGTAACAGCAGACGCATGAGCAATGGCAGCTAAAATCTGCTGAGCCTATCCCAGACCAAAAGAAACTGTCAATCATCCTATGCATTTATGAGCTAAGTAAATGTTTATTGTTTCAGCCACAATTGGGTGCTTTGTTACACAGCAATAGATGACTGGTAATAAGCCTTTCTGCGGCAAATTAAGCATGGTCTCATTGAGCACAAGTAAGAACTAGTTCCAATGTCTTATTCATTTTTCAATCCTTGAAACATAGCCTAGCACATTACATTGGACGTAGTAGCTGTACATAGCTGTTAAATTCAATCTCTTCCTTTAACTGCAATGGATAATCTGAATACTTGCCGGGATGCTTTTGGTAGGAACATCCTATTTTCTCAAAGCCAGTCAGACTCTGGCCACATTCATAATAAGGAAATTTGGAATAAGCAAAAAACATCATTGAGTGTCTCCAATAGGAAATTATTCACTGTTTAGAAGACACCTGTCTGGGTAATCTGATCCTGGCCTTGCATTGACTTTGAGCTGTGTTACAGCTCCGTAAGTTGTGGAGAACTGATGGCAATGCAATTGATTTTTGTCTACGAGCATGCAAACGAATTCTATCCAGTGGAGAAACAACATTCCTTCACCCACACTCCCCACCCACCATCACACTAGCATCATCACTACCACGGAAAAGCCAGTTTTGCATCTGTTTGCAAATTCATTTCAATATTCCTGATCCATAAATGTGACTGTTTGAATTCTCCTTTGACCCTGTTATAGCATCTACCTTGTTCCTTCATCTAATAGCATGTTATATAAAATCGTTGACGTATGTTCATTTTTTATGTGTATGAGTGTTGTAATTATACCTTTGTTTGAAAATTATATTTTGACAGTTTGCAAGATACTTCCAGATGTCCAGTGGATTCACCTGTCAGAGCTGATTAACGTTCACTGTCAAAGGGTGAACTTCATGACAGCTTAAGCCCACGCATGTCATTGCTTAGCTCTCAGTCTGAATCAGATGAATCTGAATTGGCACAAATACTTTGCTGATTCTCCTCTTTTCTGATTTTAATTTTCTTCTTTGCTTTATTCTTTGTTTTTGCTTTTACTGTGTCTATGGCTAATAAGTTATTTTCCATGGGTGGAAATAATGACTTGGGAATTTAGTTTTGTGGTCAGAGCATTTGGTGATCTCTGGATGTAGATTAATGGTCGGTTGAGATCCAGTCTCCATTAGGTGAGAGATGACAGAATCTGGCTTGCTAGTCATTATCCTTTGTCTGTTTGTTTATTTTTAGTTCAAATCAAATAAGACTTTTTTGCCTACCAGGAAGGGGAACAGCTCCTTGATAGTCAGACTGGTGAGCTTTTGTGTTCTGGATTTTCTCTTGATCTTTGGCTGAAATTATAGAATAGAAGCTTCAAGTTTTCTACGTGTCTCCCTGTCTACACGTCATGTCTGCAATTCAGACAAGACTTTACTCTAAGTGCATATGTAATGTTTCCATATTTCCCAAGAATATTAATAAATTATATTGTAAGGTGTCTTAAATGAAAGGAATTCTGTTCTAATTGGTTTATAAAGCTAAATATGTATATGTGCAGATTAAATGTTCCTAAAATTCCCAAATGTAAGAAAATTAAATTTCTAATACTTTAAATTTCTGATACTATTGTATACTTACAAGAAAAATATCCTTACAGAAATAACTCAGAAATACTTTAGTAACTGAATTTCATATAATTAAGGCAAATCTTTGGCAAACAAGACTAGTTTAATAATTTTTGTTTATTAAAAACCACTGTATCTTCTCTTTTCTTCCATGTCAATTATAATACAAGCAAATATTTTTATTATGCTTGGGTATATTTTCCTAAACTTATACATTCTATTATGTTTAAATTATGAAAAATGTAAATATAACTTTATGTTTAACTAAATTGAATCATTTTATTCTCACAAACTACTTATTTCAACAGTAATTATATTCAGTAGTGTGTCAGCTTGAAGATAAATTCCCACATCTTTAGGTAACTAAAAATCTGAGAATGATGTTAAATGGAGTTAATTAACGGATAACCATTCTATAGTAGGTTATTTCTAACTAAGGTACACTACACTAAAAAGCATTGACTACTAAACATATTTTCAAGGTTGTCTGTTTTTGCTTTCCTTTTTGTTTTTATACACTACAGAGATGCTATATATTTGGACCAGGTTAATGAAGAAGTTTATATTTGTCACTTAGGGAAGCTGTATAAAGAATATGAGTGGCTGTTGAATGTCAGTGTGTGACAGACGTTTTTCAATTATTCATTCTTCAGTTTTCTTCCTGAAAGGGAAGTTAGTTACCTTGATTAAAGTATTAATTAGTATAAATATTTGAGACTATATTAAGAGAAAGAGTAAAAGAGAAATATAACTGTACATGCTTCTGCTTTTCAAGAATTTTCAAATATTCTGTTTTGTCCTAATATCGTGAATCTCCCTTCTGTTTATTTCCATCTCCAGACCACTTTACTCACTTAAAACTTATTTAGGCCTCAAAGAACTTTGATTTTTATAGATTATAACTACTGATACTTACTATATTAGAAATTGAAACTGATAACATTTTAAAATTTTGCTGATTGATATGAAAGCAGCAATGATTTTATTTCATGTTAATGATATCTTTAAAAATTGTTTGCAGGTACATAGTATGTGTATATATTTATGGATTACATGAGATACTTTGATACAGGCATGCAATGCATAGTAATGACATCAGGGTAAATAGGGTATACATCACCTCAAGCATTTATCTTTCGTATTTCAAACAATCCAATTATACTTTTTTTGTTATTTTAAAATGCACAATTAAAATTGTTTTTTCACTATAGTCACCCTGTTGTGCCAGCAAATACTAGGACTTCTTTATTCTTTCTATGTTTTTGTACCTACTAACCATGCCTTCTACATCCCACTGCCCTGACTACCCTTCCCAGCCTCTGGTAACCATCCGTCTACCCTCTATCTCCATGAGTTCAATTGTATAATTTTTAGCTCCCACAGATAAGTGAATATATAGGACATTTGTCTTTTTGTATCTAACTCATTTCACTTAACATGATGACCTCAAGTTCCATTCATATTGTTGCAAATGACAGGATCTCATTCCTTTTTTTCTGGCTGAATAGTACTCCACTGCCTCTACGTACCACATTTCCTTTATTCATTTGTCTGTCGACGGACACTTAGGTTGCTTCTAAGTTGGCTGTTGTGAATAGTGCTGCAATAAACATGGAGTTAAGATATCTCTTCGATATACTGATTTCCTTGCTTTTGGGGATATACCTAGGAGTGGGATTACTGGATAGTATGGTAGCTTTATTTTTAGTTTTTTGAGAAACCTCCAAACTGTATTCCATAGTGGTTGTACTAATTTACATTCCCACCAACAGTGTATGAGGGTTTTTTTCCCCACATTCTCATTAGCCTTTGTTATTGCCTGTCTTTTGAATAAAAGTCATTTTGACTGGGTGACAAGATGTTGCATTGTAGTTTTGATTTGCATTTCTCTGATAATCAGTGATATTGAGCACCTTTTCATATATCTGTTTGCCATTTGTATGTCTTCTTTTGAGAAACATTCATTCAGAATCTTTTGTCTACTTTTAATTGAATTATTATATTTTTCTATAGAGATTTTTGAGCTCCTTACATATTCTGGTTATTAATCCCTTGTTAGATGGGTAGTTTGCAAATATTTTTCCTCATTCTGTGGGTGTCTCTTCACTTTGTTGATTGCTTCCTTTACTATATGGAAGCTTTTTAACTTAATGTGATCTAATTTTTCCATTTTTGGTTGCCTGAGCCTGTGAGGTATTGCTCAAGAATTCTTTGCCCACTCCAATGTCCTAGAGAGTTACTCCAATGTTTTATTTTAGTAGTTTCATAGTTCGAGGTCTTAGATTTAAGTATTTAACCCATTTTATTTGATTTTTGTACATGGTGAGAGAGAGAGGCCTAGTTTTATTCTTCTGCATTTGGATATCCAGTTTTCCCAGCACCGTTCATTAAAGGGACTGTCCTTTCCCTAATGTATGTTCTTAGACTCTTTGTCAGAAATTAGTTCACCATAGATGTATGTATTTATTTCTGGGTTCTCTATTTTGTTCTATTGTTCCATGTGTCCGTTTTTATGCCAGTACCATGCCATTTTGGTTACTATAGCTCTGTAGTATAATTTGAAGTCAGGCAATGTAATTCCTTAGTTTTGTTATTTTTGCTTAGGATAGCTTTGGCTATTCTGGGTTCTTTGTAGTTCCATATAAATTTTTTTTTAAATATTTCTGTAAAGAATGTCATTGGTATTTTTATAGGAATTGTATTAAATCTGTAGATTGCATTGGGTAGTATGGACATTTTAACAATATTGATTCTTCCAATCCATGAACATGGAATTTCTTTCCATTTTTTTGTGTCTTCTTCAATTTCATGCATTTAATGTTTTATAGTTTTTATTATGGAGATCTTTTACTTCTTTGGTTAATTCATAGATCTTTAATTTCATTTGTAGCTATTATAAATGGGATTACTTTACTGATTTCTTTTTCAGCTTGTTCTCTGTTGACATATAAAAATACTACTGATTTTTGTGCATTGATTTTGTATCCTGCGATTTTACTGAATTTGTTTATCAATTCTAATAGTGTTTTTGTGGAGTTCTTAGGTTTTTCCAAACATAAGATCATATCATCTGGAAACAAGGATAATTTGACTTTTTCCTTTCCAATCTGAATGCCCTTTATTTCTTTCTCTTGTGTGATTCCTCTGCTAGGACTTCCAGTACTATGTTGAATAGCAGTTGTGACAATGGGCATCCTTGTCATGTTCCAGGTCTTAGAGGAAAGGCTTTCAGTTTTTCTCCATTCAGTATGATATTAGCAGTGGGTCTGTCATATATGGCTTTAATTATGTTGAGGTATGTTCTTGCTATCCCCAGTTTTTTGAGGGTTTTCATGATGAAAGTATTTTCAATTTTATTAAATGCTGTTTCAACACCAATTGAAATGATCACATGGTTTTTATCTTTCATTTTGTTGATATGATGTATCACATTGATTGACTTGCATATGTTGAACCATCCTTGCACCCCTGGAATAAATCTCACTTGGTCATGATGAATGATCTTTTTAATGTGTTGTTGAATTCAGTTTGCTAGTATTTTTCTGAGGATTTTTGCATCAATATTCTTCAGTGACACTGGCCTGTAGTTTTCTTTTTTTTATGTGTCTTTGCTTTTGTTATCATGGTAATACTGGCCTTACAGAATAAGTTTGGAAGTATTCCCCCTCCTCTGTTTTTTAGAATAGCTTGAATAGGAATGGTATTAGTTCTTTAAATGTTTGGTGAAATTCATCAGTGAAGACTTTGGGTCCCAGACTTTTCTTTGCTGGAAGTTTTATTATGGCTTTGATGTCATTGCTTGTTATTGGTCTGTTTGAATTTTGAATTTCTTAATAGTTCAACTTTGATAAGTTGTATGTGTCTAGGAATTTGTCAATTTCTTCTAGGTTTTCCAATTTATTGGCACATAGTTGCTCATAGTAGCCACTAATGATCTTCTGAATTTCTGAAGTATCAGTTGCAATATCTTTTTCTTCATCTCTGATTTTATTTATTTGGGTCTTCTCTAATTTTTTCCTAGTTGGTGTAGCTAATGGTTTGTCAATTTTGTTTAACTTTTCAAAAAACAATCCCTTATGTTTCATTTATCTTTTGTATTGTTTTCTTTATTTCAATTTCATTTATTTCTGCTTTGGTCTTTATTATTTCTTTTCTTCTACTAATTTTGGGTTTGATTTGCTGTTGCTTTTCTAGTTCTTTAAGATGTGTCATTAGGTTGTTTATTTGAAGTTTTTTTGTTTTATTTTTTGATGTAGGCACTTATAGCTGTAAACTTCCTATTAGTACTGGTTTTGTTCTCTCTTTCCCCTATGTTTTGGTATGTTGTGTTTTCCTTATCATGTGTTTCAAGACATTTTTCATTTTTTTCTTAATTTCTTCATTGATCCACTCGTCATTCAGGAACATATTGTTTAATTTCTATATAACTGTTAGAAATATACATATGTATTTGTATAGAAATTGGTTGCGGACAGCAACCAATCCGATGCTGGAGTAAAGTTACAGCTATGCAAAGGTCTGATTGGTTGCAAAAAACAACCAGTCAGAGGTACTTTCAATTTCCCATCTGCCATGCAGAAAACATGGGGGTTCGCAAAGAGAGTAGCTTCTGGTCCTTTTGCTACTTAGGTGTGGAAAGTTAGAGTTTTCCTTTCAATTAGTTCTAGGAAGTGAGGGTGGGGCCTTAGGTTCCCTGCCTCCAAATCCTATTCTCCTGTCTCAAATGAATACTCTTGTTCCACGTATGTAAATAATCAGGCCAGTGTTAATGAAATCAACCTTATTTGGTAATCAGAATAATCTCTCCTTGGGAGGAAGAGTAAAAGAAATTTGAAATAAACAAAAAAGATCACCGGGTATCTCTCGTGGAAAATTTTGTACAATTTTGACACCCTCCTCCAAGTTTTCTGGTTCTAGCCGTTAATTGTAAGGACTAGAGAACTCATGGCAATGCGAAGGGTTCTTTCTACAGACATGCAACTACATTATGTCTTGTGAAGGAACAGCCCTCCCTCACTATGGAAAGACTGTTTTGCATTCATCTTCAAGTTCATTTCAATATTCCCAAGCTAATACCATGGATGTTCTTCAGATTCTCCTTTGAACTACTTGTGACATCTGCATTGTATCCTCATTTTGCTTAATGACTTAAATGCAAATTTTGACATGTGTTCCTTGTATATCTGTATGAGAGTCATGAGTTCACCTTTTTTTTGAAAATTATTTAAACAATAGATAGTAAGCTATAATCATATTGTTTGATGTCTACACCTTGGCAAACATTTCTGCCATGAAGGTTATTTAGGAACAAATTTGTTTTCTCCTGGTCTTGTCTGCCCAGGGTCCATTTTTCGTCTTCTGATAAAAGCAAAGCTACTTCTTCCCAAGTTTTAGTTCCATGTTTCCAGTGGGTTTCAGCCCCAGTAAAAGCTCATACTTCTAGGGGTGTGCATGATACTAAGACCTGGCTAATCTGAGTGTCACATTCAGCCTGTCCACTGCATTTTTGTAAGGGTTGACCAGTTGACCACAGGCAAGCCAGAGTCAGTGAGACTCAATTCTGGATTTTGGGTAGAGAAAGAAATTTATTTCTGCTGGACTTAATGAAAGAACAAGCTATAAGCTGATAATACTGGTGACCCTCTAGCCACAGGATGGGAAAACCCAGCCTGAAGTGAGGCCACATAGAGGAAAATGGATCAAGAAAATGAGAAAAGCAACCAAGTCGTGACAATTCTGTTTGAGCCAATAAACTGGTTTCTGTCATTTGCAAGAGTGCTGATTAATCCATTTCCATAAAGTTAACCCATAGGATCAAAAGTATGCCAACTTAGAGCCAAAGGGGCTATTATTTTGAATTGATATTGTAGCAAGAAAGCTATTATTATTATTAATCTTTCAGTAAGTAGAGCAGAAAGAAAATTTTTCTTTCAAATCAAAATTCCAGAACTGAATCTTACTGGCTCTGACTTGCCTGGCTTGCAACAACTGGATACCATTTGTAGCTGCAGTAGAGTGTTGAGTAGGGCATACCTATAGGATGGTGCTTTTGAAACTTACTCAGAAGTGCTTTCTGGGCCGGCTCACTCACATTCTACCTTACTTACTCCATCAAAGTCCCAACCATGGAAGGCTCTGGTGTCAAATCATAAGATCCCACTGCTGTTTTTTTTTTTGTTTGTTTGTTTGTTTTTTGCTGCAGGCATGCAGGAGGAACACAGACTTGGTGTATTGTCAGCTCCTAGGAGGATGGACGAAGCTCCTGTAGAGCTGATTAACAGAAGCAATTTGGCCCTGGGTTTTACTCCAAAGCTAAATTCTAAATCAGAATCACAGAGGAATAAATATTTGATGTTAATGCAGGCCTTCCTTAATTTCACTGTAAAATTGTTTGGAAATTGTAAACAGACGGGGAACAAGGGGAACACAAAGTGGAAGGTGGATTTGGAGATCTGGATTGCCCATTAATACATTATGACCAATAAACAGGACTGTGGAGTGTAGAAAGGCACTTTGCACTTAGATGCTTTTGCTGAAAGATGAGAGATAGAAAAATAAGATTTGACAGTGTCCCCTGTAATTTTGCATGGATGGCTTATGTAAGACATAGTAATTTGGATGCAATTATTTTTGTAATGCTGATATTTTAAAGAATTACTGTTCAGCTTAGGGTTAACTGTATTCATTGAATTGTTTAACAAACAAGTTTTGAGCATCTTTGCTTAGGAACAAAGTAATCCTCTGTGTGTGTGTGTGTGTGTGTGTGTGTGTGTGTGTGTGTATGTTGTGGGAGAGAATATTTTAAAAGTTCTATTGTCAGTTTATTATATTGAAATTTTACCTACAAGTAGTTATGTTTCAAGCAGCACAATTTAACTTGCGGTATTGAGAAATCCAAGTAATAATGAATTCAGTAAAAAAAATTATTATACTTAAGAATTATATCCAGAAAATTATAATCACTTATAAAAGGAGGAGACATAAAGTCCATTTTATGTATATGCATGTTTTCCAAACTTGTCAGAGCCAAAATAATCTCCTAGGGTACTTGATAAAAGGTGTTGCATTTGGGGATTTTTTTAACAAGTTCTTACAATCAGAAAATTTTAGGAAATATTGCAAATGTGCCCACCTATACAATATTACATATGTAAATATATGTGTTGATATTCATATATGCACATACATGTATGCATTCTTGCCTTTATGTAACAGTAATTCTCCCCTGTAGTACAGGATAACTGTTACCTTCCTTGACCAACTTTTTTGAAGAGCACATAACATAATGCAAGAAGAATTAAGGACTCCTTTCTTTTTGCACGTATTTCTAACCGTGAATATATATTGATGACTTACACGTCTGTCTTCCCTGTACAATTATGAAATCTCTGATGATGGAAGCTCGTCTTACCCATCTCTATAACTCTAGGGCTTAACAAAGAGCTGGCACAAAGTCTAAACACAAATATTGGTTGATTATAATTATATTAAAATGTTAAATAGGAATGCACAGAGAGAAGTGGAAAGTCATGCTACAGAGTTGGGTAAGAGTTCGAAGTCAGAGAAGGCTGGGTTGGAATCCCCACTACCACCTAGTATTTGGTGACATGGGCAAGTTCCCTAACCTCTGGAGCTCCAATCTCCTTACCTGTTTGATGTGTGGGATTACGGTGCCCACCTCATGAGTTTGCTGTGAAGATTAAATGTGTAAACCTACATAGCACCACATTATTCTTAGCAAATATTAGCTTTCTTTACCACCGTCGTCAACTTTATTAGCTATTTTCATTCACTCTCTTTTTAAAAACAGAACTTAACAGTTATTCATATGTTGACACATTGCCTTGAATTCCAAGTCAACAAATATGTCAGACATTTTTGTTGCAGGCAAGGAACTGAACACCACCTCATAAAGGCTTCAACAAAATTTAAGACATAGTCCCTCCCTCAGGGGGCTTTCAGAGGGAGCTTTTGGTTGAGTGGACTCAGTATGGTACATCTAGGGAGGAGGATCATCTTAAATAACAGAAGACTGATTGGGGGTGCGAATGATTGAGGGACCCCAATCTGCACTGCTGGGATAGGGGCTGGGGACTACCCAGGTCTCAGAAAACGATGTGTCATTTATTAGGGCATTCTTAATGCCAAACATCTGAGTAGAAGAGGGAGACTGGGATGTTTACGTCACTCCTTCTTCACTTGCATCTTTGGTGTCATATAGGCTCAACTCAGCTGGGGCCAGCAGCAGATAAGGACTGAACCCTGTCTACTCTGAGGCTCTCTGTCCATGGGCACTGCCAACACCAGCCTCTAGTGTGCCTCCCTTTTGTGAAGCCTCGGGACCACTCACTGGGTCATAGAACCAGAGAGCATCAGTTGGCAAGATCCTCAGTGGACAGGGAGAGAAACTGAGGCCTAGAGGGAGAAAGGAACTTTCACATCAATATTCAGATAGATTCACAAAATTCAGATTCACAGCCCAGGACTCCTTTACAGTAAAGGGATAACTGAAATTTCAAGGGTTTTTTTTTGTTGTTTTTCTGTTTTTTGTTTTTTGTTTTACCAAAAATGGCACCAAGTAACATTTGCAAATAATAGTAGCAGGAATGCCATGAGTTTGGAGTCCTCAGCCTTGAATGCACGTTAGAATCATATAAAAACTTTAAAAAGATATGGTCCTATTCCAGAACAATTAAATGTGAATATTAAGGGGACAGTGGGTATCTGGCTATTTCCAGATGTTCCCCTAGGTGATTCTGGTGCACAGTGAGGGTTGAGACCCAAGACTTTTAAGACATAGCTGTCATAGAATCCATGACATTTGATTTAATACCAGAAGTCATACTTACTTTTAGAACACACCAGCTTTAAAGGTACATAAAAAACAATGAGAAGTGTGTGAATATGCACCCTTCCTCATTGTCTGAGGCCAAGCGTCTCGCTTTGAGGCCAGGCAGGATCTCTCCTTTGATAGAATTGAAACGTCACCAAAATTGTATTATTTCTCCAGAAAACTCATCCCAAATTAGGTTCTCATTTTCCAGCTCTGTGTTTCCCACACCGTAGTCCACATCAGAATCTATCGGAAAGCTTGTTAGAACACAGATTGCTGGGCCCTAACCTCAGAGTTTCTGATTCTGTGGGTGCCCAGGGGAAGCTGATGCTGCTATGTTCCAGGGGCCATAGTTTGAGAACCACTAGTCTAGCTCATGCTCACTGCTAATAGCAATAAATGGAGGCCAGGCATGGTGGCCCACACCTGTGATCCCAGCATTTTGGGAGGAAAAGGTGGGAGAATTGTTTGAGCTCAAGAGTTCAAGACCAGCCTGGGCAACATGTAGAGATCCAGTCTCTACTATATATCTCTATCTCTCTCTCTCTCTCTATCTATCTATCTATATATCTATCTAGATAACATGTCTATCTATCTATCTAGATAATATAATATATATATGATATATATATTATATATATATCTGGGTGTGGTGGCACATGCCTATAGTCCCAGCTACTCTGGAGGCTGAGGCAAGAGGATTGCTTGAGCCTGGGAGGTTGAGGCTGCTGTGAGCTGTGATCATGCCACTCTACTCTAGCCTAGGTGACAGAGTGAGATACTATCTCAAAAAAGGAAAAGGAAGGAAGAAAGGAAGGAAAGAAGGAAGGAAGGAAGGAAGATGTCAATTATTTCAAAATAAAAGACGTCAGAAAAAAACACTGAAAGATTTCAGTTGGTCTTAAAGACGAATGTTCGATACCTTAAGTAATCAGCAGTGACACTGTAAAAACCCCTCCTTTGAAGATTTTGAAAATGGGACCACTTGTAAGAGATGATTCCAATCTCTCCCAGTAGTAACCATGTCATCATCCAGCCACCTGCATCTGCCCTGCTTGGGTCTCCTTGAAAATACCCATACAGCTCTGTCTGCCACTGGTTCCCACTTCCGTATCTGCCATCAGGAGAGTTGCTGTGCTTTTGGTCAAATTTACGGAGAAAATAATGAATATAATGCAAAAAGATTGTATGATTTTCTATAGTTGGTTTCTCCCGCCCACTTCCAAGTGAACTAGGTTCATATGTAAAATTGTCAGTAGGTATCTGACTTTAAAGAAAAGATAATTAAATCTGTCTACAGATGTAAGCATGATCATAGACGGGGTCTGTAGGATTTCTGTCTACAGGGCTGTTTTAAAACACAGTGAAATAAAATATTGCTGTTTGTGTAACTTATGGACAAAAATATTTTAAATAAATAAATATTTCCTTGAGTCTCAACTTACAACACAAGTGCGTTTGATGTCGGGGCTGCTGCGTGCTGAGGCTCATTGAATGCATAATGCTGGACTCTTGTTTGATATGATATTGTGGGAAAATTTAAAATCTCCCCTTCAGAATAAAAAAGTCAGTGTTTTGGAAGTGACAGGGGGATTCTGTGCCAAAGTATGTAACCGTCTCCTGTGGAAGTATTTTAGGGACCGGATAGTTTTTCAACTAGATATGTATCGGTTTTAATTATAATGTTAAGTAGTTCTCCTATTTTGACTAGACATACTTATTATAAATAAGCCCGATTCATCTTATGAAATCTCACTCTGAATGGTATTTCATAATCCAAGATAAGGATTGTAATTTGGTTTGAATTATCATAATGTGCTGGTCATCCTAAACGTTCCTCAAGTGGACTCTTTTCTAAGAGTACCATACGGACATTATGGCATGGTGATTTGCCCCTGTGACCCAGGAAGATGTTCTTGAAAAGTTGAAGGGCTAAGCCAGTCAAGATTGCAGACACGCTGCCGTTTTGGGGGTCCAATATGTCTGGTGTGAATGTGACTCCCATTGGCCAAACAATCTTGGGCAAGTCGTTTTGCCTCTGTTGGCCTCATTCCCTCATTTGTTCACTGGGGATAATACTCCCCCAGTATGTGCTTCAGGTAGGCTTTGTGGACATGTGGACCCATGCAATCATAGTTTAGTGCTCTTCTGGCACCATCTTAAAATTCTTATGTTTTTTGCGCTGAGTCCCACAAATTATGTAGCTGGTCCTGACATGGTATTGATGGAGTCAAATGTGGTGTCAAATATAAGACTCATGGCACACCATAAATAATACTGCTTCTCTCCTTGGGCTGTGGAATGACCTCATAAGCTGCCCCATCGTGTGTCATCAGCAATCTGAATACCCTGGCATGGATTTTGTATCTAGCCCCATGCTCTCAGCCTGGATTTCAAGATACAGGTGCTTGTTCTTGGGATGGAAGACAATGCCTGGAGGATATGCATGGGAAGTCACCTACTTTTAACTGCGTACCATTCTGTTCTGTTTATGTTTTGTTCTACGCAAATGGTTAGGTACCTCTTTTAAAATATTATAAAGAAAAATGAAAAGATAACAGGGCTATGAATTCAAATCAGAATGTTCAGATAGATAAACAATTATTTTGTAGAATATTGATTCCCCAGTGCCAAAAAAGACCTTCAGTTTTCTCAAAGAGTTGCTGCATTTTTAAGTTAATTTTAGCCCCTCTTGCCTTCAATTTATACCACTGCTTATATTTTTTAAAATACAGTGACAGCAGTAATTTCTAAGTTGGAGAATGTGTCTTTCCCTTTCTTCTCCTACTTCTTTAACCACATCTTTCACACAGAATAGGTCACTCCTTCTACTCATCCCAAATGAGCAGAATGCCAAAGGAAATCAGAAGGAAGTAATCAAAGCTGAGTGCAGTCATTTTGCAGAGCTATTTTACTGGATTAAATTCTCATGCTCATGAAAGATGGCATTTTCATCTAAACAGAGGTTCCGGTAGAGATCCTGTATATGGTGAGGGGTTAGGGAGTTGGATCATTTGCCCCAGAAGTCTACTCAAAGGTCATGGAAATCCAGGCAGAGCAAAAGGCACGGTTTTAACCTGCATTGTCTGCCAGAGCTTCAATGCATAGCCTATTCATATTGAACCCAATCATTTGCAAGTGAGCAAAACTGCATCCTCCACTTTCTGCATCTTTCATGACTGAGAACTTGCAAGGCCAAAGAGTGTGCTACAGCTGGCGTTGTTCTTCCATGGTTATTAACTGTGTCATTTGCACTTTTCACTTGCAAATTCACTTGCCATCATGCTCTTAGATTTTTTCAGTGTTTAAATAGATCTTAGAATCTGCAAGGTATCCGAGGATCAAATGAAACCCTACATTTAGATCCAATTCTCTTGTTTCCTATATCTCTTTCCTAATTTGAAGAGAGGGCTTCATAGTTGCTGTTTAAATCAAGTCATGCAGAGATTTTCCATCCATGGCCATAGATGTCTGAGGCTGCACCTGCTGAGGAGCCATTATCTAATCTTTCTGGGAAGTTTACACTCTCTCTAGTAAACCACTTCATGTTTACCCAGAACAGTGTTTTATGGTGTAAGAGATACTTTGCCTCTGAGTGTTAAAGCCACTTTGCACCTGGCATAAAGAAGAGAGTTTTGGAAGGAAGAGCCTTATGAGTTTGCTGAATGCCTTTCATGTGAAATTTCCTACAATTAAACATCAGATTTCTCCCACTCCCACTAAGCTTGAACAATCATTTCTTAAAACATCACATAGTTCAGGTTCTGAACATGAAGCCGCTTCGGCACTGATTTAATTGCCGGCTGACGAAGACCGAGACTACCTACAAAGGTGCCTCCAGACACCACAGAACCCAGGCACCGAACCGCAGCAGGAGAGGAATCTTATGTTGGTGCCAAATCCCATCAAAATATTTGAGGAGTTGGGTTTTGATACAGATTTCAGGGAATCAGAGAAGAGCACACATTTTGTTAAAAGAGCTGATTTGGTTCTACGGACACAGTTGCAATTTGCATCTCGGCATGGACTCCACTTTCATAAATAACCCTATGGGCAGCTTTTCCAGGCTGGGGGCAGGAAGGTGAGGAAAAGGGAGGTTATTTGATGGCTATTAAAATTCCCAGTCTCAGAAGTTTGCAGAAGAAATGTGCATAGAAGTTTTCCCATATTTGGAGCTACATTAATTCTGTCAATGGAGCAGGAAAGAAATCTGCAATCAAAAAAGATAAAGACTCTAAGATAGTATTTCTTGAATTTGGTTGCAATGTAGAATCTACCAGGAACTTTAAAAAATCCTGATGCTTAGAAATACCAGATTATCTCAAAGTCTGGAAGTGAGGACTGGACAGTGGTATTTTTTAGAAGTCCCCAGATAAGTCTAGCGGGCCACCATGACTGAGAACCAGTGGTCAGTGGGTTTTTGATGGGAGCTTCCCCAACTTACTGCCCTATGTGTGCGCAGGTATGATGTACAGCTCTGATAAAAGCTGGCCTCCCTCAAATTGGCCCAAGATAGAGGTAACAATCTCAATGGTTTATGGTGACAGTTAGTGCTCTGTGACCTGGTGACCATAGAAACTGTGGCCCAAGTAGAAGAATGTAAAGAAAGCATGAGGTCCCAGAGGAGAGGAATCATGGGGGAATATCTACAAAATTAAGACTTATAAATCACTAGGATTTAGACAGAGGAGATAAGTAATTTAGATGTCACAAAGCATCTATTGTAAAATGTTTGCCTCTCCCCAAAATGAAAAAAACAAAAAACATCAGAGAATAAAAGTAAAAGTAACTGCAGTGGCATTTTTTGTTTTGTTTTGTTTTGTTTTAGATGGAGTCTTGCTCTGTCACCAGGCTGGAGAGGAATGGCACAATATCTGCTCACTGCAACCACTGCCTCCCAGGTTCAAGCAATTCTCCTGCCTCAGCCTCCCGAGTAGCTGGGACTACAGGCACATGCTGCCATGCCCGGCTAATTTTTTTTTTTTTTTTTTTTTGTATTTTTGTAGAGTCAGAGTTTCATCATGTTGCCCAGCCTGGTTTCGAACTCTTTAGCTCAGGCAATCCACCCGCCTCAGCCTCCCAAAGTGCTAGGATTACAGGCGTGAGCCGCCGCACCCGGCCTGCAATGGCATTTATTAATATCTCTCTGTCACTCTGACTGTGTGCCTAAAATTTTACAGGGATTCACTTTCTGCCTAGAATTCTACATTTATGAAAAAGAAAGGAGAATGTGGGAGAAAAAAAATTATTCTATGCTGTCCACACCCTATTGGTTGAGTGCTTCAATGAGAGACCAAATCAAAGTAAATTTAAAAAAAAATTATTTAATGAATAAATAAATTCTTCTCAAAATAATGGATCTTCTTTCTTTTGCTGAGCCATAATAATAAGGAAAGACAGGTGTTTAATTTTAAACACAGCTGTTGTTATAAAATTAGCAGAAAGGGTGACTTGGTCCTATTTAATTTGCAAACTACAATTTGGAAAATCATTTGGGATTTTCATTTCACCTCAAGACTCTCCAAGCTACAGAGATAGGGTGAGCTCTCTAAATGGTGGAATTTGAGAAACGATTTAGGGATGGGATTGGAATTGCTCATACTTTCATGCCCCCACATAATGGCCACTTCAGTCATATAATTGGAATCGTGTGTCTGTCTCCTTATCTTCTTTTAAATCTCCAATCCTTTTGCCTTCCTTCTAGAATATCTTCAACTCTCTGTTCTCCTCTGTGCAAAACACAAAGGAAAAATGTGTTCCTAAAATTGGCATTTGGTTCAAGATCTTAAAAACAAAATGAATGCCTAAAAGAAAATTAAAGGCTTCAGAAGCAATGTGTTTTCATTCTCTACTCACTCCTGTGCTGCCAGTTGGACCTGGAATTTCTAAAGTACCCCATAGTGCTTGGTTTTTCAAGAGTCCTAGCATCTCTAGGGATGATGCTACATATTTCCTTAGGCAAAGACTGTTGAATTTTGAATGACCTAGGAGGCCACAGGGACCAGTGTCTCACACTCAATGATCTGAAGGATTGCTTGCCCTGGAAAATCCCATTCCCTGTCCGCTCCAGAAATTCAGATAGAGATTAATTTCTCTAATATGGCATTGCATTGTCTTTTGGACATATACTCTAAGGAAAATTCCTTCTGCCTCTCCTTAATTCAGAAAGAAGGGAAAAAATTAAAATCCACAGTATCTTCTTTTAGCATTAAGTAATCTTAAAATCTTTTTTTAATTTAAAAGGTAGTAATAAATCTACATCCCCAAACTGAATTATTTGTACAAGCCCTGGAATTCTAAACCTCTGCGGGCCTGGAATTTGGGGCAATTACACCTAAGGGCCAGACCTGCAGTAATGCCCCAAATTACTTTCTGGAGGGGGTGGCCAGGGGGTTTCCATTATTTTAAAGTTAAGACTTCAAACCAAATGTTTCTCCCTTTATTGATCTTCTTTCATCTCCCTTCATTGCATTTCCTGTTTGGCTTTTACCTCTTCTTCTCTTTTTTTCCACCCTGGTGGTGAACACCCTCAAATTGGTGATTGAAGACCTTGAAGGTGCTGTTTACAAAGGCTGTTAATGCCCCTGTCCTCATTTCCTGTGTTCCTGCCAACAAGCCTGACACAAAGCCCTCCTCAGTAGACACACTAAAATATCGGAGAGACCCCACTGAGTTTCTCAGTTTGCAGATAGCTTACGGTTGAGGACCAAAGGCGCCTGTTCTTTCCTCTGGCATGGAAGGCTCCCTTTTGTAGCTATTAGAAGAGATATTTTAGAATCACCGAATTTTTAAGCTGGAAGGGATTTCACAGATCTATGGGATCCAGAAGAATCTACTCTTCCTGGTAAGACTTGAAGATGGAGCTCAAGGGATTAGAGAACCCCTGGCATCATATGCAAATTATGCATGGATGTGTACACATGCACTTCCTTCCAGGGAGAGATACTGTGGCCTGAACAGCTTAAGAATCACTGATAGTCCCATGCCCTCTTCTCTTTAACAGATAAACCATTAGGAATCAGCTGAAATGCTTTCTCCCAGTTTCATATGATCTCTTTTTCCTGCCATGCTTATCATTAATTGCCTATTTTGGGGTCTTAAATTGAACTATGTGGCAAAATTACCCCCATCTTAGGGTGCATTCATCTCTAAAATAATGATGTTTTATTTGAATGGAGCTTTTCAACTCCTGAGAAAGGAAGAATAGGATGAGGGCCAGACAAATGGGCTCTAGAACCAGCCAGATCTGAGTTCAAACCCAACTCAGTCACTCCTGAATAAAGAAAACTTTGGTAGATTTCTTGACATTTTAAGGCCTGCATTTCTTCACCGATATAAAAAACAGAATAATAGTACCTGAGAAAAGAACTTTTATCTAAGGAATGTGAGTCCTTTTAAATAATCAGGCCCAGAGAGACATTAAAATGAGACAGCAGTCATGTCCTGCTTCCCCCTTGAGCTGTGTATTCATCTCTTGAAACTGCACAGGAAGCTATAAAGTAACCTAATAATATGGTACTGGATGCTGTACCCACACCCTATAGCCTCACAATGTATAGCCAATCACTAATCAATGTTATTTCTGTAAACCAATGAGAATTCCTGACAATTTTTTATAAACCCACTCACAGTCCCCCTTTTTTGCCTTTAAAAATCCACTTGTAACTGCTCCTAATATAATCAGAGTGTATATTCAGGGCAACTTGAATCTAAGCTCCCAGGTTGCAATCCTCAAGCTTGACCCAAATCAAATGTCTACGTATATTGATTTTGCTTCAACTTCTTCCTTTTAGGTCGACATACCTATCTCATTAGACTATCATAAAAATTAAATGAGATCATATGTTTCACTGCCTAACATGATATTCAATAAATGTTAATCCCTTTCTGGATGACTACTGTTATGTCAAAGTGAAATAAATCAATAATATATACTCATGCAAAGCATTTTCATGGATGCACCCAGAATCTGAAAGAATTCCAAAAAAAAATTTTAGGAAAACACATCTAATTATGCATCTAAGCACCTCAATTGTTCAAGTTTTACCAGTTATAGTAGGTCATTCCAAGGGAGGCATAGCAAAATTGGCCCTGGGTTAGGCATGATTCCTGCTGTGGCTGTCTTCATGCCCTGTTCAAAGCAGATGATAAAGCCAGTTTGTGAACATGATGTTACAATAGAAAGAAGTTTGATTCTGCTCTAATTGATAATTTTTGAAGGTAAACCATTCGTCAGCTTTGGTATATTATTACTAGAAATAAACTTCTTAGTAGCATGTCATAGAGAAAGCCACTATTATTGTCATCATCATCATCGTCATCATTTTAACTGACTGTTAATGCTCCGTTTGAGAATCACTGTAGATTATCTTTGACATCCTTTTTTCTTTCAGTTTATGTCTTCCTAAAGACACTTATGTTTGTATTAAATAATACAAAATAATTATATTGAATTTTAAGAATAAGGAAAATAATAAAGTGTATATTTGTATATTCATCAACCTATTAAGAAATAGATTAGCAATGTGTTTGGTACTCCCATATTCTAAATGGTGTGTGATCATTCTCTTGTTGTCCCTTGTGTCTCTAATCTGTTCAGTCTTGTATGTTTTTGAGCAAAAGTATTTTTATATTAGGTAATCAGCTATGACTTTATTCCCACAGCATTATATCTTGAACATCATCAATGTTAATGTTTAGCTATCCACAAAAAATGATTAAAGCCATAAAAATATAATTTGTCTCCAGAGTTTTCTATAGATTGGTTGTAGTTTCACTCAAAATCCCAATGGAAGTTGAAAGTCAACTTACTTTCCAAATATATATGGAAAAGTAAAAGGCCTAGATTTAATCCTATGTATTTTACTTTAAACTGCTGTTGTAAATAATATTTTTGTTGCATTTTCTAACTGTTGATGGTGTTTATAAAAGCTACCGACCTCTATATTTTGGCTATTTTGAAACTGGCAACCTTGCTAAACTCTTTCACTTTCATAATTTTTGGTAGATAATTTTAGCTTTCTTATATAGACAAACTACATCATCTACATAGCATGGCATTTTTATTTGCTTAATAATCCTTCCATATATGTTTTTTCCTGTCTTACTTCGCTTTCTAGACTCTGCCATGGGATGTTGGCTAGAAATTGTACTAGGAGCTGGCCTTACCTTCTTTGTGATCTTAAATAGAAGTCATTTGTCACTTCAACATTCAATAAAATGCTTGTCTTAATTTTTTTTAAAATACATCCTTTGTCATATTAAGAAGTTCCTCTTTTTTCCTGAGCACTTTTTAACTAAATGGACAGTAACACATATTGAACACTTATTTCCTGCATCTAATAAGATGATCATGTAGTTTCTCTCCTTTAATTTATTAACATGGTGAATAATTCCTTGATTTCCAGATGTTAATTCAAGCTTGAATTCCAGGGATAAATCCGACTTGTCTTGATGAATTATCTATTTTATGCATAACTAGATTCTGTTTGGTAATATTTTGTTTAGTATATTTGTTTTTCATTAGTGAGATAGGCCTGTGTTTTTCTCTATCATATTTTCTTTGACTGGTTTTGGAATCACAACTTACTAGTCTCATAAAATATGCTGGAGAGGGTTTTTTTCTTTTATTCTTCTCTGGAAATTTTTGTGTTTGTTTGGAATTGTTCTTTAAAAGTGAGTAGAACTCACCAGAAGCCTGTTCGGAACTGGAGTCTTTTTAAGGAACAATGTCTAACTATGGATTCAATTTATTTAGTGATTATGACTGTTCTAATTTTCCATTTCTTGGAGTGAAAGTGATAGGAACAACATGTTTAGCCATTTGAAATTGTTTTTCTGACTTTTCCTCATTCTTATTAACACCTATTATTAACTTTCCTTTGATTATGGTTGTGACATAGTATCTCATTGTAACTTTGATTTGTATTTCCCTGACGGCTAGAGATGTTAAGAACATTTCCATGGGCTTATCAGCAATTAGTACAACTTTTGGAAAAATGTATATTCATATGTTTTGTCCACTTATCTGTTGGGTTATTTGTCTTTCATTTTTGAGTTGCAAGCTTTCTTTATACTCTAGATAGAAGTTCCTTATAAGATATAAGACACACGATTTGCAAAGTATATATTCCATTCTGTGGGTTGTCTTTTCACTTCCTTTTTAAATTGTATATATTTATGAGTTACAATTAAGTGTTAATGCATGTTAACTATTATTGTTGATCAGTTGTTGATTATGTGATTCACATGACAGTATGATGTAAGCTTTTAAAAACTGTTAATACTAGCAAAAAGAAAAACAATGCATGGCCAGTTTTCAAAAATTTTTAGTGAGTGTCATTTAGTGTACTGTTTTAAATTTGAGGATTCATTCATCTATTTAGGTCCCTTAGATCAAGCTTATTGAATATGCTGTCCAAATATTCTACAATTAAAAAAAATATTTTGGCTGCTTCATTTATCACTTATTAAGAGGATGTTAAAATTCTTCACAATGATGCTGGATTTTATTAATTTCTCCTGAGAGTCTAGCTTTTTTATTTATGTATTTTGAAGCTAGGTAATAAGCACTTATAATTTTAGAAATTTTGTGTAAGATTCTTACTAATTTGACTCTATTATTCATATGGCAGTTATTATCTTTATCTCTGGTCAGTTTTTTTCCTTAAATTCTAATTTGTCTGAAAGAAAGATAGCCTCATAACTTTCTTTTTGACTTGCTTTTGTTGGGAATATCTTTTTTTATCCTTTCACTTTCAAACTTTATTTGTTCTTATATTACAGATATGTCTCATAAAAACAGCATCCATCTGCATTTTGCTTATATTGTTTTAATCTGGTTTGTCAAGCTTTTTAAGTAGGGAATAAATTTAGTACATTTACATTTATTGTGATTACTGATACACTTGTATTTATTTTTACCATCTTGTACATGCTTTTTGTGTGTTCCATTTTTTCCTGTTTTCTCCTCTGTGTCTTCCATATTTTTGTTTCCCCCATTAATTCCATTATTTCATTCATTGCTTTGTAAATTATCCATGCTTCCTCTTTTTTAAAACTGTAGTGGCAACTCTAAGGTTTTTGCATGCATGGTTACAAAACCTACAGTTAACTAATATCTGTATTTTTCTCCTAAAATTTTAGAATGCTACAAATCCAGTCAACACCTTCCAACTGTAATTTTTCTAGTATCTTGTATCTATATATTTTAATTTCTCAAAATAGCATTATCATTTTTAATATGGCTAATGCTTACCTAAATTTAAATTTAAATACAAATTCCTTTTACCTCATAGCAAAACATATTTTTTCTTAATTGATAATCTTTTAGTGTTAAACTCAATTTCCATTTAACTGAGTACGTCTTTATTTTGCCTTCATTCTAGATAGCTGGACATTGCATGCAATTTTAAATTGACTGGTTTTTTATTTTTGTTTTTGTTTTTTGCGTACTGAAGATTTTATCTCATTGTCTTCTATGTCACTCTTGAGAAGTCAGTTGTCAGTTCAATTGTTTTTCCTTATGGATAATTTGTTCTCTGCTTGAATTTAAGATCATTTACAGTTTTAGTTTTTGTTATAAGGTGACTGCATATAGTTTGGGGTGGATCCTTGTGTTTCGTAAAATCTGGAGTCTTGTATCTTTCATAAATTTTGGAAAAGTCTCAGCCTTTAAATATTGCCTCTCCCTCAGTTTCTCATTTTGTTTTTTGGGGGAAACTGGTGAATCATATGTTGGACCTTTTCTTTCTTTCCTCGTAACCTCTTCTTTTATTTCCTATTTCCTTGTCACCCCGTACTGTATTCTGCATTATTCCTTCTGATTGAGAATCCAGTTCACAATATCTTTGGCTATTTAGAATTTACAGTTAAAAACATCCATTAAGTTTTTAACTTCAAGAATTATATTTACTTTTTCAGTCTTAGAAGTTCTATTTGGTACTTTTTCAAATCTACTGTATCTTTTGTATCACCTCTTACATCTAATTCATATTTTAATCTCCTTTTATATTTTCTAATTATAATAAACATATTTTGTTTACATTTTGCATTTTGTTATTTCATTACCAAAGGCTTCGGTGTTGTGATTATGGCTTTTATTTCTATAAGATCTCCTTCCATTTGTTGCTTGTGATTTTTAGCTGTGAGCATATACTTGGAATTCTGTTTCTGCAGAGAATATTTGATTTTCTTCTGCTAGTTGTCTGGGAGCTCCATAAACCTGCCACCACTTTAAAATAATTTTTCAGCTTGAGGAATTTTCGAACAACAATGAGAGCAGTTTCATGATTAAAAATTATTTCTATCCAGTTTCAAGGTGGAGACAGTGGAGTCCAGTTCCCGTGATGCTTCCTGGTGTGACATGTGTGTATGTGGAATGCTTCTCTTTCATCCTTACAGGAAGAATGAGGTACAATGGTATCTGTTCGTCTTCCATGTCTTGTGCCCTCTGTAGCCATTTAGAAATCAAAAGCCAATTTGAATACTACCTTCCTTCTCTAGATTTGTCTTTTCCTTCTCTAGATTTGTCTTTTCCTTTTGTTTTATTCTCCCTGAGGATTCTTTACTTAAACAAAAATGCAGAGCTCAGTAATGCTTTAGAAAATAGAAGAAGTTTTTTCCCATTTTTTTAGCAGTCTTTTTTTTAATTGTGTGAACATCTGTGTGGGGTGTGTGTGTGTGTGTGTGTGTGTGCAGTGGGTAATCTACTCTGTCATATTTATAGAACCAGAAAGCCAGAAAGACTATTGTTCTCTATGTTCCTTTATCTTTTTTGAAAGTATGCCTTCCACTGCAATGTTTGACATCGTTTTCTTATACCTCATAGAAACATGCTCATGTATTCTCATTTGTCCAATGAGTTAGGAGAAAAATTAAATGCTCATGCATTCTCAACACTATTCATTTTTTAAACAATTTTAGTTTATTAAGCTGTTTTTGCATTCTAAGTCCATGGGAAGACCAAAAAAAGTACTGATTAGAAACAAAACTGAAATGCCCTATTATGGCATCAAAGAAACAAAAGAGGAGATGATACAGGGTAATATAAACTGCATACCAATATCATGAGCCCTCACACCAGGTTTCTGTTTAGGATGGATAATTTGCTTCAATGAAACAAATTAATGGAGAATTATAAACAATAGCTTTACAATGAACTTTTAGCCATTAGTAATTTAGAGTTTGGGACAATATTTATGTGCCCTTCTTGGAGACATTATACAATACTGGCCCAGATCATGGACTCTGGAATCAGATGGGCCTGGGTGTGAATCCTTTATTCTGTGGTTTGACCTCTGTAAGCCTCAGTTTCCCATTCTGAAAAAGGCAGAGATTAGCACCTACTTCATAGGGCTATTTTGACAATAGGCAAACTGTATTTGGCAATAATTGACAAGTACTTACCACAGTTTATGACACATTGTGAAAACTAAAAAAAAAAAAAAAAAAAAAAAATCGTAAGTTCTATCGTTGTGATTCAGTACTTTTGTCCAGAATGAAGTGATACAGCCAGTCAGCACCTTCCAATATGAGCCAGCCATTCAGAAGCCAGGATCAATTTCCCCTAAACCCACACAAGTGGATAAGGGTGCCCCAAAGGATGCTGGGAAATCCCCCAAACACTCCTGGAATAAAAGTGTTTTCAATTCATAATACGAAACAGCCATATTATGTAACATTGTGCTTGGAAGGAAGAAAATAATTGAAGGGAATTTCAAAAACAAACATCTAGATCACATCCCAATTTCCAAATATTAGGAACCACTCCTACACAGACAGGAACAAGTTGATGTCCCAGTATTTAAGAGAGCCTATGTTAAGCAAAGAAAAGGGGCAGATTTCTAATGTTGAATGACAAGGCTAGTTTGAAGAGCATAGCAAAATGTATGTTAAGAAATAGAGAGGCCTAAAGTGTGTTTAATTGTTGAGATGCTAAATGCATGGTAATATGTGTGTGCCAATAGTGCAACTTGATCCAAACTACATTTGGACTGAGCCTGTAATAAATTGTCAGAGTTGGCCTGTGCATTCACTTAAGCTAATACTGAGTGTCTCCTTTCTACAAAGTAAATCACAGTGGCTTTGTTACTTTATTTTCCATCTTGTGTATAAGTAAACTGCAGGATCAATTGGGAGGTAGAATCAATCTGCTATTTATTACCTTGAAATGTGACACCCTATTTTAAGTGCCCTATTCCCTTATGGCTTCACTTGAGAACAGTATTATGTCCAAACAATATAGAAACCAGCTTTACAGCTCCTGGGTTTTTTTTTTTACTTCAGCCCGGATGGATTTACATTGTATACAACTTTCAGAACCTAAATAACTTACTTAGTGGATTTTGAAACAAGCATGTAAAGGAGGAAGAGTCCTTTGCTTTTTTTTAACTTTTTTATCTTAAATCTTAGCAGAATGCATTCATGACCAAAGCATTTTTTTAACTTTTTTTTTTTAAAAAAAGCAGTACTCCCATTGACCCACTGATCGTAGCTTAACGTTCCAAAGAAAATAAATAAAAATCTCGTGTCTAGGGAAAAGAATTAGGCTTCATGGGGATTCTGTCATCTTGTCATTATACTTTGCAAAGAAACCTTGGTCTCTAATTTATGGGTTTCAGAAAGAATGCCTCCTCACACTGCTAGAAGGTTGAAAGGGCAAGAGATATGATGTATATCAGGAAGGTTAAACCTAATCTCTGTGACCTGCCACCCGCCTTTCCTGATTAAAACATGAGGGACTGGGGCCCAGCAAAGACCCCCCTCTCTAAAGCACTATCCATATCTTAGTCCCTGATCTGAGTCCTCCGTATTGGCTTATTTCAAAACACTCATTATTTGGCTTGCTGGCGACTACACCAAACGTCTCTACTAAGTGTGATAAAACATTTTTAAATGCCCCAAACTGAGTTAGATGAAATTGAAGGGAAACTGGCAGTAATGAAAGGCTGGTGACAAGCTTGATCCCCATAAATTTGGATTTTATTAGGGCTTAAACTTAAGGTTAACCAGGAAGCAAAGGAAATAAAGAGCCTAAAACTTTAAAGGTGGTCTGAGAAAGATAGTGGCAGCATCTCATTATCTCCCTAGCTAAAATGACAGTGGAAAGGTCTTCTTTTTTTTCTTTCCTTCTTTCTTTTCTTTCTTTCTCTCTTTTTCTTTCTTTTCTTTTCTTTCTTTCTTTCCTTTCTTTTCTTCAGATCCTTCCTTCTGTTTTCTTTCTCTTTCTTTTTTCTTTCTCTTCTTCTTTCTTTCTTTTCTTTCTTTCTTCTTTCTTTCCTTCTTTTCTTTCTTCCTTCCTCCCTCCCTCCTTTCCTCCCTCCCTCCTTTCTTTCTTACTCTTTTTCTTTTTCTTTCCTTTCTTTCCTCTTTCTTTCTTTCCTCTTTGCCTTTCTTTCCTCTTTCCTCCCTTTCTTCCTTCTTTCCTTATCTCCTTTTCTTTCTGTTTATAAATGTGTACAATTCATATGTGTACTTTCTTAAACCTTTCAAGCTCAGTTGTGTCTGATATGGTCTCCCTCCAGGGCTTCTTAGAAAATAAACTTCAAAAGAAAAGATGATTTCTTCCTTTGTAAAAGTAAATTAATTAATATTAATTACACTGATGGTTCAGGATACAACTAATCTCAACTTCCCTTTATCCCTCATTAAGCCTGAACTGTATATTCTAAGCTTTTGGTATCAACTCCTGTGAATCAAAGCCTGTAGGACAAAGCATAAATAAAAATATCATTAATATATATGCTGTGATGAAAATTTAAGGCTGAGCACAATTGTGTGTGGGTATGAAAAAGTTCCTCCTCTACTCTTCGTTCCTTCAGGCCCTCAAAAACTTGTCTACAACAGTTAATATGTTCCAGGATTTATAGGAAAATTTATTATCTTAAAGATAAAATAAAATTTTACATTGTATACAGCCTAGGACAGACTTTGAGAATAAATGTAATTCTCTTAAATTATAAGCAACCATAACTTCTGGGTAGGTTCTTGTATCATCGCCATGTAACCTTCAGTCAACCTGAAAATCACAAGGGATTTTAGATTCTAAGCAATAAAGTTAGAGAGAGACTTATATCCAGAGGGACTAAATTCATAGGTTTACTTAACGACAAATGGAGAGTGGGGGTTGGGAGATGGACAGAAAAATAGACAGGAAAACTATTCATTTCTTATCACAGTCAACCAGTGTTAATTAAAACTTCATTGCAAATGTATATCAGCAAGGAAATTTCTGCTAACTCAGGAGGCAAGTGCCTATATAATCATAAAGATATCTTGGTTATTTATCTGCTGTTTGGATCTTATCCTTTACCTCAGCAAGCAAGTCCTACTTCACCCCCCTTCCCTGCCCTCATTTTATTACAGACCCTCTGTATATTCTACCATAAAGAGGGGGGAAACATATGGGCTGTTGTTTGAACTTCTGTAATGAATCCTTCCAATATACTATTTCCTTCAAAAGTTATTTTTAATTTTATTGCAGTCTGTTTGTGTATTCCCCCAACAATCACTCGGACAATATTCGTATTGGGAAAAAATGGCTTTGGAGGGCTCTTGCTCTGTGAATACTTCTGATTTATATGGAATGCCTAGAGTGAAGGGTGCTGTTGTGTGGCTGGGCCTCCCTGCCATGCTGGTGGCTTCCTTCAACAGAAGAGAGAGTCCGGTGGCTTCCTTCCCAGGGCCCTGGACTCCTCCCTGTTGTTGTTTTGATTTGTTTTCTTCTCAAAAAAAATTTGCCACTAATGATTCTCACTCTCTGTCTGCCCAAATCCCCTTAACTCTTGTCCAGTAAACACACCAGAGATCTCAAGCTGATGGCCCACATGCCAGGTTTGGCCCACAGTTGGGTTTTGGTGGGCATGCACAGTTGGAAAACATTCTTTAAAGAATCGGTTAATGTTTAAAAATTGGAAATTTTCATATACAAATCTAGGTTTATAGAATAGTTGATGGATTTTTCCCTGAAAACAGAAACAACTGTGTGAAGATATTTTTCTTGGAAACTTAGGAGAACTGGCAAACTGTGTCCACCTTCCCATATGGCGGCCAAGTCCATTCTCCCCATCGGAAGGGATTCTAATGCAGGTCTGTTGTTCAGCCTGGTTGATTGCCATCACTGAGGCACGTGCCTGGCCCCCTCCTAGTTTCTGAATTTGACACCCTGAAATAACCAGTTTTACAGACATGTTATCAGAAAGCTTGTTTTTGAATTGGCAGGAGGCTGAGCAATGGGTGTCTGAGTTTCAGTTTGTTTCATGCTTCCTTAGAAGGCACTGAAGACTTCTGACTCTCCTAGAAAAATGTTTCAGCTCATAATAATTAGTAATAACTTACTCATCTTTGCCCTCCCCAACCCCAGCTATGGTGTCCACTTTTATACCTTACATCTATTTTATGATTTGTTGAATGGATGAATGAGTAAATGAGACTCTTGTCTGAGGCTGACAAAGTTTACCCCTCATGGGTGCATGGAAATATATTACTTGAGGCTCCATTTTAGAATTGCATTCCACATCTTGGTCTAATGATGGTGATCAGAACTCCTTTCCCTCTAGGACCCACTTCCCTGAAACCCCAGTGACAACCATAGAGATGGACCATAGGAGGCATGACATTCATATATGTTAAATAGATTCATTAATTCATGTAATTTCAAGAATAGTAGCTTTTATGCTTGAGCACTTATGCACCGGGCAGTGACTTAAGTACTTTGTATAAATTAACTCAAAACTTTATTCACATTTTACAGGTGAGAAAACCAAGACTACTATTGCAGGTAGTAAAATTTGGAGCTGCTGTATGAACCCAGGCAATCTGACTAAATAGTTCACAATTTTTGTTGCTTTGTTTTGTGTTTGATTGTTAACTGAAGTGTCCTCTTCTTGGACTCAATAGTATACTGGCTATTCATGTTCCTAGGAGAGGCTATGCTTCCGAAAGTTTCATTTCACTTTCTGAAGCCAATTTAATATTATGAGTAGGAAATCTATATCTACACAATGTGCTTCAAATTTTAATTTCAAGAGGATTTTTGAGAGTTAGTGGACAGTATGGGCGGGGATCACAGGAACCCAGAGCATCTGGCCCTTACAGAGTTGCTGTCTTTTGGTATAAGTGAGCTTCACTTGGTAACAAATAGACCCAGTCATAAGAAATGGCTGAAATTTAATGGAAGTGTATTTTTTTCTCAAATAGAGTTATGCGAGAATTCCTGGTGGAGGTGGGCAACTCTCTTCCCTGCAGATATTCAAGGATTCAGGCAGATAGAATCTCGTTCATCATCAACATGTTGCCTGCAAGGATCTTATGGTTTCTCCATCTCATCCAGCCAGAAGCAAATAAAAGCACAGGCAAGCCCACAGAGGAGGATTTTATGGGCCAAACCTGGGAGTGACTCATCACATCCCTCCCCATAATCCATTGACTAGAATGTAATTATTTGGCCATACCTAACTTCAAGAGCAGCTGGGAAATGTGAGCTTGCTGCGTGCCCAGGAAGAATAAGGAAAAAGGACTTTGGTGGGCAACTATCAGTTTCTCACTTCTCTTGGTGCTAAAGAGCTTTGTAGTAGGAAGATTTGCCCAGACTATTTGTTGCACAGCCAATCCTCAGACCATCTTGAAGCATGTAGAAAAGGACTAAGGATTGGAAATTGAGTTAAAAGGTATTATTGGGAGACATTTTTAGCATCAGCAGCATCTGCTGGAAAGTTTATACTCTGAACTCTAGAGAACAGTTTTGTTTAGAGGATATTAGCAAATTTGTAAAGAGAATATGTAAAGAAAGCTGAGAATAATATTTTCAAACTCTTTCCTTATATCCCAAGTTAACAGACAGCACTAGGGTCAATACTAACATGATCAAGGGGTTAGTTTCTGTTTCCTTTTTTTTTTTTTTTTTTTTTTTTTTGGGACGGAGTCTCACTCTTTCACCCAGGCCGGAGTGCAGTGGCCCTATCTCGGTTCACTGGAAGCTCTGCCTCCCAGGTTCACGCCATTCTCCTGCCTCAGCCTCCCGAGTAGCTGGGACTACAGGCACCTGCCACCACGCCCGGCTAATTTTTTGTATTTTTGGTAGAGACGGGGTTTCACTGTGTTAGCCAGGATGGTCTCGATCTCCTGACCTCGTGATCTGCCTGCCTCGGCCTCCCAAAGTGCTGGGATTACAGGCGTGAGCCACTGTGCCCGGCCTTCTGTTTCCTTTTTAGGAGGTGGAGATTGCAGAATAAAATTTAACAAATTTGGCTTTTGAAATTAATAGTGTTTTCTTTGGGAAATTTTTAATTTTTGTTTATTTGCTTTGTTTTCTTTTTCATGGAAGCCTTAATGGTGAAGCAAGGAATGAAAGAGGAAAAATCATAGCAACTTGGTGAACTTGAAAATGTACCTAGGTCACACCCCTTCTTTACTTCAAGCAGAAACTAAACCCAAATGGAAAATATTTTGACTGAGCTGCAGCTTGGCATTTTTATGCCACTATTTACCTCTAGAAGAAGCATGGAAAACTTCTCTAGCTTTTACAGTACACTTTCTAAATACCATTTCCCACTGGAGAAATGGCTGATTCTGGGTCAGGAGAAAATGTACTAGGCAAATGAGAATATCTTGTCATTCCAGATAACAAAAAAGACGTAAAAGACTGCAATGCCAAAAGGACTCAGGAGCCAAAAGAACTGAGAATATGCCCATGGGTCAAAAATGGAACAAGTGCACCATTAAATTGAAAACAAGTGCAATAGATTAAAATACATCACATGTTCAAATCTTTGAGTTCAAAATGATACAAAAGCAACATACAAACAAACATATAAACAGCAATAACAACAACAGCCTCAATGTTCATCTTTGGACATTGATAGGAAGCAAATTATTTGGAAAATAGTAAAAAAAAAAATTAGAGTATCTGTCCTGTATTTCATCTATAAAATATTCATTGAGGTAACCAAATAGTTAATAGTAAAGGAAAATTTGTCTATTTGTCTTCATGGAAGTATTTTAATTTCTAGAATAAATGAAGAAGGAATGATAAAATTAGAACATTACCATTTGGTGGTCCCTAATGAGACAATGGGTCCAGGCAAAAAATCTTCAATGGCTGTTGAGATCACAAAAAGAAAGACCCCAGATTTTAAGTGCCAGCTATTAGAAAAATACGATTTTTCCTGAGAAGTAAGTTTGACAAAAAAAAAAATTTATATTGAATTCGAATCAAGCCTCTAGAAATAACAACCAATCTACTAGAATTACAGAGATCAGAGAAACGTGTTCAAAGACACCGTGGGCATATAAACTACAAAATCCAAATTGTAGAAAACATCATAGGACAGACAATATGATTTCTTCCACAAATACACTGCATGATAAAAAAAGAGAGGAGTTTTAAGAGACTTAAAGAGCAATCAAATGCAATATTTGGATGTTTCATGGATCCTCATTTGAACAAATGGTTATTTATTTTTATGCTGTGTTTATGAGATAATTGGGGAAATGTGACCACTGACTGGATATTGGATGATATTAAAAATTATTGTTAACTTTGAATGCAATAATGGGATGTATGTGTGTGTTTAATGAGTCCTTATATTTTACAGTTACATGCTGAATTATTTATGGATGGAATTACATGTGCTTGGGATTTGCTTCAAAATAATTGGGGAGTAGAAAAGAATAAGAGTACTATATAGATAAAAGATTGGGCATGAATTTAAAATGAAAGAAAAATAAAAGAAAGGAAAAGAAATAACAGAGAGGTTAAGAGGGTAGGCTCAGAGCCAAACTGCCTGGGATCAAATCTTCTTTCTGTCATGACTAGCTGTGTGATCCCAGAACAAGGAGTACAGAAAATTATCTAAGCTTGTGGTGACTTGGTTTCCTGATCTGTAAAATGGGCTCAATGGAGCAACCACCTCATTAGGTTGTGCAGACGAAGTGAGCTAATAGATGGAAAGTGATTGGTGTATTTCTGACATGGAACAGTTAGCTCTCAATAAGCACTTGCTATTATTGTAATTTTTATTCAATGGGCCTTTTAATTGCCCTGAAGCTGATTGTGCCACTGGGTGCATATCTGTGGTATCAGTGCAGGCATCTGTGATCTGACTTGGATGGAGACCCCTTGGGCCAAGTATGTACCGAAATCTCCTTCCTAGCCCAAGATGGCACAAAGAGTCTAGGCCTTATTTCCAAGATAGTCTGCCTTCTGGCTTCACAATATTTCAGCTTGTCAATGCAATCTACTTCCAGAAAAACAACTTTTCTTACCCATTCCTGTCTTTGTGGTTTTGCTTTGATTAGCTTCTTTGGCCTAAAAGCCCCTTTCTTCCTTCTTTCCAAACCTTGTTCTTCCAGGATGCCTGCTCACATTCTTCCTGTTCAAGAAGCCCTTTCCTGAATTGAGATAGGATACTCTGTCCTCCTTCCCCTCTGAATGACAAGACATTTACCATGCATACCACACACGCTAGATTTTGAGTGTCTAGATATTCAGTGGTCTGCTGTGGCTCCAGCACTGGCTCTTTCATATTGGCCAGCAAGGGTGTGTCTATTGTGCAATCTCTTTCCAACTCCCAAGTTCACTGATGCTACTTTGGTAGCTTGAAATGGGCCATGTTGGGAGTATTTACACCACAACAAATATAACAAAACAGGGATTTTTTTCCCCTGTGAACCCATTGTTACAAGCTTACCAACACACCACTAATTTTATCTACCCATAGCTATGAATCCATCTACCCATTTCTACATCTGTCCTGTGCCTAGCATTGAGTATGGCACATACTAGGTCTTCAACAATTGAATGAATGATTGTGGAGTGCTATCATATATTTTTAATCTTTTCCCTCAAGTTTAAAACACCTTGAAAGCAGGAAATCTGTTACATTCTCCACAATGCCTAACCACACTGGGCACATAATAGGTGGTGGATTAATTATGGAAGGGAGTTAAATAATATCCTCCATTTTGAAGCAGAAAATCCACTTGTCTATTTCCTTATGGTCGACAGTACCCAGAGACTCAAAATCAAGATGTGAGGGACAGTTTTACTACTCTTTAAAGTAAACAAAAAGCCTCTTTCAGCAGCATCTTTAAAAATCTTTGAACATCTCAGTGAGGTTTCCTCTACTCCAAGCTGTGATCAACTTGGGGGATTTATGGTGAGATCCCCTTCCTGTAATTGCAAAGCTGGAAGTGACGCACTGTCCCCCTGCAAAAGCCTTATATGTTTTGGAGGGTTTATTAATCTTAGAAAATGGCAATAAAGCCAGAAGCAAGGGCTGCAGCTAAGGGCCAGGGGCCTCCTCCCTGTCCCTTTAGACTGGAGAACAGGCTGGCCAGCTTCAGCAAAGTGGGGGAAGGGCAGTTCTTTCACATAAGGCCTGTGTCCGGTCTAAACCCCAGACCTGGCCACACAGGGAAGCAGTGGGTGGCTGTCCCTTGAAGAGGCCATTTGCCTTTAATATTTCACATGAGAGATCTTTCTTTAATGTTTTCCTATGATGTATGGAATGTGCAGAGTTTATGAAAGAAACAATTAAGTGGGCGGAACCTGTAAATCAGGCTCATATTTAAAAGTATGCTCATTTACTGCTATGCCATTATAATTATTCTCCTCACCCTCTCCTCACCCTACCCCCTTCCAATCCCTGGGGCTCCTCAGGGGAACAGTGCCTGATGCCAATGCTCCCTGGTGCCAATGCCTCCTCCCAAGGAGCACAAGAGGGCAGCCCCTCCTACTTCATGTGCCTGAGCTTTAGAAAGAGCCAGAGCCAGGATGCTTCTGCAAAGGGTGAAGTTGTCTTGCCTGGTCCTGTCATCGTCATTGTCATAATCAGCCTCTGTACATTTCCTTAAGTATTTATAAATCTATTCAACTCCATGAGTTCATCAGATCTTCAAAATCTCCTCAAGCTCTTGCACTGTAGACAGAGTTTTCAAAAGATTCTGGATGCTTTATAAAGATTAGGGGCCTTTAGGGGGAGGGGTCTTTCAATGTCCTTTATCTTCCAAAAATGGGACACTAGTGAAGTTATCTAACTTTGAGCCACAGTTTTGTCATTAGTTAAATAGCAAAATGGTGGAGAAAGGGCAGAATTACACCTTTCTAAGAGGGCTGTTAATGCATTTAAATGAAATCATGTGTTTACTCTTATAATTGGGATGAGTAATGGTCACTGCTATAATCAGGTTCCAAATCACAGTGGCTTAGCCAAATGGAAGTGGATTTCTCGTTTAAATGGACTCTAATGGAGACTTTGGTGGGCAGTTTCCATGTGGTGACTCAGGGATCCAGGCTGCTTTCATCTAGTTATTCTCACATACCCTAAGGCCTTGAAGTCCTCCATGGAACCCTTTGCAGATGAAGGGACAGAGGATGTGGAGGAGCATGGTGGTTAGGATCAAGCCTGAAGTTGTATATACCCCTCCTATCTGTATTCCACTTGCCAAATCAGTCACTTGGTTTCACCTAACTGCAGAGCAGCTGCCTGGGGAATGTTCCTTTACTACATAGCCAGGAAGAGAAGAAAATGAGATTAAGTGAGGATGTAGCATTGCTTCTGTTGCAGCATCCACAAAATGTTAGTTCCTTCCCTTCCTATCCACAGATGGCTAAGCAATAGCTCAGAGGAATCCAGACAAATAACCCAAAGTGACACAGCCAGGAAGTAGTGAACCTGGGACTCACTCAAGTCATCTGATTGCTGGAGATCTCTACCTAGAAGCTCTATGCACTATTCCAAGGATGGCGAATTGATTGCATTTCATTCATAAACTCTAATCTGTTGTCAGTGGGTGGGAAAGTGCTGGATTGAAAAAATTTTGAGGAAATGCTGTTATTGATTAGTAATGTCTGCTACGAGTTCAGAAAGAGGGAGGGGCATCACACATGCCACAGACATGTCATTCTTGCTCTACTCTCTTCCTTCCACCTTAAAAGTGCACATTTCCAGTGCCCCATTTTCTCAAAACTCCTTTATAAAGTGCCCAAAGATTTATAAGTCTGAATATAGCATCCTTGCCTGGTTCTAGACTAGCACTGTAAATGGACCTTCTCATTCTTCACCTGAAAGAGTAATTAAAGCTGGACAATATCATGGACTGAGGCAGGCCAGCAGGGGAACCATAACCCATAACTGGGATTCACCCAAGATATTCACTTTCCCGCCTCCACACCTTTGCCTGTGCTGTGCTTTCTGGCTAGAATGCTTTTCATATTATTGTTATCATCATCATCGTCATCATCATCATTATCATCATTTTACACTTCTCCACCTACCAATATCTGAATTGTTCTTCAAAGTCCAATTCAAATACCAACTTCTCCTTCAGGAATTCTCCTTCAAGCCCATGAGAAAATCAATTAGTATTTCCTCTGGTGGGAAGAACCTGTTTGGCCCTCATCATACTGTATGTATTAGTCCATTCTCATACTGCTATAAAGAACTGCCCAAAACTGGGTAATTTATAAAGGAAAGAGGTTTGACTCACAGTTCTGCATGGCCAAGGAGGCCTCAGGAAACTTACAATCATGGCAGGAGGCAAAGGGGAAGCAAGCACCTTCTTTACAAGGCGACAGGAAGGAGAAGTGTGAATAAGCAAAGTGGCAAGAGCCCCTATAAAACCATCAGATCAAACTTCTCAGATTTCTTTGAGAACTCACTCACTATCATGTGAACAGTATGGGGGAAACAGCCCCCATGATTCAATCACCTCCACCAGGTCCCTCTCTTGACATGTGGGGATTATGGGGATTATAATTCAAGATGAGATTTTGGGTGGGGCACAGCCAAACTATATCACTGTGCCTAATATTATTACAGTTGACTATATTTATCTTTTTTCCCCTAGACTGCAGGGTCCTTGGGGGCAAGAATCACTTTGTCTTTGCTTTTCTTGCTTCTCCACCCTAATTCACAGCCCATTCTCTCTCTCTCTCTCTCACACACACACACACACACACACAAACACACACACAGAGGTCACTTGGGAAGTGTCATCAAAGGTTTATGTAAGAGATAGATAGCTGGGTGGATGAGGGTGGGTGACTGGGGGAGTTGCTCCTTAGTGTCCTGCAATTTATATCCATCAGGACTCTGGGTCTGAGGGAGGCCACCTTCCAACAGCAATCTGCTGGTGTGGAAAGCCTTTGCCTTTTGATGGAGGATAACAGGAAGCCCAGCAGTGGCAGCCCCTTTAATAAGATAGCCTCATGCAATGGAGAGAAAACAAACTTAGAATCAGGTAGACTGGAGCTCTGCCGTTTACTAACTCTATGACCTCTGACTCTTCACCTCTTAGGGGTTCAGCATCCCCATCTGAACAATGGGAATAATATCTCTAGTTCATGGTAGCCATGGGGGCCAAATGAGACCAAAGGTATGTTTATTTATAGCACAAGCCTTTGTGCTCAGTCAAGAGTCACTGCCATTATTTACAGAACATATTAATATTAGTTAATAATATAAATACTCTTAATCTCACAGACATGAACAATGGACAAAGGAGCAGGTGTCTGCTTGAAGGGACCACAGCTGGACAAAGACAAGCCCGGCAGCTCTGCCGAGTCCCTCTTCACTCTTAGGCTTTCTTCTAAGGGTGGTGTCAAGATTTTCTTCTTGGTAATAGGATTCAGTTTAAAAACTTTTCCCACATGTATTCAATCAATATGTATTAAGAACCTATTGTGTATTGCACATTGTGCTAGACAGTGGGGACAACATCAACAGAAGGAAACAGAATTCCTTCCTACACAGAGCTTAACTCAGTGGTGCTAGTCATTGAACAGATAATCGTACAAACACTAACGTGGGGTGTGCACTGCTCCTTGTCCTAAGCCAGTCCTAGATGAGGGGTGGAAACACCTGGGTTCTAAGCCAGCCAGAGCTCCAACCTGTGGCATGACCCCCGCTGGTGCTTTCATCTCTACGTCTGTGCCTCCTTGTGTGTACAGTGGGCTTGGCTTCCTTTGTTCTGAGTGGTTGTCAGGATCACATCAGAGCTTTTATTCGCGGGAAGAGCTTTAGAAAGGAAAAGACCCTTAGGAAGGCAGGGGATTCAGAAGACCCAGGTGGCGTCTTTGAATATATCCCTCTCCTTCAGGATTTTTTTAAGTGGAGTTTTCAGCCAGGTGTCTCCCCAGAGGGCAAGCAGGTTTGGGTGTACATGCAGCCCATGTTGGGAAGAAGCAGGTGTGCCTTCTCATTGGTGGCTTTGCCCACCCGAAGGCTGACAGTCCTGGAGCAGTAGAACTGCTGTAGAATTGCTGCTCCAAGTTAGCTTTCCTGGGTTTCGTGGGCAGAGTCTCTACCTGCTGGCATTGTCATCTCATCCCTTCCCATGAAGGCCATTTTCCACCTGGCACTTACCTGCCAGGAAGCTGAAAATGGTGTGTGTGTGTGTGTGCATGATGCTCGCATGTGTGCATGTGCACATGCACAAAGGTGGGACTTGCTCTTATATAGTAATTCTGTTGAGAATCTACAGAGCTTCAGTTAGGGATTGTGTATACTCAAGGAAGATCTGAAGGCAGAGGATTTGTGCACATGGTCTGCAAATATTAATAGCAATAACAGTAGTGTCAGCAAAAATCACTGCTGGGAAAAGCTGTTAAATCTTCACTCCTTCTTGGGCAGCAAGAGGAGCACTTCACAAATTTTGGTTCTGTATCTCATTCACTGTTTGCAACTCCATGATGTAAGTAGTGCTGTTGTTCCTTTAGGTACATAAATCACTTAACCCCTAACACACTACTATGAGATAATAATAATGGTTATCATTTGGTCTGGACTAAGTGGCATTTTCAGTGCTTTATGTCTTAACTCACATAACATCCTATAATATTGCCACTTTGCAGATGATAAATCCCAGAGAGAAGTCTGACTCAGAGCCCATATTTGTAAGCTCCACATGGGGTATCTCTCTATATGACTACATCTGCCTTGGATGTTTGCTTTTTGGAAGGTGGGAGACTGCCCTGGGTCGCCTTTTGCAGCAACTTGTTTATGTGTGCCATAGGAATATCTTTGGCATTTTTTTTAAAAAACATTTAACATATCTACCTTTCGAAGGCACTTTCTGATGGATGCATCTCATTTTCCTTCCTTAACATTCTCTCCGGAGAGTTGGGCAGGTCAGGGATGACATTCTCCATTTTACAGGTTCTGAAAGTCTTAGTAACGCCACTTAGTCTTAGTGGTGAATGTGGCTGGAGCCAGGCTCTGGAGGCTGGGTGCAGTACATTCGTGCCCTTCAGGCCTCAGATAAGCCAGAGTTTTCATGCTAGCGTGTGATCATGAATTACCTGGGCATCTTATTAAACTGCAATTCTGCTCCAGCAGGTCCGGGGAGGGGCCCGAAATGTTTCTAACCAGCAATCAGGTGAGGATGTAGCTGCTGCTTCAGGACCACACATTGAGGAGTCACGATTTCAGCTCATTCGCCCTCACCCCTGCTGCCTTCCTGTGCTGCCTCAGACCGGGGCTCAGAGGCTTAAATCCAGTTCATGGCTCTGGCCAATCAGGTCCTGCCAATGCGTGCTGGAATTGCGGTCTCATCACCTTGTGAGTCAGAAAATCCACTGTGCGTCTCCTGAGAGAGTCAGGACAGAAAGAACCACAATGCTCCTCCGTGCCCATGCCTCCAGTCTTATCACACCTCCAGCCCTCGTCTTTTGGGCGAGCCCTTTCTACTTTGGGTTTTCGATATAAAGCACAAGTGGTCACCTCCAGGTCATTTCCTAATTGGCCTAAATGAGGTAAGAGCTGGACAATTATACAGCCACAGGGGCCAGCCCTCCCCATGCCTCAAGCCTCAGACAGAGAGCTTATTTTATTTCTGGTTTTACGGGGTTCATTTATTGTTGGCCTTTGGGTTGCTGGTGTCTCCTGTGCCCAGTGTGGTGATTTTATGTGGATACTAGGTCTGATTGCCCTTCAGAAAAGTTCTGCTTTTAATTAAGCTTTTTTTTTTTCCTTCAGTGGAGTGTGGGGCTTTTGCATTTTAGTGCTTGAAAAATAAACATTTCTTATCAGTTTTTTTATGATATTTATTATTGTCTATCCATAATTGTCTCTGTGGCTAAGACTTTCTGTACACCCAAAAGCCTCTGCTCTTTCATACCAGGATAAGTCTGTGTTTCCCCATTGAAGAAAGAAAATCCCCCTTTTCTAGATGGCAGAAACAAAAATACAGATGGCCTTGCATGCAGAGGCCTGGAGCCCTCCTCATAGGCTCTCCTTCATGGTGGTTGCCAAGGAGAAAGACAGGGATCTTGCCTCTCTCTGCTGCTCCTCCAGGCCAGCTCCAAACAGACACGTCCTCCACAGGGCTTCTTGGATCCCCCTAAATCACCACATTCCCACATCTCCAGATCTGTCTGACCACCCAACCATTTTGCAATTTCTTGTGGAATTATTGTTGGGTTGCAGTTTGTTGTTTTACATGTGTTACTCTCCCTAGCAAGATTCATTCACCATCCACTCATGCATGTATCCAACCCACATTTATTGAGTACTGACTATATGTTTGATTTCATTCAGGATACTGAGAATATAGGGGCAATCCTGGCAGATATGCTACCTGCCTTCTTGGAGCTTATAGTCTCAACAAATCAGTTGTTTAATTACAATAATTGGGACTGTCATGACAGGAAAGTACACATGGGATTCTGACCCATCAGGAATTATACACGTCTCAAGGCCAGATACCAAGTTTGTCTTTTCAAGTTGTGGGATGACCTTGGTCTTACTATAGAACAAGGAACCATGATACAATTGGCAAACCACAGACGGTCTGCTAGTATCCTCTTCTCCAGCATAATCAGAAGCCATGGGCTCACCCCGACTCCTCCTCCTCCCTCACTTCTTGTGCCAAATATGTGTTGTGGGCTCCCAGCCAGCACTCACCCTTCTGTATTCTCTGTCTCTCTGGGGCTGAAATCCTGTGAATTCCATCACCCAGATTTCCATGCCAGCTGGGTTCCAGATAGGTTCAGCCAGGAGGCAGCATTCTCAACAAGTTAGAAGATAGAGGGACGCTAGAAACCCATCTACTTCTAGTGACACCTCTGCAAATAGTGACATCTCGGTTTCCAGCAGTATCTTTGCAGCAGCTCCACTAATATTAGTGCCAACACCACAGGTCACTGGTTAGCACCATAAGCTTGTGCTTCCAGTAACAAGAGCAGTGAATGTTGGCTCATGGGTTCCATCCCAGAGGCAGTACATGTTCTCAGTCTCTGTGTAAACTTCATTTCCTATTTTGCTGTTTCAGCTCTTCCAAAAATGCTGTAACCAATATCTTGAATTAAATCCTTCTCACTTAAAAAATCTAGAATGGTTTCTGTTTTCCTGCTGGGACATAGACTGATAAATCCACCACCACCACAAACAACTATCTGGCCACGAAGTCACCAATTCCTATTGTGTACACTTCTTAAGCATCTTTAAAATCCATCTTTTCTCCAGCTCCACTATCATTTCCATGCACTTGGCCTGAAATGTATTTTCTGGACTATTGCTAGTGCAACTCGAATAGTATTTTCTCACACTAGTCTTCTCTCTCTCTCTCTCTCTCTCTCTCTCCTTCCCCTTCCCTTCTTTTCTCCCTTCTGCAAAATGGATCCTCCACACTACACCAAAGAGAACTTCCAGGAAAGCAAATAGGTTATAAAATTCCTTTGTTTAACACACAATTGGATTTAGATTTCAACTTCCAGCTAAGACACAGAAACACAAATTGGATATAATCTCCCTCTTGAAACAACTAGAAATCAAGATAAAATACATAAAACAACAGTTTTCAAACTGTTAGGCATCAAGCAACTGAGGACGTCAGTCCCTGGGAGATGGGAAATAAATTAGGCAAGTCTTACAATTGCCTCAGCCTACTGCCTTCAGAAAGTTTTCAGATTCTCATGCCGGGAAACTGAATCACAGGTGGAGCCCAGTGAACTCTCGGAGTTGGGAAGATGGAGTTGAGAGCTGGGGAAGACAAATGTGGCTGCAGTTAGAGTACCAGACAGGAAAGACCTACATAGAGGGAAAAGTCTAGAAGTCAGTAGAAACTCTCTTGAGTATGCAGCAGAGCACTGATCAGCGTGTTTGTATAACAAAAGCCACTGGGCCAGGGGAAAAACCGCGGGAGCGACTAGAGGAAATGACACTGGGAACTCACAGTGCTAAGAATAGTGTTTGTTTCCACTAGCCAGAATGAAAAGCTTATAATTTATGGGATACTGGGCAGAGGACTCAATAAGGTGCTGCCTCAGTGGTGGAGAAAACTAGCCCCAGCGAAAACTCAGACTTCCTAAAGCAATACCCAAAAAGATTAAACTACTTTCAAGGAACGTAATTTCATCCCAAACAAAGGCAAAGAATATTTATAGAAATACATAGATGTCCAAACCCTAATAAGGTAAAATCCACAATATGAATATCCGATTTAAAAAAAAAATCACCAGGCATGCAATAAAGAAGAAAAATAGTACCCATGGAGAAAATGATCAAACAGTCAAAACTGACCTAGATCTGAAACAGACGTTAGAATTACTACATAAAGCAATTAAAATGGTTATTATTATAGTATTCCAAATATTAAAAAAAGATACACATAGAAAAAAGACCCAAATCAAACATCTAGAGGTAAAAAAATCACTGGATGGGAGTAACAGAAATGTAGACAATATAGAAGAAGAGATTAGTCAACTTGAGGACGCAGCAATAGGAAGTATAAAAAATAAAGCATACTAAGAAAAAAATATTTTTTAAAAGCACATAATATCAAAGAGCTGTGGGACCATTTTAAATGGCTTAATGTATGTACAATGTGTGCTGCTGAAGGAGAGGAAAGAGAGAAGATAGTACAAAAAAATTAAAATAAATAATGGTTGAAAATATTCCAGATTTTTTGTTTTTAATTTTTATTTTTATTTTATAATAAACATTACAAATATTGCAGAGTTCTTGTATACCCTTCACTCAGCTTCTCCTAATGTTATCATCTTATATAACCACACTACAAAGTTAACAGTGATTCAATACTATTATCTACATAGTAGATAAGGTAAAAATTCAGAGCATATCTAAATTTTGCAAATTATTCCACTAATTTCCTTTTTAAAACTTTATTTTAGGTTTAAGGGTACATGTGCAGGTTTGTTGTATAGGTAAATTGCATATTACAGAGGTTTGGTGCACAAATTATAGATTCAATTGCTATAAAATCACAAATACAAGAATCTCTACTGCTTTGGATCCAGGGTTAAGAAAAAATCTCAATGAACCCCAACCACAAGAAACATGATAAAAACAATACCAAGATATATCATAAACAAATTGCTCAAAAGCAATTATAAGGAGAAAATCTTAAGGCAGCCAGAAAAAAGAAACGACATGTTACAGAGAGAAAAGGAAAATAATTACAGTAGAATCCTCATCAGAAACTATGCAGGCAAGAAGAGAGTATAGCAGTGTCTTTAAAATACTGAATTGGGCCAGGTGTGGTGGCTCATGGCTATAATCCCAACACTTTGGCAGGTCAAGATGGCTAGATGACCTGAGATCAGGAGTTCAAGACTAGCCTGGCTAATATGGCAAAACCCTATCTCTACTAAAAACACAAAAATTAGCTTCATGTGGTGGTAAGCACCTGTAATCTCAGCTACTCAGGAGGCTGAGGCATGAGAATCACCTGAACTCAGGAGGTAGAGGTTGCAGTGAGCCTAGATCATGCCACTACACTCCACCCTGGGCAAAAGAGCGAGACTCTATTTCAAAATAAATAAATAAATAAAATCCTGAATTAGAAAAATAACTATGAATCCAGAACTCTACATCCAGCAAAAATATTTTTTCAAAAATGAACGTAAATGCTAGAATAAGGTGTCAATAATAGAGAAAACTAGATGCAGTATATATGGGAACTGTCTGTACTATCTTCCCAATTTTTCTGTCAATCTGAAACCATCCTAAAATATACAGTTTAATTTAAAAAGTGAAATACATATTTTTCCAGTCATATAAGAGCCGAGAAAGATCCACACTATAAGAAATGTTAGAGGAAGTCCTTTGGACAGAAGAAGAATGATACCAGTTGAAAATATTGATCTACACAGAAGAATATAGTGTACCAGAAGTGGTAACTAGATGGATAAATATAGTGTTTCCTGTTATTCAAATATTTTCAAAGATAAATCTTTAAACAAAAGTCAATAACAATGTACTGTAAGGTACATAACTTATATAGAAACAAAATATATGACGTTAATAGCACAATGACTGAGAAAGGAAAAATTAAAGTATAATTTTCAAAAGTTCTTATAGATATACAAGTTAGTATAACAACACTTGAAGATAACAAGCTAGAGATGTATACTATAAACCCAAAATCAACCCCTTAAATGATAAAAGAGTTGTAGTTAATAAAAAACAAAACAGATAAAAAGGAATTATTAAAATATTTGATCCAAATAGGCATAAAAAATTAAAAGTGAGTAAATATAACAAATAGAAAGCAAATAGAAACATTACATATTTATCTCTAATTATATCAATATTCATATTAAATATAAATGGCCTAAATACCCAAATTAAAAGGAAGAGATTGTCAGATTGGATATATAAGTAAGAACTCACCTCTATGTTGCCTATAATAAGCAAACTTTAAATATAAAGATATATTTCACTCAGAGAGGATGTGAAAGAATATTAAAAAGTAAGAGGATACAAAAACATGTCATGTTAACACCAAGCAAAACAATGGCTATATTAATATCAGACAATGTAGATTTCAGAGCAAAGAATATAACCAAATACACATACATGCAAGGTAATTTTATCAAGAGGACCCAATAATTCTAAGTGTTTATACACTTAATAATAGAGCTTCAAAATACATGAAGCAAAAACTGATCCAACTGCAAAAATAAATAGACACATCCAGAGTGACATGTGGAGATTTTAATAACTCCTTTAATAATTGATAGAACAAATAAAAAATTAGTAAGGTGTAGTGGTCAGTTCTCATACTGCTATAAAGAACTACCTAAGACTGGGTAGTTTATGAAGAAAAGAGGTTTAATTGACTCACAGTTCTGCCAGCTTAACAGGAAGCATGATTCAGGGGCCTCAGGAAACTAACAATCATGGGGGAAGGCAAAGGGGAAAGCAGGCACATCTTATCCTGGTGGAGCAGGAGAGACGGAGAGAGAGAGAGAGAGAGTGAAAGGGGAAGTGCCACACACTTTTTTTTTTTTTTTTTTTTTTTTTTTGAGACGGAGTCTCACTCTGTCGCCCAGGTTGGAGTGCAGTGGCGGGATCTCGGCTCACTGCAAGCTCCGCCTCCCGGGTTCACGCCATTCTCCTGCCTCAGCCTCCCAAGTAGCTGGGACTACAGGCGCCCGCCACTACGCCCGGCTAATTTTTTTTTTGTATTTTTAGTAGAGACGGGGTTTCACCGTTTTAGCCGGGATGGTCTCGATCTCCTGACCTCGTGATCCGCCCGCCTCGGCCTCCCAAAGTGCTGGGATTACAGGCGTGAGCCACCGCGCCTGGCCGTGCCACACACTTTTAAATCATCAGATCTCGTGAGAATTTCCTTACTATCATAAGAACACCAAGGGGGAAATCCACCCCCATGATCCAATCACTTCCCACCAGGTCTCTCCTCCAACTTGACGAGAGATTTGGGTAAGGACACAAATCCAAACCATGTCGAAGAATATAAATGATGTTAACAAAACAATCAACCGTCTTGACCGAAGTGACATTTATAGAACACTCTACTTGATAAAAACAGAATACTCATGATTTTTAAGCACACATGGAACATTTACCAAGACAATATCATGCTCTTCCAAAACTGACTGACTTATAAATTGGCACACAAATTCTGAGTTTGTGTGCTTTTGTGTTCACATGATGTTCCCTTGGTATACATGCCCTTCCTTTTCTACGGATCCCACCCAACCTGGCTAACTCCTGTTTATCTTTCAAAACCCAACTCAGCCACTACCTCCTTTACAAGACCTTCCTCAACTACGTCAAATAAATTCCTTTCTCCTCCGCATGACTATAATACTTTGTAAATGTATTCATCCTTGCTTGTATCACAGTATGTTAAATTATATGTATAGTTTTTCTGCTTCTCCCACTAGATAACAAAGATATAATTTAGGGTAAAAGTCACATTATTATAATTAACAGCATATGCTATATTTTATTTATTAATGATAACTATCATCTGTGATTACCTATTACATGCCAAACAGTAATTTTCATTGCATTTTTTAATGTAGAGGCAATTTTAAGAAACATTTATATATAACTGTTATGTGTCAAACTCTGGTACAGAATATAGAAAATCTCCCCAAAATATATTTGGAAATCTTAAGGGTAAGGTGATGTGGCCCTACTAAATGACCTTTATTTAACAGACTCATAAATCACGGTGATATTCCAAATCAAACTAAATAACATCAAGATGGCATTTGTCCCTACACAATAAAGAAATTCCAAAATGTAGAGCTATTTACTGTCTTCCTTTAAGTTTTATTTCCAATAACACTACGAGGCACGGATGTTGACTATGTGCTGGTGTAAACACTGTCTTGAGTGGCCCCAATCAGAACTGTCTCCCAGTGAGAGAGCTAAGGAAGCCAGAACCATCCTCTGACCCCTTGTCCCATCAATGAGAATAAATTACCCCATTGAATGGGGAAGAATATTTTTCATTCATTGATTCTCACAGCCATCCAATAGTCTGGATTGCCTCTTGCACTCAATCTTTCACTTCAGAAGGAGAAATTGTCCTCACAAATGGACACCCACTGTGCATCTCACAAACTTTGCATTTGATTTATCTGTGGCAAGCCAAGGAGAAAAACCAGATTTTTCATCAAACATGCCCTTAAATTGTCTGAATTCTCATCAACAGCATCATTCACACAAGAAAAAAAAAAAAGCAGTGATTTGATATAAGACTTCACTCTGGCTGCTTAGTAACATAGTCTTAATGTCCTTTTTGGCTTGACTAGGTGGATCAAAAAGTTTGATTCGCTTTTCTTGCTGCAAAAGTCCTAGATTATTGGGCTAGAAATGAAAACCATTTTTCTTTTTCAGTCAGGGAAAAAGAAAACATTTGCCACATCATTATATACAATATATTGTAGTGGAAAGCACTTAGAAAAATGCCCAAGGCAGGTAGTTACTGCACAACACCAAGAAGACAAAACTTAAGTTCAATGGCAAAGAAAATTTGCCATATTTTCCCCAGCTATGGACCCTGATCCCTTACAGATAACACCATCAGGGCTTGGCACTTAGGCATCCAGAAAAATGGCATGTAGATTGGCATCATGGAATTCAAGGGCACATTAATACTTGCTAATGGGGCTGGGTTTCTACTTCAGTAGAGTCCTGCATGGCAGGAACTTATGAAAAGCCCTTTCCCTTGTAAATTCATGGCCCTTGAGGGAGCTAAACCTGATGATTCCAAGAATATGTTCAGGCACGTAGAACACTAAATTTTCAAACCAGAAGACCCTGGTGGGGACAGCACAATGAAAACAATTCTGAATTATACAAATCACGATCATAGATTACAAAGGTAAAGCTGCTAGTTACCTCTTTGGTTTTCTTTGCATGGTTGAATTATTTAGAAATTCCTTCAGCCAGTCAAACTATGTTGATTAGGTGATAACTAAATTGTTTTCTCGTTTATAATTCCAGCTAAGATTTCAGCTTGATGTTATTAGTTATCATGTTAATGATAACAGATAATGTCAGTTATCATGGGCAAATGTGCTCTTCTTCCTTCCCTCCCTCCCTCCCTCCCTTGCTTCCTTCCTTCCTTCCTTCCTTTCTTCCTTCTTTCCCTCCTTGCTTCCTTTCTTCCTTCTTCCTTCTCCCCCTCTCTGCCTCCCTCCCTCCCTCCCTTCTTTCTTCTTTCCTCTCTTGCTTCCTCCCTCTTTCCCTTCTTTCCTCTTTCTCTTCTTCCTTCCTTTCTCTTTTCCTTCCTCCTATCTTCACAAAGACCTTTGTAGATTGTAGATACAAGGCCACTGTCTTCATGCAACAAAACGTAATGTAGAAGCCCCAGGTTTTGATACTCGCTGGGCAATTCACTTCCACTTATGTTTATTTCAAATAAGACTAATAATTTTGCACGAGACTGAGATCTCCGAGGGCAGGGACATCAGCATTTTTACTTTTCAGCACCTAACAGAACACCTGGCACACAATATATGCTTAATAAATATCTCTTAAATGACCCTGTGTTTGCCTCCTACGAGGAGGTTTTGTGAGACATAGAAAAATGTAAAGTATATAAAATCACTCTGGAAATTTAAAAACACTGGAAGCCAATATTGTCATAATTTCTCTAACTAAAGACCTAAGTCTTCATGGCAAAGGAGGAAAGAGTTAAATGCCTTCATAGATTAGAAAAATAGAATAATTCATTTTAAGAAACTGCTTATTTTCTAGTCCCTGATTATACATATAGACGAGTGACCCACGGCCTGTGGAGGCTTACTGTCATTGTTTTACTAGTAATATCTAATATTTCTTGAGCACTTTCTATGTTCTGGGTGCTATTCTAAGCACTTTATATATGCTGTGTCATTTAAACCTCATGGCAACCACATCAGGTGGTCACTATTATCATCCCCATTTTCCAGAAAAGGCACAGGGAGGGTAATGTGCGTAACCAAAGTTACCTAACTAGTTAGTTGAGTCAGAATGCATGTCCAATCAGGAGGAAATGGAAGTATGCACCAACTGTGAGTCACATTTATATACATTTTTGCCACATCTAGTTATTTACTAGAGCTAAATTTTCTGTATGGACATAATTGGGGTCCATCAGTAAAGGAATTGTCAGAATTCTAAATCTCTAATTCTAACTTCTAGTTAGGAGTTAGACCCATGAGCAAGATTCCATCCACATCAAACATTAAAATCAGTTCCATTGTCTTTCTAGAAAGATTAGTTTCACAAATACCACTTTTATGATCCACAGTTTTTGACTCTAGCTTTTAAAATCAGTTACATCATTCCACCATGAGGTGATTTCAATGCCATTTAAGTATAAGTCTCTCCCCTCCAGCTTCATGGTCAGATTCAAATTGAAATTCCTGGGCAATTCATCCAATTATTTGAAACTTAGTTTCCTCATCTATACAATGGAAATATATAAACTTAGCTCATCATGTTGTTGTGAAGATTCAGTGAGGTAACGTAAAAACCTGTGACTGTTATAAGTAACTCAAAGGATGCTTCAAAATTCCACATATAAAACAGTTGGAGTTACTTGAATAAGAGCTAGGCTTAGCAAATCCCTCTCTAGAAAGAAAACAAATTATTTCAAGAAAATACTCTTTCAAACACTTCAAAACTTGAAGGATTGTGAAATTAGAAGTTATTTTATATTTTTACCTTTTAATGGTAACAGTATTCAACAGCCACTATCTGGATATTCTCTGTTTGTGTGGTTTCAGGTATACCTTAAGTGACTCAGTTCCAAGTGCGTTTATTTTAAACAATACTAAAATGCAGATTTTCACTAGTTCAGACTGTACTCCCCCACTATCAATTCAGATCAGTGAGGTTTTAAAACAAATCAAATCATCCTGAAAAGCACATCACCACCCACCCAGCAGGCACTGAACAACTGCCACATTCTTGACACGAGCTGGTAATGTACACACCGAGACCAAGCCATCAAAATGTGCCATCTTGGCTTTCATGGACCCTATGAGCTAAGACAAACACACTGACATGTCATGGAAAGTAGTTTGAGAACAAATCAGAGCATAAATGCAGCTAGAGTATGTGGGAGACAGTTCCAATTCTCGTTTTTAAAGTAATTGTTTTCCTGAATTACAACATAATACAAAGAAAGATTTTCCAAAGTCAAATAAAACAGAAAGAGCTAAACATAATTTAAAAGTCTCCTATTAATCTACCTTTCTAAGACCACTAACTATAGGACTATAATGCTTTCTGTGTGTGTTTGTGCATGCATGTATATGTGTATATGTGCATATAATGAATATGTATTTATATGGTTAATATATATACACACATAAAACACAGCATGTATTTGTTTTAAAATGAACCGCTGAATCATGCTGTGTAAACTGTAGTTAGAATTTGTCTCTTAGTAATCTATCTTTAGAGTAAAAACACATCTTGCTTTATATTTTTTAGGGTCTTTGGACAGAAGAGAGGAATCGGTTGGTGCATAAGTTAGGTTTTCATTTCTGAGTTGGTTGATTGGATAAGGTTTAGGTGAGGGGAGAAGAGCTTGAGATGGACAAAATAGGCAAAGAATATAAATAAGAAATGGTTTTCAAAAAGGAAATGGGTATTTTAAAACAGAATCCAGGTGAGAGAGGGGTGAGGGGATTGAATAACAGACTCAAAGCAGTAAGTCAATGCTTTGCCCCCACCCAGAATCTGAATCTGAGCTAACTAGTTTCAAACAATACAGGGGACTTAGTATATGAGCTTTGATGTCACCAAGGAAACAACCAGTTGGGAAAGGGTGGGTGTCATCCTTCTAACACTTCCAGGCTGGGACCACCACTCCAGTGGAAAATAAATCAGAGTGGAGAAGAGTGGGGGAAGGAGGGAGAAAAACTTGGCATTTCTGGACAGTGTACACAGTGAAAATGGGTTAAGTTAGCTCAGAAAAGACTCAAGTCCCTTCAGCACTAATTGTATTTCAGTGTTGAGAAGAGATGGGATTTTGTGGCTTTCTTGGCTTCCACTATTAGCTGAAAAAGAGGCAGAGAATTTTTTTTAATAGAGGTTCTTCTGTAAAGAAAGCGGGGAAACAATAGCTAGCTGTCACAGCCAGCTGATATCTACCTTTGATCAGCCAAATGAATGTTGCAGGCATTTCTTATAGAAAGGAGATTGCTTATCGATCTATATCAAAATATGCATGCTAATACCAGGCAGCAGAGAGTATTTTCAAGTGGAGTTAATAATCTGATTGCTGCCCTGTCTGGAGCAATTCTCTGAACTCGGAGCTCTAATCAGTCCAGGGTCTTGCAGTCAAATGTACTTTGCTGTTTAAATTTGGATTTGTGACATTGATTGAGGAGCCCTTGTAAAGGTGTTGACAAATCAAATTGTTTGTTCCAGTAGTGTTTTGCCAGAGATCAAGTCCAAAGTAATACACAGTGAATTTGTTCATTACTAGTAGGGTGAAAGGAATGATAAAATTCACCTGCATCATTATCACAGACATAAGCCTAATAAAAGATATGTTCTGTCTGAAGAAAATGTAGTTTTGTGGGTGCTTTTGTGAGTTATACAGCGGGGTGGCCCTTCTAGACCTGGAGGATATTAGGTATGTTTTAAGAAAGCTAGGCAAATAAATCTATTCCATGTTTAAGATCAGAGCACTTTGTTTACTTGGTTGAAAAACAAACTGAAAAGATGGGCAGATAGATGTCATGTGCTATTTGAAGAAGTCCGTAGGCACACAGACCCATGTGAGATAGAAGACTCATCTACAAGTAGAGGATGTAGACAAAGAAGAAAAGCTCCTAGGTGCTCAATAGGTGGTCCCCATTCATCTGAGGATTGGTAGACCATCTTTATCTGTTTCCATCTGACTTGGGAACTTGCATGAGTGGAAATGACATTGATAAATCTATAGGTCTTGATGAAGTAGGAGGTGGGACTTTACTCTGGACCAGATTGAAGAACTGGCTGACACAGGGAAGAGTCACCAAAAGCACCTCCCTATAAAACATGCCCACCAGTGCCATGAGAGTTTACCACTGCCATGGGAACACCAGGAAGCTACCCTCCTCCCTCCCTTCACTTGGCAACAACCCAGAAGTTACCACACTTCATCTAGAAATTTCTAAATAACCCATGCCTTAATTTTCATGTAATTAACAGCAGGTAGAAGTATGACCGCAGAACTTCCCTGAGCTGCTACTCTTTACACACTGCCTATAGGGTAGCCCTGCTCTGCAGGAGCAGTCACAGAGCTATAACACTGCTGCCTCAATAAAGCTGTTTTCTTCTACTACCAGCTTGCTCCTGAATTATTTCGTGAGCAAAGCCAAGAACCTTCCCAGGCTAAGCCCCAATGTGGAGATTCGCCTGCCCTGTACCATTAATACCCCTGTGTCTGATGTGAGGCTGACTTGGTAGGTAGAGTAAGGCTGGAGAGCACACACAGAACTGTCCTAGGTTGGGTTCTCCCAGAAGCTGATGCTGAGATTGGAATGTGAGTTTATTTTGGAGGTGATCCCAGGAAGCACTGGTGAATAGGAAGGGGAATAGGAAGTGAGCCAGGGAAGGGAAGGAATACATCACATGTTAATGAGCAGGTTACTGCTGTGGGCACATGGGGGATGGTCCTGCTCGGGACTCTGAAATAGCAGAAAGATGAGAAAGAGAAAGAATCTGACCTTGCTAGAGGCAGAAAGGAGCCAAGAGAGACAGAAGCTCCTGCTTGAGTTCAAGTATTTGGGCTCAATAAGCACATTGCCCTGGACATTTGAATTACTGGAATGCTACCGTTTGGGGCAGCAGATGCAATTCAGGATTAGGACAGGATGAGCCCATTGACTAGGTTTCTGGAAAGAGTGGGAGAAAAGTTGACGCTGTTTTGTATTCCAACTTTTCACATCACCTTGACACAGTTAATAATATTATCGATAATAATAATATTAACAGCTAACATTTATTTTATATATTTCATGTTCCAAGCACTTTTTTACATGTTTAAGCGTACTACTTTAGTGTTTTTTAATCTGGAGATTGTAAGCCTTCAGTAGGTCTAAATTAATTTACTGGGTTGCCTGTGAAATAGAAGAGAACACAACAGAATAGACTAGAATAAATTTTGTTACAGTGGAAAATATCAAAGTGTCTAATCCCTCAGAAGGACTAGTTTGGTTTGATGAAAACTCTGTTTTAATTACATGTGTGGGGGTGTGTGTATGTGCACATGTGTGCACACTAGGTCACAGTGTAAAATATATTTGCCACTGTGTATCAAGTATAAGTAGAGAAAGACTGAGTTTTCTCATTTTAGTCTCATAACGATGCTCTAAAGTTGGCATTGTTATCCCCATTTTACAGGAAAGAAAACTGAGATTCTAAAATGTTGAATAACCTACACAAGTTCACACAGCAAGAAAGCGACAGGACCAGGGTTCAACTTCCTCCACAGCAGTGTTTGCTCTCCTCTATAGCAACCACAACACAGCCAACTCTTTGCAGCAGAGAAAATGTAAACCCTGGAACTTTCACAGAGAGCCTGTGCTGGGAAGCCTCCGGGACCATCTGCTCCTCCAGAAGGCTTGCAACTGTTCTTTTCATGTTTGTCAGAAGAGTTTGGTAACAAAACCCATTTAATATCAAACTGGAAGACAGCAGAGTGCTCCTTAGTGTTACAGCACTGTTGATGTCGCCTTAATTTATAACATGGCAAATGGTTAGGCAGATGGCATTTAATATATTCCCAGACATAAACATGAGGCTTAAGTTGTATATGGTATGAGATCCTGGGCTTCCATAAACTCTGTAGGAGGTAAACCTGCCCCTTCCCCCTCCTGCATATGAGCGGTGTTAACCATTCGGAGACACAGGCAGGACACACAGAACTGGCCCAGCTTCGAGAGACTTAGGTGGTAGGCTCTCCAACTCATCCCCAGGTAGTACTGGCCGCAACTGAAATATTTCATGTTAGTCACTAATTGCAAAAGGCAAGGCAAATTTTACGTAATAGAAGGAGCCTGGTCTTAGAGTCTAGACACCTGGGGCCTGGGTCTCATCTCTGGACCTCACAAATCATGTGACTTTGTTTTTTAATTGGTAGATTTTACCTTTTTTTTTTCTTTTTGAAACAGGGTTGCTCTATCACCAGGCTGGAGTGTAATGGTGCAATCACAGCTCACTGCAGCCTCAACCTCCTGGCCTCAAGCGACCCTTCCACTTCAGCCTCTCCAGTAACTGGGACTACAGGGGCACACCACCATGCCCAGCTAATTTTTGTGGTTTTTTTTGTACAGACAGGGTTTTGCCAAGTTGCCCAGGTTGGTCTTGAACTCCTGGGCTCAAGGCATGCATCTGCCTTGGCCTCCCAAAGTGCTGGGATTACAGGCATGAGCCACTGCATCCCGCAAGATTTTACCCTTTAAAACAGTTTCAGATTTACAGAAAAATTGAGAAGATAGTCCAGAGTGTTTTTCTATTACCATGCACACACAGACATGCACACACATGCACACACACACATGCACACACACACATACACACACAGTTCTTTTATTACCATTTTATATTAGTGTGATATATTTGTTACAATTAATGAACAAATATTAATACATTATCAACTAACATCCATAGTTTATTCTGATTTCTTTAGTTTTTACTTAATCTCCTTTTTCTGTTCCAGGATCCTACCCAAGACGCCATGTTACATTTAGTCATCATGTCTCCTTAGATTCCTCTTGGCTGTGACAGTTTCTCAGACTTTCCTTGTTTTTGATGACCTCAACAGCTTTAAGATACACTGGTCAGATATATCGTACAACGTCTCTCTATTGGAATTTGTCTGATGTTTTTCTCACGATTGGATGAGGCTATGGCTTTTTAGAAAGAGGATTACAGAGGAAACGTACCATTTTAATCAGATCATATCAAGGATACATCATACATCAAGGTGTTTTATCACTGTTGATGTTGACCTTGGTCACCTGGCGTAGGCAGTGTTAGCCACATTTCTCCACTGTTAAGTTACTTTCCCCTTTCCATACTCTGTAGAAGGATGTCACTGTGTGTAGCACACACTTAATGCATGGGCAGTTATGTAGTCCGTCCTTAAGGGTGGAGTATTTAAGTAATTTGTTTAGAATTCTGTCACATGGGAGACTTGCCTCTTCTTCCACTTTTATTAGTTTATACAATTACTTATTTATATCAGTATGCACTCATCAATATTTATTTCATATTTTGGGTTATAACCTAATATTACCTTGTTTATTTTGTTGCTCAAATTGTTTCAGCTTTGACTACTGGGCCGTCTCTTTTGGCTCCTATATGCCTTTGACATACCCTCATTGATATGGCATTATTGTTCTTAAAGACTTCCTGGTTTTCTAGCACTATAAGATGTTCCTAGCTCATCTTGTTTATTTCTCACCCCAGTCCTGCAATCAGACATTGTTTCAAGAAACTCTGGTTATTTTTATTGGAGAATAATATTAGGAACCAAGATCTGGCCAATAAGTATGTTTGTTGCTATTGAGCCATCTTTGAATCTAGACCCTCTTAGCTAATAGAGCAAAGAAATACTGTATATGTGTGTATAATACCCGTGTATATATGTATGCATATCTATAAGTATTTCTATATGTTATCATCTCTATTTTGAGATAAATATCAGTTCTTACTGAGGTCTTTGACTCGGATTTTTAAACATATAGATCATTCTGGTCTCCTGCCCATACTTATATAAATCCCTATTACAACATTCTAGTTTACACATATAGCATTATCAAAATTATTAATCTAGTCCCCCATGGGAAACAACTTTATCAATGGGAGTACAGTGCTTATGTGCAGTTCCTCCTGCCTTTAATCTTACAGATCCTATTCATTTCCAATGTTCCAATCAGTACCTTTACCCTTGTCCCCTCTAGTGATGTTATTTCAGACATTTGTGCTACAGTTAGAGTCTCTTATCACAGATTGCATTTTTTCCTGGGATCCCCTGACCTCCTAAATTTTTTTTCAAATATGTATACATGAAGGTTCACCCTTTGCACTGTAAAGTTCTATGGGTTTTGACAAAGGCATAATGTCAGGTATCCTCCCTCACAGTATCACACAGAATAGTTTCACCACTCTGATTGTGCTTCACCTGTTTATCCCTCTGTCTTCCCTCTCAAACTCCTGGCAATCATTGACGTTTTTACTTTCTCTATAATTTTTCCTTTTTCAAAATGTACTATAATTGGAATCAAATGGTATGTAATCTCTTCAAAGTGGCTTCTTTCACTAAACAATATGCATTTACATTCTTCCATGTCTGTGTGTGTCTTGATAGCTCATTTCTTTTTATAACTGAATAATATTCCATAACACGGATGCTCCACAGTTGATTTATTTGCCCATTGAAGTACATCTTAGTTTCTTGCAGTTTTTGATGGTCTTGAGTAAAGCGTCTATAAACATTTATGTGCATATTTTTGTGTGGACAAAAGTTTCTAATTCAATTGGATAAATATTAGAAGCACAATTGCTGGACCATATGGCAAGACTGTGCTTAGCTTTGTGAGAAAACTGCCAAACTGTCTTCCAAAGTAGCTGTTCTTTCTGCATTCTCATAGAAATGAAGGAGAAGTGTTTCTGTTGCTCCACAACCTTCCCAGAATTTGGTGTATTCAGTGTTTTGAATTTTAACATCTTAATTCTAATACGTGTTCCATAGTAATATCACTGTTCATTTAAATTGCATCTCCCTAAAGATAAATGATGTTGAACAAGTTTTCATATGCTTATTTGCCATAAGTATATCTTCTTTGGAGAGGTGTCTGTTCAGATCTTTTACCCATTTTTAGATTGTGCTGTTTATTTCTTTTCTTGTTTAAAAGTTTAAAAGTTGTCTGTATATTTTGGATTAGGTACATGTTTCGCAAAGTTTTTCTCTTAATCTGTGGTTTGTTTTTTTTATTTTGATAACACTATCTTTTGCAAAGCAGAGATTCTTAACTTTAATAAAGTCCAGCTTATCAATTTGTCTTCTTATTGATTGTGCATTTAGTGCTATATCAGAAAATGAATTGCCAAAACTAAAGTCACCTAGATTTTCTCTTGTGTTACCTTCTTGAAGTGTTATAATGATTTTTTCCACAAGAAAATTCAGAAATGATAGAAGTTTTATAGTTTTGACTTTTTCATTTAAGTCTATGATCCATTTTGAGTTAATTTTTGTAAAAGGTGTAAGTTCTGTGCTTAAATTATTTCTTCTTTCCTTCTTCCCTTTGTTCCTTCCTTTCTTTCTCTTCCTTTTGTCTTTTTTTTTTGTATGGTTCCAAGTATCATTTGTTAAAAAGACTATCTTCTATCTTTTTTCCATTGAATTACTTTTGCTCTTTTGTCAAAGATCAGTTGACTATATCAGTGGGGGTTTATTTCTGGGATTTCTATTCTGTTCCATTCCTTTATATGTCTATTCTTTTTCCAATACTATACTGTCTGGATTACCGTAGGTTTATCGTAAGTCCTGAAGTTGGGTAACGTCATTCTTCCAACTTTGTTTTTTTTTTTAATTTTCAGCATTGTCTTGGCTATTTTGAGGCTTTTGCTTTTTTAATATAAACTTTAAAATCAATTTGTTCATATCTACAGAAGAGCATGCTGGAATTTATATTGAGATTGTGTCGAATCTATAGATCAAGTTGGAGATAATTGACAGATTTATAATATTGAGTTTTTTCATATGTAACTTTTTAGATCAGTTTTACTAAGGCATAATTGACATATAATAAACTGCACATATATAAATTGTGCAGTTTATGCATTTATGAATTTATTATATCATAATATGATAAATGCTGATTCATGTATGCATTCCCAAAGCCACTACCGCAATCAATATAATGAACAAATTAGTCACCACCAAAAGTTTCTCCATGACTCTTTGTAGTCTCTCCCTTGTCACCCTCCTCCCCAGACATCCACTGATTTAATTTCTGTTACTATATATTAGTTTTTATTTCCAATAATTTGATGTAAATGGAGCCATACCACACGTAATCTTTTTGGTGTGATATATTTTCGTTCTATAATTATTATGAGAGTGACAACTGTTGTAACATGCACCCACAGTTTATTCCTTTCTATTGAGGAATAATACTAATTCATGTAGATATACTACAATTTGTTTATTGATTCAACAGTTGATTGACATTGGATTGTTTCTAGCTTTCGACTATTACAAATAAAGCTCATATGAATATTTGTGGACAAATCTTAGTATGGGCATATACTTTCATTTCTTTTTGGGTAAATTCCTGGAAGTAAAACGACTGGGTCATATGGTAGGCACAAGTTCATCTTTTTAAGAAACTGCCAAATTGTTTTTCAAAGTGGTTACATTTCTATAAGCAGGACATGAGAGTTCCAGTTCCTCCACATCATCACCAACACTTAGCTTTTTAGCTAAGTGTTAAAACTTTTTCATTTTAGCCATTCTAGTAGGTATGTAAAAATATCACAGTGTGTTTTTAATTTGCCTGCCTGGTAATCTCTGAGTGCTGGATATTTTTGTATTCCTGTTAATACTCTTGACTTTTGTTCTGAGATACAGTTGAGTTACTTAGAAACAGTTTGTTCCTTTTGAAGCCAGCTTTTATTTCTATACCATTTGTTAGGTGGGTCAGGAGCAGTACTTAGTTTAAGGCTAATTATTCCCAATTCCTGAGTCAATACCATTCCTGATTCCTGAGTATTCTACCCAATGTTTCACGAATTATGAGTTTTTCCTCTCTGGGCTGTGGGAACAGGCACGGTGCCCAGCCCTGTGCAAGCACTCAGCATTCTTCCCTCTAATCCTCTAATTGAATTGTTCTTTCCCCAGCCTTGCGTAGTTTCCTCACTTGCATGCACAAATCACTACTATGCTGAATATTCAGAGGGGACTCTCAGAAGAGCTCCAGGCTTTGCTGTGTTCACTTCTCTCTTCTGTTACTAGTCCTGTGAACTCTAGCCTTCTTGAGTCCCGAGACCCTCAACTCCCTTTCTTAAACTCAAGGAGTCTGCTGGGCTCTCCCTGAGTTTTGTTTCTCCATGCCATGGCCTGGAAACCTCTCAAGGCAGTAAGCTGGGGCAATTGTAGGCCCGTTTGGTTTGGTGTTTTCTTTCTCAGGGATCACTGTCTGTCTTTTTACTTTTCTTTTCTTTTCTTTTTTTTTTTTTTTGAGACAGAGTCTCACCCTGTCGCCCAGGCTGGAGTGTAGTGGTGTGATCTTGGCTCACTGCAACCTTTACCTCCTGGATTCACGTGATTTTCATGCCTCAGCCTCCTGAGTATCTGGGACTGCAGGTGTGAGCCACCACGCCTGGCTAATTTTTGTATTTTTAGTAGAGACAGGGTTTCACCTTGTTGGCCAGGCTGGTCTGGAGCTCCTGGCCTCAAACGATCTGTCTACCTCGGCCTCCCAAAGTGCTGGGATTACAGGCATGAGCTATGGTGCCCAGCCAACTGTCTTTATTTTATTATGTCCAATGTCTTGAAAACCATTGTTTCATATATTTTGTCTGTTTATTTTGATTGTTCAAGCACGAGGGTAAATCTGTTACTTTATCTATCTTGGCCAGAAGTGTAAACTTCCTGTTTACCATGTGACTTTAAGCAATATTAATGACACAATGGTTACTATTGAAAGGTCATTTACCCTGCTAACCTACCTATATTTTGCTTCTTTTCTGGTCTTCTGCTTCTTTTTCTGAAAATGGATGTCACAATTCCTGCTCAGTCCCTCATGGATATGGTAAGGATTGGTTGGTAATAGGTAAGAAGCCATTTTTTTGAACATCGTGGTGATGGTGGCAGTGGTGAATGTCAAAGTTCCCTTTATCAATACAATATATTTCTTATATTCAAAACCCCAAGTTCTCAAAAGTGTAGTAGGTGAAATCACTTGGGAATTGTGTTGGAAATATGGCTTACTGAGCCCTGACATGTGAGACATAGAGTTCAGTTTTTCAGTCCTTCCTTTTATTCAAGAATCCCAGACATTTCTAATGCCCAAGGGTTAAGGGTTACACTTTGAGAAAGTCTACTCTAGGCCACTCCTTTTGAAGCAGAATACTTTCCCACACTAACCAGTTCATTTTTGAGTCCTGGAGACAAGGGAGGATATGTTTCCATGGCCATTGAGGAGCATGAGAGTGAAAGTTTCTGTTGCTCCACAGCTCCAGGAAGTTAAACCCAACTCCAGGTAAACAAGATATGCATCTGTAGGAGAGGAAAAACAAAAGGAGGAGAAAGGAGGCTTCCCTTGCCTCTCACCTGACCAACAGAAGTAACACATGCTGAAGTTGCTAATCCATGGCAACTCCTTCCTCCACAGTGAGTGCTGTGATTTGGGTGAGACTGATCTTCTCTAAGATCTTGAAGTGGACCCTGGATGGTCTACACCAGCCAGAGGCACATCACCCTCTTGCACTGTGATTGGTTCATGAATGGACCTGTCCTCTAAAATGGTGAGGTCAGAATGAAGCTCAGAGCTTTGTTAGATGCTTGTGGGAAGTAAAGGTGTCTCACTCTATGGTGGAGCATCTAGCTCCAGCTCCTGCTGATGGACACTTGCAACCACAAGGGAAATAGATGTTGTAGTTAACACATAAGGAAGGGCAAAGGTGAGACAGGTGTGGAGAAATGGAGGCAGATCCCTGATAAAACTATGGCTGAAATGTAATACTATGGTGCTTTTTCTCCAAGTGAACCAATACATTTATTTTATTATCAGTTTGATTTGGGTTTTCAGTGATAGGTACATTAAAGCCTCCTGATGCTTAAAAAGCCAATAACTAAGGTATCAATGACTGGGGCAGTGCAACTCACCCTATGTTCATTAACGAATTTATTTGTTCCAACCCATTTCCAAGAAGCATTGTGGGATGTTAAGAGGGACTGTCTTTGGGAGACTGAGGTGGGTGGATCACTTGATATCAGGAGTTCGAGAGTAGCCTTGCCAATGTGGTAAAACACCGTCTCTACCAAAAATATGTAAACTAGCTGGGCATGGTGGCAGATATGTGTAATCCCAGCTACTCAGGAGGCTGAGGCAGGAGAATTGCTTGAACCCCGGAGGTGAAGGTTGCAGTGAGCCTAGATCTCACCACTGCACTCCAGCCTGGGTGACAGAGTGAATGTTTCAGAAAAACAAGAATAATAAAAAAAAAGAGTGTCTTCAAGCTGTTCATTGACACATGAAGGATGTGATATGACACCAACTGGAAAGGCTGGCCTCTGAGGTTGAGAAAGCCAAATGCTTCTTCCACTGGTGTCTTTTCTACTCTTAGATATAGGTTATTATTGTGTTATGGGATAGAAAGACTTCCTCTGTCTCATGTAGTTCAGTCTGATCCCTTCATGCCAATGGATTGATAATTCTGCCATAGGTTCTAAGTCTCTGGGGTTTTCAAATTTATTCTATTCTATTTTTAATGACAAGACACCCAAAATTTTGCTGCAAACGTGACTCTTATGGGAAAGCCTTCAAATCTTATTCTCTATTCTTGAAGATGTTGGAATTTCTGTGCTGTACTCTTTTTAAGGGAAAAAAATGTGTGTAACCTTTTTGCTTATGTCTCCTTCTATTGATTCTGGGTCCCTTGGTACTCTTTCGAGACCTGTTTCTCTTCCATCTCTCTCCCCTCTGTTTCTTGAACTAAAGGTTTGTGTTGAGCACTGCTCCATTTCCTCTTACATCACTACCACAGTAGTTTCCTGAGAATGGGATACACTTTGAAGACAGCGATGCTTCTTCTTTCTTGCTTGAGTTAAATGATGTTTATTTTTCAACCTAGGGAATATTTCACTTTCTTTCTTATTAGAGATTCTGATAATTTGAAAGACAGTAAAATCTGGAAACAGCATCTGCAAGTGCCAGCACTGGTGTATATTAAGCAGCACAGGTAAAGATGGGCTTGGACCCTAGAGAACTGTGCATACTGGATCTGCCCTTCAGCCTTCCATGCCTTCCCCTCTTCCTCTTTCTCTCTCTCAAAAAATAAAACAACCACATAGCTCACTCTTTTTGATCCCCTTTTTTGTGCTGGGCAAGGGTTTGGGGAACTCTAGAGCAGGGATTAGCAAACTTTTTTTAAACAGCCAGATAATAAATATTTTAGGCTGTGCTATTTGTGGGGCAAAATTAAAGCTATTGTGCAGGTACTTGTATAAACACTTAAAATGTAACCATTTCAAAATGTAAAACTCATTCTTAGCTCTTAGGTCATAAACCAATAGGCAGCTGGCCGGGTTTGGCTCTTGGAGTTTGCTGACCCTTACTCTTGAGAACTGGATAAGATTTTGATTCTCAAGGAATAGGAGGAGTTCTCAGTATAAGGAGAGCAGCAAAGAACAGTTTGAAAAATCTGCATCCAAGTCTGAAGCTTTTACATCAAATCCACCTTTATCAAATGCTACCTGTAAAAATCTATCTAGAATAATTTTCTTTGTAACCGAAGAAGGTATTACTCAGCTTTCCACTGAGGTGAGGCTGACATGTACAACGGAAGGGTGGAGCCTGGCTAAATGGTTCTGGGCTTTTCTCCTAGTTCAGAAAACTCTCGAGCCTCATCTTTTTCTAGTGTGATTCCTCCACTCCAGCTAACCACTCTGATTTGCGTGCAGCCTCTCACTTACCTTCTTTGTCACACATCCATGTCTTTTCCAGTTTCTGTGGCTGTACTGCACTCTTTCCCTCCTCAACCTCCCCAAATCCCTTTCATCCCATTGCAACTCATGCCAAATTCAACTTACTGCATCCATAATTTGAGGGATTGCCAAAGTGCACTATGCACAGACCCTGAAGAGTAAGCAAGTGGATTTCAGATGGAATATTATGGTAGACTGACTTCAAACATGGCCTCCAGTGATTCCTACCTGCTGGTATTTACACACTTGGATAATCCCCTCTTTTTAAGTTTGGGTTGGGGCAATGTGACGTGTTTCCAATGTGCTGGGATGTCACTTCCAAGATGTGGTGGGTTACGGGACTAAGACATCGTCTAGTAAGTGTACCCTCTCTCACTCTCTCACTTGCTCAATTTCATGAAGCCAGCTGCCATGTTCTGAGCTGCTCTATGGAGAGGTACATGTGGCAAGGAATGGAGGTGGCCTCTGGTCATTGGCCAGTGAAGATCTGAATCTTGCCAACAATCACTGAGTGAGCTTTGTATCAGGTCCTCACCCAGTCCAGCCTTGAGTCAAGAGCTGCCCTGACTAACACCGCAATTGCAACCTTTGAGAGACCTTGACCCAGAAGACTCAAGTAAGCCCCTACACATTACACTCATTACACAGAAAATAGATAACTAATACTTATATAAAGAAAGATGTTCATTCCAATAATCTCATATTTATCATTATGTCTATTGGGAAAAAATACAGCTTTACTAAATATTTTGGGTTTGTCAATGTATTTAAGTTCCAAAAAAATGAGTTGTTGTGAAGATAAGAGAATAATAGTACAGTTGATGCAGACATGGCACAGTATTTCAAATACCATAAAAATTACTAAAGTTTGGGAACTTCTGCTTTAGGCAATGGCTTTGAATTTACCACGTCCAACAATTTATCACCATTTAAGACCCTCACACTCTGCTTTCTTCTTCATCTCCATTAACCACTTTATTACTTGACAGTTTTGTGTAGCTATCTTGAGTGAGTGCTGCTGGCAAGGCAGAATGAACCTACTCTGAATTTTTGTTGAGATTTAGGACTGTTAGGACTGTTTTAGGTATTAAACAGGATACAAATTGAAGACATTTAATGTGCGGTTTTATGGATTTAACATGTTAAGTGGGACATCAGGACTTGCCTTCATAAAATAATTAATTTGCATAATGTGCTATGTATATAGGAATATAAAGGTTATAAAATGAAGCTAGGGCTTGGATGAATATTCAAGATTCTGGGATGACCTGGGCCAGAAAGAAGAGTTAAAAGGATTAGAAAAGTCTAGAGAAATTTTGAAGGGGAGTCAATTTAACACTCAATAAGTGCAAATTCTAAATAAGGCATTGCACCTACAGGTGGGAGTAAAAGGACCTACCATCCTGGTGTGCCTGGAAATGAAACACTTCCAGGGACATGGGAATTTTAGGGCAAATACCAGTAAGGTCCCAGGCAAAGCAGGGCAGTCAGTCACTCTAGGTGGTGACCTGTTCTTGTGGAGATTTGAATCTATAGAAAGCCATGATTAAGCAAAAATTGTGGGAGATGTTATGGTAGGCTGAATAATGACTTGTCGTATATATCTTCACATCCTAATCCTCTGAACCTGTGAATGTTACCTTATATGGCAAACATGACTTTTCAGAAGTGATTTAGTTAAAGGTCTTTAGATGGGTAGATTATCCTGGATTTTCTGGGTGGGCTCAATGTAATCAGAAGGATCATCAGGAGACGCAAAGTCAGAGGAGGAGAAGAACAGGTGATGATTAGAGTGATCTACTTTGAAAATGAAGAAGGGGACCATAGCCAGTGAGCAAAGGTGGCCCCTACAGGCTAAAATGTTTCCTTCCTCTAGAAGGACTCACACTCTGACACCTTGACTTTAGCTCAGTGAGACTGATTTTGGACTTCCGACCTCCAGAACTGCAAAAGAATAAATATGTATTATTTTAAGCCACTAAGTTTATGGTAATTTGTTATAGCAAAAATAGGAAACTAATATAGTGTACATCAATAAAAATGAGGGACAGGGTTCTGTGAACTCTTATAATAAATGTTCCCCTAGCCTAGAAGAAGTAAGAATGAAAGGCATAGTAGTTAAGCACTTCTTTCCAATGCGGGGAAATTATCACACCCTCAAAAATGCAAAATAACAAATTTTGGTATGTGAAGAAAATAATATTTTTATTTTTTTCTTTATTTCATTTTTATTACTCTATTTCTGGGCATGCTATATAAAGTAGATAATATAGTTGTGCATGCATATGCTTTTCAAATAAATAAGTAGGCATAGATGGAAGTGTATGTTCACACATTTTCTTCACAGTAAAGCAGACAATAAAAAAGGTTTTTGTTTTGTTGTTTTTTGTTTGTTTGTTTGTTCATTCTGGAAGGTCTCCAGCCCAGGCTGGAGTGCAGTGACACAATCGTGAGCTCAAGGAACCTTTCCACATCAGCCTCCCAAATAGCTGGGAGGGACCACAGGCACGTGCCCCACCACACTGGGGTAATTTCAAAAGTTTGATGCTGACTGATCCCTGCAGTTAGACTTGGGTTGTGCCAGAGTCAACCCAATTATTGTCCATTGGACTTTGGTGACATTTTGGAACCTCTCCCATCCTCCACATTTCCATCTGTAAAACAGGATTTTAATAATAATATTTTAGATGACAAAGATGGGTGAGGGTAAAAATTGAACCCGAATGTCAGAGCCAAGACTAGCATTTGTGAGCTAAGGGAGGTGCTCCCTCACAGGGCCAAGCAAGTGCAGGGGCAGCCCCCAAGCGTGGGTGCCCGTGACATTCTGGGTGTCCCAAGAGCCTTCCTTGACTCATCCTGCTGCATGTGGAACCACTGACATACACCTGGCACACAGACATTTTATTAACAAACCAACCTAGGGTCACTCGTCTGGCACAGTAAAGCCAAATATTCACACTGAGGTTTGCAGCAGGAGAAAGGAGGGCATTTACTTGCAGGGCACCAAGCGAGGAGAATCAGGCAGCTCATGCTTAAGACCCAGGTCCCTCTCATCCCTTTGCAATAACTTGCAGGCAAAGGTTTCTAAAGGCAGGCAGGCAGAGGTTACAGGCAGTCTTAAGTCAATACATGAAGGGTCTACATTGATTTGGCCTAAAAAGGGGGAACACCTTAAACAGGGGCCCACAGGTCATGGGTGCATTCAGAGATTTTCTGATTTGTAATTGGTTAAGGAGGCAAAGAGTTGTCTAAACATTTGGAATCAGCAGAAAAAGCATGTTAGCTCCAGGTCGTGGGCATGACCTCCTCCAGACTCCCCAGGAAGAAATTTAGAACAAAAATCAGAGGTTAGAGCTCTGCCCTCAGTTCCCTCTTATCTGAAGTCTATGTGCCAGCAGATCCATTTAGTGAGTGTCTGGGTTTCTGACAAACAACTCAGGGACATATGCTAAGATGTAATCTTTAGTTTTTATAGGGGAACTAAACATCCAGTGACTTCAGCTTCCTTGGCTATTGTTTCCAGGCACTACCACCTTTTTGCTTACTAAATTGCTCATTGAGTTCTCAGGGCTAGGTAGGTGCCTGGAATTTACCTTGAAGGAACTCAAGGTTTTCCTTTGTTTTTATGCTTGGGTGGGGAGAACCGACAGGGTCCAAAAGGATTTCCTTCTCCATCTCAATTTCTTAGTCCCTGGTGACTTGCCAGCTTTGACACTCACTCTCCTGGACTAGACTCAGACTATAAAGTCTCAACCATGATGCCACCCCAGGAAGCCTCAGATGCTGAGCTTCCCACATTCCTGCTCCCAGCTCCCTGATCTTCCTGGAAGAGATTGGGGTTGGCCTTTCTGGAGTAAAGTCTCAAATGCTGCCAAGCCTCACACTTGAGGCCAGCTCTCCACACATCAGGCACCCTCTTAAACATCTGTCTGTGGTGTGATTTATTCTATTTTAAAATGAGGTTTTCAAACAACTCACTATCTTAATTTTAGCAGTTCAGCTCCTTTGTATGCTAACAATACCAAACATGCAAATGAGCTACCACTTTGCTTTCTAGCAAAAATGTTTCTGTGCAAACACTTGATTTTATAACGCACTTTGCAGCTTTCTCCTATAATTAGTTGTTAAATCTATATTTGACTTTGTCTAAATGGTTGCATTGCAAGGCTGTTTTTCTTGCCTCTCACTTTTGCTAGTTCATTGTACCCCTACCCATGTGTCTGCTTGAAGAGGGAGGGGTATGATTTCCTGACTACATTTTAGACACAAGACAAAAACCAGGAAACGGGGCTGAAGTCGGCCTCCAGTTATGCTCAGAGGCCCAAAGGCTGCAGGTTGGGTTCAGGTTTACTCCACTCATCTCCTTTAATCAGCAGACTAGCTGAAGAACAGTCAGTGTATTCCTCCCACCATGAGGCCGAAGCAAGTCACATGGCCATGCTCAGTATCAGCAGAATGGGAAAGTATATTGCTCCTAGGGCAGTGAGAATAGGGAAAATAGTGAATATTTTTGAATAACAATGGGATCTGTCATAGGAAACAAAAGACTCATGGAGGATAATCTTAGAATGAGAAGGGGTCATTCATTTATGCAGTAAATGTTTACTGAGGGCTTACTTTACACTGATCACTGAAGGTGTATTAGTAATATAAGAGTTTAAACAAAAGAAGAAATAAACCCATATTTTCTTGTGCTTATAGTCTAGAGTAAAGAAGTCCTTAAAGTAAATGGGCATCCTGCAGTAATGCACACCTGTAGTCCCAGCTACTAGGGAAGCTGAGGTGGGAGAATCACTTGAGCCCAGGAGTTTGAGTCCAGCCTGGGCAATATGGTGAGGATTCATCTTCATTTAAAAAAAAAAAAAATTCACTGAGACCAGCTCCAACTCCAGGCCTGCTAATCTCTTATAGATTGTGGGGCCTGCAGAATATTTCCATTTTGGAGCCCTTATCAAGTAAAAGAATGCACAGTCATGACCACATCTTAGGCATAAAAATAATGTTTATTTAGAATAAGAAAAGAAATTATGGCAATACTAATATTAAAAAGCTGACAATATTAATAAACTGCAATATCCAGAAAAATAAAATAATTTTTTAATTAATTAACTACTTGATATATCTCTACAGTGATTTTTTTCTACGATTTTGGCTGTCACACTCTTTGCTTCTTCCTATGATGATGGCTTTGTAATATTTCCTAAAGAAAGAAGAGAAAGATAATTTAGCCTTTCCTCTAGTAGAGTTGATCAAAAGTCATAAAAATATGATACTTGGGATGCATAAAACATGCAATTTCACAGATAGATGTACTCACCGAAGGATACAGATTTGCATCCTTCACACACAATATTTCTGATAAATTATATTTCATGGATTCTCACAAAAATTGTGGTGGGTTTATAATTATAGAGTCAAAAAATGCTACTTTACTGAGTATATTCTGACAGGAAAGAACTTCTATTTTGACTAAGAGTCAATGTGAACAGAAATTTCTGCTTATAATTGCGCATATCTGATTAACATAGAATTTTTCATAGCTTCGCTTCTGCCCTTCTATCTCTCAAACTTCTTTTTTCTCTTCTGCCCCTCAAATTCTGAAGCCAAGTACCCCAGGACACATTCCTGTTCATACACAGTCTCTGTACTCACTCCTTCATATCATTATGCAGATGAGTTGGCCATGTGGGTAGGAGGAGTGTTCTTGAAGCCACACTTACACAGAGGCAACTAGCAACAACTTACTGTCCGTAGACATTATGAGACAGGTAACTATGTTACCCATGGAGTTACCCGTGGAAGGTCTTGACTGCAAGGTGTCCAGGTTCTTGGAGTTTTGAACAAAGAATTGGACAAAATGCACAAAGCAAGGAAAGAACAAAACAACAAAAGCAGAGATTTATCAAAAACTAAAGTATGCTCCACAAGGTGGGAGCAGGCTTGAACAAATGCTCAGGAGCCCTGGTTACAGAATTTTCTGGGGTTTAAAGGTTTCCCATTGGTTACTTGGTGTACACCTTATGTAAATGAAGTGGTGGCCCATGATCAGCCTGATTGGTTGCAGAAAGAGATCAATCAGAGGCTGACGTGAAGTTACAAAGTTAGACCCTATGTGAACGTCTGATTAGTTGTGGAAAGAGACCAATCAGAGGTTGAAGTGAAGTTACAAGGCTATAAACTTATGCATATAAAGATCTGGCCAGAGATAAGTCTGATTGGTTACTTAGACTTTAGATTAGAGGTACTTTCCATTTTTCATCTGTGACACAGAAAAAGTGAAGAAGGTTGCAAACGGAGTAGCCTCTGGTCCTTTTGCTACTTTTGCATGCAAAGTTGGAGTTTTCCTCTTTACTCAGTTGTAGGAAGTCAGCGTGAATTGGCCTTAGGTTCTCTGCCTCCAGACCCTACTCTACTGCCTCAACTATATCTTACTAAATATAAGTTACTAAATACAAGTCAACTATATCTTACTAAATACGAGTTAAATGTACCCCCAACTCAGTGTTCCTTTGATCAGTTTCTAAAAAATGTCCATGGCCACTCAATACATGCAGAGTATATTGGAGACGAAGCCAGGGTGGAAAAAGACAAGCCTTAACCTACTGAAGTTCAAATATCTAATTTTGCAAGTTTTTTACAGAAACATGAGACTATGTGAATTCACTGCTAGGGCTCATTTCTGGGCCTGATGAGGGGCCTAATAAGAAAATAAGAGGCCCTGAGAACCAAGCTCCATTAACTTCATGAAGCATCTGAATCTCCCTGGGCTACCCTGACTCAGACTTTCATCTTAAAGCTTCATGCTCAAGCTGGTATGGCTCTTTGAGGAACTCGTAAGAGTTCTGTGGTTCCCAGTATACTCGTAGGGTGCGTACTGGGAACCACAAAAAGGGAGTGTCCAGAGCCTTCTTTGCCTTTATGGATTATTTCATGAACTGCTTGATATGTCCTAAATCTTATCCTCTCCCTCTCTTTCTCTGTCTCCATTTCTAATCTACTGATCTTAAAATTTATTCTTCTTTTCTGGCTCCAATTTATCCTCTAGATTGACTCCATAGACCATAAGATCCCTGAATAAAGCCTGTCCTCGCTTTCCCCAGCCCCAGGACCCTCTTCTTAGAGAGCTTTCCAGACACTTTAGGAAGCTCTTCCTAGATGAAACATGAAAGATGTTTATACATATGAAAAAATGCGCAAGCTAACTCACTGGCAATCAGGAAAATGCAGACTGGAAGTCACAGTGAGTTATTATCTTGGTCTCATAATATTGGCAAAATTTAAAAAATCAATAGTTTTATGAGCTGACACCATTTCTGGCAAATAGTTATCATTATACAATAAGAGGGGACGCCTTACTTGGACTGTCTGTCAAAATTTGTAATGCACATACCCACTGATCCATGTACATTTCAGAACAGGTTTTACAGAAATATACTCAAGTTTACTCAAATATATATTACGAGAATTTTTATTGTAGAATTAGAATAATGAAAAAGTTGAGACAACATGAATTTCTATCAATAGAAAACAAGTTGAACAAATTATGTTTCATCCATTCTACAGAAGAACTTGCAACTATTTAAAATACTGAGTGAGGTATGTTCTAGCTTAGAAATATTCCCAAGACCTATTCATATGTGAGAAAATCAAGTCAAAACACAATATGTGTGGTGTGGTCTTATTTTTCATGAATGAAGAGACCTTGAGCAAACCAAATGACCTCTTGGGATCTCAGTCTCCTCATTTGTGGAGAATTCCTCCAACTTTCCAGATGATGGAGAATTAAAGGTGATAATGGAGTCAAAAGAATTCTATACACTGTAAGGTTCTATCTAATTCCACCATTTAAAATGTATCAAATGAGAGGGAAAAATCTTGAAAGCCAAAATTATTGGCTTTGTATAGGATACCCCTTAAACATTGGAAGTTTCCTACTGTCTCTTAAAGATTTCTTAGGAAATACATTGCTTTGCTTTCTGTTGGAGCTAGCTGTCACATAGCATGGGTAAGTTAAAGCATATCTAGCAAATGTCTGGTGCAAAGTAAGCACTCACATAATACTTCTGGAATGAAGGACTAAATTGCTGAATAGAATGAAAGTCAAGCAGACTGTGTTAGTAGAAGACATGGTGCTAGTCTTGGAGGCTTTGTTAATGCCAGAATTCCACTAACGACTCCAAACTGAGGTTCACCTTGATGGAATATTGCAGTGCTATTTACATGATCATCAGGATCAAATATGAAGTGAAAAGAACAAACAACTAAAATAGAATGTACACTATGATTACGATTATGCATAAATAAAATACTTTTAAGAGATGAGCCCTGGAAGGCAAACACAATATTGAGAAGAGTTGGTTTATTTAGCCTGGTGATATTGTGGATAACTTTTTTTTATTCTAGGGCTGTTATAACATTTCAGGCCATAGACCTTTTGCTTACTTAAATCTCTCTTAAAGTTGAGTATCTTTCCATTGTAAGAGACATAGGATCTCACAACAGAAAATTAGGAAACTAGCGAAGAACTGAAAGGATAAATTAATGCACTCCTAGAGCTATCACCAGTCAACAATTGCTATTAATAGGCTGTGTCTTTTGTTGGAGTCTTCCTACATTTTTTATTTTACATTTTAGGGGGAGGTATTTTACATCTTTGAGTTTTATACCTATCATTTAGATCTTCTTTTTCTCCACTCAGGAGTAAAACGTCATAAAGAAGAGCTTGTGTTTGGAGTCATGGAGTTTGAGTTCAGTTGCTTGCCAGTTCCCACAGCCTGGGCCAAGAACTTTCTCTCTCTGAGTCTCAGGTTTCTCATTTGTTAAATGACCATATTCTTAGTACCTGTGTCATAAATAAGTTATTGCATGTAAACTGCAAACTCAATTCCAGACATACAGTAGGCACTCTAGAAGTGTGATTTTGGAATAAAGAATAAATGAATCAAGTAGAGGAAATTGACCTGGTCGAGATCAGGGAAGGCTTCTTGGAAGAAGTGCCATTTGATCTGGGATTTAAAGGTTACGAAGGTGTTTGCCAAGCTGAGAAGGGGACCAGGTACTGGGGGAAGTTGGGAGAGAAGAAGGATCATTCAGATCAAGGGAATAGCATCTGCCATAACTCAAATGGATAATCAGAGGCAGGAGGGAAGCAAAAGAAGGTCAGTGAGAAAAGAGGCTAGGAACAAGGGGGAGTGTGGTGCAGAGAGTCCAGGGAAGTCAGCGAAGACAAGATGGTGCAGGGCTCTAAGTCCATCACAAGGAGGCTGGGCTTTGTCCTAGAGAGCAATGGGGAAGCCATCAGAAGGTTTTAAGGAGGGAAATGCCTGGTCAGACATCTATATTTAGGAGAGTGCTCTCCCTGCAGTGTGGGGCATGGATTGGGGAGTGAGGGCAAACTAGAATTTGGGAGACCTCATAAGAGGCTGTCTCCCTGTTCCTGGCAAGGAATGGTCAGAGCTTGACCTAGTTGGACCTTTAGCCATAAGTTTTCCCACACAAGTAAGCAAACACCAAGACCGCTTTTGTGACTGGTTGTTGCCTGGCTCTTAGTTACCAATGCATCTAAAAATGCACCTTGCTTGGCCAACTTTGCAGCCTACTGTTTAGAATCTGCAGGTGTCCAATGAGCTGGAATGAAAGAGTAAGGATGCATAATTTGGCCTGGCCTGAAAAAGGTACAGAAAGTGCTACCATTGATAGAGGAGAAGGCTGCCCTCCAGGCCTGCAGCAAGCACCCTAGGTTTATATTCCAGACCACCAGCCACTGTAATTATACATTCGCAGGCCTCAGCAAGGCATGGTATAGATGCTCGCAGCCAGGGTCCCTGTTATAAAGGCTCTGGTCTTGGTTGGTTATTAACTATACAGTACGAAGCCTCATAAACACCTTTTTACATGTACAGTGCAACCTTTCAATACAACAATCAAATGCTTTTCAACAAATTACAGTCTCCTGGGAAAGAGACCCCTTGATTACTTCCCAGAAAGAGGTGGAGGGAAACTTTAGGCAGAACTTGTTCGAAGCCTGATATTTAGAACTGTGTTTGTTTTGGGCTGGAAATGCTAGCCTAGAGTTCAGACCTTGAACAGCTCTAGGGAAATCAATGCCAATTAATCCAAATCTTACCAGAGGAAAAATCAAGCCACAGATATAATTTAACCAACCAGTTCTACTTTACAGATGAGCAAAATGAGCTTAGAGAGGGGCAGCCCCTTCTAAGGTCACCTGGGAACTCCGAGGTGGAATGTGGGGACTAGCTGCCTAAATCCTCCTTAGGCAGACAGTGGTGTTCAGATCCTGCCTTGGGTCCACTTTATTTGTTCAGAGTTTGTCATCTTGTAATAAAAATGTTGACTCCTCATCCACAATACCATTTCCTTTTCATCATACTTTCTCTGATGTTCCCAATCAAGCAAACTCTTTCTCCTCTTCTAGAAATAGCTCTTTAGATTTCATAGACTAGTAAAATTTGCAGACCTAGGGTTGTGAACTTTTTATTTTGCCAAGTAAAGACATTGAAAAAACAACAAGCAAAAGAGACAACTACCCAATAATGTGCGCAATTTGTGATCACCAGCTTTCACACAGAGAAAACACATTATCATCTAAGGAGAAGAAAATAAAAGAGGAAGAGAAGGAGAGAGAAAAGGAAAGATAGAAATTATATGGGCCATAATGGTGGTGGTTACATGAGCGTATACATTTGTCAAAAAATCATTGCTGTTCATTAGAAGGTGTGCATTTTGACAAAACAAAAAACAAGGCAAGATATGAAGAATGAAAAGTCCCATATCCTAATCAGGCATATCTTTCTTGAACCCAAGAGCTGCGTCTGCATTTGGAACTATGCAGAAGGACACAGAAGGATGGATGCATAGACAATCCCCTAATGTCACTTTCCTTTAGCTCCTTCCCTATCCACGTCCACCCAGGAAAATGCTGACCAGAGCATGTGTCTACTCAGTATCTCTGATGGAAATCCACCAGGACACAGCCAGGAAATCCCTCTGCCTTTGAAATTGCCAGGAGCGCTTAGGGAAAGAGCACAATTGTTCCAGGCTTTAGTGTCTTCTTTTGCTCATTGAGAAGGTCATCACCCTCCAGGGATGAATGTGGGAATATCAACAGCATGTCTTGAGAGTTCGGGCTCTTACAAAGTCAAGGGGAGCTAAATAAATCCATCCAGACTTGTTTTCTTAGTTCCAGCCTTTACTCTTTTGCTTATAAAACATGATGCTTAGAGGAAACTGAGAGAATGCTGACTTAGGGATCAGAAAGATCTGGGTATGAATTCTGGCTTGGATAGTTAACTAGCTGTGTGACATGGGGCAAGTAACTTCACCCTGATGAGCCTCTACTTCCTCTGCTGTAAAAAAAGGGGTCACAATATCGACCTTACAGAGGTGTTGTGAGGATGGAACAAGATAACATATGGAGGGTTGCCAGCTCAATGTCTTCCAAATAGTAGGTTTTGAATAAACGTATAGATATTATGATCACTTCTCCCAGACAGTTCCTTGTGTTTCCTAGAAGCTAGCAGAAATTGGAGAGCTTTCACAAGTAGGATGCTTGCAGATTCAGTCTTCTTGACTTTAAAGCAGTGAGAATAAAATGAGGTGACTTATTTTATGTGGAATGCTTATCTCCATGCTTGGCATACAGTAGGAACTTACTAAATGAGAGCCACAACTGCACTAACGGGAAGCTCAGCTCCCTTTTGCCCAAATGTGGCTGGCCATAGGGTAGTCACTAATTGTACCATTTTTTAAATCAGGCAATGCATATTTTCCTGAAATTTTTAAAAGGCTTAAATGGAAATGACTGGACCCCTAAATGCCAAAACAGGTTATGAAATTGGAATTCTGTTTTTTTCCGTTTTCTACTATTAGGGGGCAGGAACTTTAGTCTTCTTAGTTGCAGCTGCTCTCTCCATGCCAGGAATACTGTGGAGTACATAACAGGTGCTCCATAAATATTAGTTGAATGAATGAATGAGTTTGCTAATAAAAGAATGAATGACAGCAAGGTGTCTGAGGCCTTTCAAGTTCTTTACTCAACCAAATATGACTACTTACAAACATGATGCTAAGGCAGGAAGGCTGATATAAACATTTTAAAGAGATTCTCAAGTGAATGGCTGCAGTTGGAAATCCAAGCTCAGGAGTGCTTTTCCTGGAGCTCAAGTCCTTCTGACTTGGGTTTGGGTTGGATCAGGCAGACTGAGAGAAAGGACGCTATGTCTCTGTAATCCCCCAGAGTCCTTCACACATTAGATGTTCCAGGATCAATGTCTCCCAAATTACTCAAAAAAGGTTACCACCTGGTTAACTGCCCCTCTCCCTCAAACTAGAATGTGAAATTAAAACTCACGATGATTTGCAAAAAAAAAAAAAAAAAAAAAAAGTCTTGTGACATTGCATGAAACCAAACCCAAGCCAACAGTCAACAAAAATCAAAATCAAAACTAGCAAACATTTCTGGCTTTCCAGGACTCTTTCTTATTCATGCTTGGGTTTTAAAACCCCACAAGACAACAGGAGTACTCTAATTGGAGCCTGGGAGGAGGCACAGAATGGCCAGTTGCTAGTAAAACTGAAAGCATTTATTTATTATTTAATTTGTTTGCCCAGGAGACTTTGCTCCTGATGGAACATCTGGCTTTCATTGTAGACCAACTTTTACCTAATTGTACAGCTGGGGAGATTAAGGCACAAAGGGTCACAGGCCGAGCCCAGCCAGGACCCAGCCCCCCTACGAGGGCTTTGCTCCTCGCTTCAGGGTAGAGACCACACTCCTCGCCTCTGGTCCTCCAGTGGAGACCTATAAATAAGGAAGGAATTACTCTTTCAAGTCCTCACTCACTCTCCTTCTGATTCTCATTAATGGCAGGGTTGGGGGCTGAGGACGAGGAGGGAGCTGGAAGAGGCAGGAGGAAGGGCAGCAACCACAGTGGTTCCAGACCATAGGCGGGTAGAGGGGGTGCGGTACAGCATAGACCGAAGCTGGTCTTCCAAGGGTCCTTTGTCAAAGCCCGGCTCTTCTGCCTCATAGTGGCTGGCACAGAACAGGCAGAGTCCATTTTCCAGCTGCTAGGGGAACAAAGGAAGATTTCAACTGCAGCATCAGTATGCTGGAATGGAAAATGAATAACTTCCTACCTGGAGTGGCAGCTGCCACCAATGAAATGTTCTTCATTGAACTTGAATCTCATTTTTACTAGTTCCAGTGTGAGCTTGGGCAAGTTGTTTAACCTCTCTGAGGCTCACTCAATTCCCTGATATCATGGAATTGTTGGGAGATAATTTATGTAAAGTACCTAGTATAAATAGCTGATGTTTAGTAAGCACTTTACAAAAAAAAGCTAGCAATAACCAGTCTTTAAAAATTGCTCATGAAATCATCCGCTATTGTACATTCATTTATACAAATGCTTTCCCCTTCAGGGTTATCTGGAGAACATCATGCAATGAACAAGGATTGAATGGGAACTAGAGTGCTTGTTTGGGCCTCAAACCCTGCTAACTGCCAGGGAACTGAGGAAGTGGTGGCACAGGACCTTGAAGATATGTGATAACAGTCAAGAAACTTAAAATCTATCTTGTGTGACAAGTGCACCTGAGCAAAGTTCAAGTGTTAGTTCAGGACTCTATCACCTGATATAGCCAAAGGGGAGACCACCTAAGTCAGACTCAGAATCAACGAGGTCTAGAATTGTCAGGGAACACTTCAGAGAAGTGGGACTAGATCTGAGTTTTGAAGAATGGGTAGGAGTAAGAAAGACAGAGTGGACCAGGTAGAGTGTTCCAGGAGACAGCGTAAATGGTGGCACAGTTTGGGTGAGCTTGGGCCAGAGATGAAGGTGAGTAGTGAGAATACCAATCTGGATAGAGAAATGACAGGCAGATAGGTGTGCAGAGGGCAGCGTGCTGTATTCTGGGAGGCCTTGAGGGTCAGGCATAGGTACTGTGTGCCTCCTGGGCTATGGACAATCTAGGCTATTGTGCTAGGGAAGACCATGATATGCGGGTACTGGAGGAAGCTCACATGCATAGACAACATGGACGGGACTAAAAAAGACTAAAAACTGATACTGTCTTAGAATTTTCTGGACTTCCTGCCTCACCAAGGCTCAGTCTAGCCTTCCCAACCCATAAATGTATAACATTTCTCTCTTTGGTGGGCCCAAAATCATGTTTTATTTCCCTGAATTTCGCGTACACCCTACTGTCCTTGGTCAGGGAACATACACCGCAGTGTATCTGTCCTGGTATCTTAGCATTTCAGCCAGGAGTAACCCAGCTTCGATGCAGCTCAAGCCTGCTATGAAAGTCCAAGTTGTTGGTTAGCCAAGACTTTCAGAAAAATAAGGAGGTAAAGTAAGAAAAATTAGACTGGAAACCACATGCCCCATTTAGCCATTGTTTAGATTGCAGACCTGAACAAAGCAAAATGAGACTAGGCCTGATATAGAAACATTCATGCTGAGTCTTAGGAGAGAATAGGGATGCAGAGGAGACTGTAGCGTTAGGTGGCTCTCATTCTTATGGTATTGCAACGACTTTCTACTTCTTGCCCTGGTGGTTCCTGGGGTGGTGGCATGAAAAACACACTTTAGAGAGAGCAGATGTCAATAAGAATCCTTATTCTACCACTTCTAGTTGTGTGATCCCTGGGCAGATCACTGAACTTTTTGTCCCTCTTCTTCCTTGTCTATAAGAGGACAACTTTATGTTTCAAGGATCAAATAATGTCGTGAGTGCTAAAGCACCTTGAAAAGGGATTTCTAAATATATGGCGAGCACCTACTATAGGTTGAGCACTGTGCAAGGTGGTAGGAATGAGTGGGGTTGAATTCAAATAATTATAACGTAGCTCACAGCACATTTCTCAAAGTGCACTCTATAGAGAATGAAGAGATGTTGCCTGAATACACATGCCCCATTGTCATGTAATGTATGATGTGCTGCAAAACTAGAATTCTTCACTGCAAGACTTCTCAAAACATGTAATATGCTAATGTGCATTGGGCTATGAGCAATGGGATGCTTGAGTTAGAGCTATTGATCTTTCAACAGCAAGAGCAGTCCTCTTCTGTTTGCTAGTAAGCCTCAATTTATTTCACCTCAGTAACACTTATCTCAAGAAACATCCAAATATTTCAAATAAAAATAAATTTTAATTCAATTTAATTTAGTAAAGAGAAAGACGTATGCTTCTTTTTATCAAATCATGGTTTTGAGTATTTATTTGATAAGCAATGAGTATGCTGAAAATGGCACTCTATGACTTGATGATATAGGGGAAATCTTCTGTGTGGGTCTTTCCTGGTTTTTATTTCCCATTTGTGTCTTAACCCTGCCTTCAACTTGTGTAAACTGACCACTCTCACCAGAAACAGTCAACAGAGTTGCCAGCAATATTATTGGGCCATCTTGACAAGGACAAGTTAGCCATCAAAGGGATCACACAAAGTGGTTCTTCTTTTCAATAAGTTAGGCTACATAAAAGAGGGGTTTGCTGCCAAGTTCAGTTCCTGTGTCCCAGTAGCTTGATATAATTTGTCACAAATCTACCTGGTTCCTACTCGTTCTTACGTAAATGCCTTTTTTTTTTTAAAGAAACGGGGTCTTGCTCTGTTGCCCAGGCTGGAGTGCAGTGGCGCAATCACAGTTCACTGAAGCCTTGAACTCCTGGACTCAAATGATCCTCCTGTCTCAGCCTCCCAAGTAGCTGGGACTACAGTCATGTGCCACCACACTGGGCTATTTTTTAAATATTTTTGTAGAGATGGAGTCTCACTATATTTTCCAGGCTGGTCTTGAACTCCTGGACTCAAGTGATTCTCCCACCTTGGCCTTCTAAAGTGTTGGGATTACAGACGTGAGCCACCACACCTGGCCTTTCTACTTAAATGTCTGAGAGAAATATCAGCATATCAAAGTGGCCAAGGTTGGAAGTCAGGACGGTCTGGCTGTGACGTCTGTCACCCCATTGATCACTAGGCTTTATTTGGATGATCTGGCTGGCTAGGCGTGTGTCCCTTCCCTCTCTTACCACTCCATGTGCATCCCTCCAGAAGCTGTGGGCTTGGTCAAAGAGGATGACCATCCCAGGTGGAGGAGAACCAGTCTTTGGTTAAGCATATATGAATAGCTGCACTCCCCTGCTAGAACCTGCAAATAAACTCTCAAAGTGTCCCAGGTTGAGATTGGTATTTCTCTTCCCTCCCAATCTTAAACAATGACCAAGGATAAAGGCAAGAATTAGCCTTAAATATTTGATCATGTTCATCTCTAAGAAGGGAAAGGTAGAGCTGCTTTGAGCCTTGCTCCCAGAAGGACAATGAGTGTTATTAAAAACATCCATTACTGTGTACATATGATCTGTGTTTCATGATCCTGGAAGAGAAGGTCTGAATCCTAGCCTGTGAGACTTCTAGAATAACTTTCTCTGGAAATCTTCCTGAGATGTTAAGTTCTGTCCTTTCTATTTCCATACCTTTCAGTCCAACTTGAAGGTAGTTTAGAGAATTAAGATAAATGCAGAAAAAAGAATTTATCTCCACTGCCCTTTACAAATGGAGTAACTTGAAGCAGGACCTCACAAAGTCACTAGCCCAGCACACCTTCAGGAGTCAGCATGGAAAAGAAAAAAAAAAAAATCATTGTGTGAGTGGACCCTCTTCACAATTAAAATAGGGAAGAACTAACAAGGAGCTTACCATCTTGTCTTTCAGGTCTTATCTTCACTTAGCTCACACTTAATTCCACTAGGAATGCCCTGTCTTCTAAGCCTTGCATTCCAGCCTCCTAAATACAACTTTCCCCATTCTACTTTCCTTCACAACTGGCTCTCACCTCACCCTACGCTCAAGCAGCCCTGTCATCATTATCCGCACACACCTTTTCTTCTCATTGTCATGCATGTATTAGATTTTCATCCCTAAGCTTGGGTGTAATTTTCCTGAAGTTGCGACTTAATTTCTTTAACCACCAATAGTACCTGACTCAGTCATGGACATATAGTAAGTAGTCTCCTACCAAGTGTTAGTTAATTTTTGGAGGGGGGAGGGCGGAGAATTACCAGCCAAGCATTTAAAGATGGAAGGATTGCTAGTTTAATAGTGTCACTATTTATTTGTCTCTAGCAATAGAACTTAGGTTAGAAGGAAGAAACTAGAAGGCTATCTTTCTCACCCCTTGCCATCTTCTTCATTACATACTCCACTATATTAATAGATTACACCCCTTCACCTATCAACATATCAACATTGTTTAAAACATTTTCCAGTAACATATGTACTACACACACACTCACACACTCATCATCCTTTTGTTTGTTTGTTTGCCCCAGCAGACAATGCCTAAGAAGTTGGTTCTCTGTTGCTCACTCTCCTCCTAGGCTTTAAAAAGCATGAGAAAAGAAAATGTTGTAGATACTAGCATCTGATTATAGGGGGTGCAAGAAATCTGTATTCTTGCTGTTGACAATTCACCCTGCACGGGAAAGAGTGTCATGCATTGTAGAAAGAGAAAATGCTAAATCTGCCCTTCAGATAATACATCTCTGCTTAGGAAAGTAGAAATTGTGGGGCAAACACATTGAATCACTCCTTCTTTCATTATTTTTGACATTGATTTGTCATTAAGAAAATTTATTAGGCTCCAGATTAAATTGATTTGAAGAATCATTAATTCATGGGATGAAGCGAGAGCCGTTTGGCCTCCCCACGCTGAAATGAGGCAGTATTGATAAAACAAAGGGGAAAATATCAGAGCTGTTTAAAATGCACTTTTTCCCACTTGGAGAAATATTCTGGACATAATTCGGGGAAGACATTCTAATAGTCCATCTTAGTCCACTTTTAGCCTGAAGAGGATTTTCCCAGTGTCTAAATCAGAGAGATGGATATGAATTTCAGAGTGAATGATTTCAGAAGAAAGAAAGGTGTCAATTGACCAATTTGCTTAAATAGAGATTAAAACACAGCCTCCCTCCTTCCCCAATAAGAGAAAATCAGAATCCCACTTGTCTGCACCCCAGTGCTGCCCCTTCCCAAAGAACTTTCCCCTTCCCCACTGTGATGACTTTCAGTAGAGCCAGGGTAACCACCTCATTTAAGGCAGCTTAATCTAATTTAAGGCAGGACTATTGTTTGCCTGATTACCTCCCCAATCCTTTAAAAATTACTGCAGAATATAAACTGCTGTGGAACATGCCATAAAAACAGTTTATCTTTTCTCTGAGTCATCTTCTGCTATATTTCCAAAAGAAAATCAAGCATAAAGCCCACCTCCATTATTGTATTAATCAAGACTGTTGTTTGCAAATGAAAGAACAGCCTTAAGGAAGAAAGGAAATGTATTGGTTCATACACCAGAAAAGGCCAGGGGTGTCATGGCTTGGGTTGAGCTGAAGCAGGTGGTTAGACAATGTCATCGGGACCCACTTCGTCCTCCTCCTCCTCCTCCTCCTCCTCTTTCTCTTTCTTCTTCTTCTCTCTCTCCCTCTCTCTCTCTTTTTCTCCTTCCTTCCTTCCCTCCATTTCTTGGCTCAAGCAGACTTTCACATGGATAGCCCCCATTCACTCTGGGATTACGTCTTCTTTATAACTATTAGTTTGGTTCAAAAGTAATTGCAGTTTTTGCAATTAAAAGTACTGGCAAAAAATTTTACCATGCCTTCTCTAATAGTAATTTCTATGGAAAATGGCTTCTCTTTTCCAAGGATACCAACAACTGTCCATGAATTAGACTTTTGAATTGAATCTTTGCTTGAAAGGGAAATTCAATCTCTCATTTATTCACTCATCCATTCCATTGCCTTCTTGTCCAACTGTCTGTCTGTAGCCTATTCTTTATTCATGTGCTAAGTTTTGGGGACCAGAGGCAACCCTTTCACTGACTCTCTGAGAACAGACTGCAAGTGTAGCTGTTGCAAGCACCAATCCTTGTGGCATAACAGATATGGTTAAGAGTGATGGGGTAATCTTTTGCTTCTCTAGAAATGTCTCAAAATGGCTGAGTTTTCCAGGCAAATTCAAGGAGGCCTGGAAGGCAGACATTGGCTCTGAGAAAAGGTGACGAGTTAAGTTTACAATCAGGGGTACACCTCATGACATTTGGGACCTGCTAGAATGCAGAGAAGCCACTGAGAAGAGGTGGCCCTGAAAGGCTGCATTTGGCACTGGAGCTGTGTCCTGGCACCACCATGTGTGACATGAAATGACAGTTTCTGGTGACCAAATTTTTAAAACTAGAATTTACACACACAACACACTTTGGAATTTAGATGCCCTGCATACACCCCAGGCTTCACTTAAGCTCTGTCTGTATTTGAGTGTGTGTGTGTGTATGAGTGTGTTTGTATTCCTCTGAAAGTTGGGAGACTCCAGGAGAAGGAGCCAAGAGCCCCAGCCAGAGGCCGTCCTGATAGCAGGATGCTTATTTTACAAATTCTGTGTTATCTACAAAGCCTCACTGGCTCCTCCCAGCCCCTTTGAAATCTTGACCGGCCAGGATACCATAGCATCTTGTTTGGCCTCTCTTCGATGTTATTTTACTCCATTTGGGAGATTTGTGTTGTTTTCATAAGAAAGGGAAGGTGTAACACAAAGAGCCTCACTGAAACTTTTCACGGCTTATCTTAGAGACCTCAGGCTAACTAGAGAATCATAGAACTGAAGACACCATCGCAAGCAGATAGAACTTCACAACTTTCACACCCTCTTTGCATCAATTATCAAATATTTGCAAACATTAATAATCCACGATGATCAAGCAGTGACTATATGCTGGGGATTGTATTCAGTGAATTTTATATCTTACTTAATCTGTCTAATAATCATGCAAGAAAAAATATTATCCTCCCTTGACAAATGAACAAACTAAATATCGGAGAGATTAAACAACTTGCCACAGGTCATATACTCATTAGTAACAAAGTCAAGATTCAGACCCAGATGACTGAGCTCTTTACAAAAATATTAGCCCAATGCTTTTGACATACGGGCACTGAGCAAATACTCTCAGGATAAACATAATGAATGAATGAATAAATGAACAGTTTTACCAAGCCTGTGTCAGTTCAGTGGACCCTATTTTGCCCCTGACTCTGAGGCATAGGTAACATTCAGAGACTAATGATTAGGAAACTCATGACTCTAGCAAATCTGTCCCACTCCCATCCTGTCTCTTAGGAACCATTGACAAACTGAGTCCTAGTCTAAGATCCTTAGCTGAGCCTTACTGGGTCTCAGCCGGGTTCATTAATGCCATTGTGGTTCAAAGATGGTCAATACTCCAGCCACTGCCTCCGATCAGGCTACACGAAAAAAAGGAATGCAACTTCTTCCTGTGTTTTGCCGATGCACAGTATGTTGTGTGGGTAATTTCTGGTCTGGCCAGTAAAAACCTCCGGGAGCCTTCCTTTAGGTCTTTAATTATGAACTGTAGGGGACACCACAAAATAAATACTTAAAATGTCTAGACAACCAGTCATCAGAGTAGGATAATTAACTTCAAACATTCTAAATTGTTGGAGGAGTCGTTATTCACCTTCTGTAGTTCCTTTCCATATCCTTCCCGAGCCAATGTGTTTGTAGCAACAAGGCCAGGGAACTAGTTGAAACCTTCTCCTGATACAAAGCAGCCTCTTTCCCCTGCTCTTAAATGACAAGTCACAAAATGACCAGAGAACATACAATAAAGGAACGTAAGCTGAGACCATTAGTTTTTCCAAAGAAGGGGAGGATAAAAAACTCTTCAATTTTTAGTTACTTCAAAATGCAAAACAGCAAGCACAAAGACAGATTCGGGAAAAGTACTCCTTTATTTAGTCTATTTTAAGTATTTATAACTTTCTATTACTAAGAAAAAAATTAATTAAGCCATCCTGGTTTTTGACGAGAGCTTAGCAAGTTTGTCTCCTGACATCTAAATATGATTATTCTACTGTTGAACTTGGGATCTTTCTCCCCCTACACGTCCTCACTGCCCACAAAACTTCCTCTAAGGAAGTATTTTTTGCACTGAGCTCACATTAATTTCTTTTTGTTGTTGTTGTTGTTTTTGTTTTTGTTTTTGTTTTTTTTTCCAATCTAAAGGCAAAGCATTTCATCAAAGAGATATGGACTCCGCAATGAAAACTTGCTGCGAACGTATCTGACTCTTGCCTTCACTTACAAGGGAATCGTGTGGGGAGCCCAGAGGCCTTGCTGTTAATCAGATCCAAAACCTGAACTCAAACAGCCTTGCTTTAGGCAATGAGTAGATCTTAAAACCACGAGCCGTGGGAGAGCAAAGCTGAGAGTGGCTCTGAGGCAGAGGAAAGCTGTTCAAAATGTCAAAAGCTTACTTCCCCATACCTTTTCACATCATCCTCCTAGCAGACAATCTTTTTATAAGACATCAAATAACTCATAAGAACTCTCATTGTTTGATCCCAATGTCATTTTCCTTTAAATCAAAGAAATGCCACATCAACTGTTATTTAATGAATATTTTATGATATTACATTTATAATGACCATATTTAATTGCTACAGCTCTAATTAAAGGTGATATCTGATTGCATGCATGTACTTTTGAAAAACCATAATTGTCTTGTGCAAGCCACTGAATAGATTTAGGAATCTTCAATAACAAAATTACATTAATAGCATATGCTATTAAATATGATTGATGGCAAAATTGGACCCCTCTTGGTTCTCTACCACACAAAAGCACACACTGCTTTTGAAGACGGCGCCTCTAGTGTCAACAAGAGAGCCAGGAAAAATAGACTGGTGCCACCAAGGCCTGCCTTCCCCAAAGAGAGGGCAATATCTTAGTGAGAATAAAAGATGCCTCTGGCATTTCAGCCCTGTGCTAAATGGGTTGATGAACATTTACTTGACAGGCTTTGTGTAGCAACCCCGCTCCAGTGAGGCCGGGGGAACATACGATAGAAGGCCACTTACAGCTGGACAGCAGTGTTTGGGAAGGTCCCCTACAGGTGGCCACCGCCAGTGAGAGCCACAATCTCTAGAAGTAATCAGCACACACCAGCAGCAAGACAGTACTTTGGTGTACAACTACGGATGGTGAGTAGACCATGTGCATGCCCTAGATCCTCCATGGCTTGTATCTTCAAGTGTCTTTATCAAATTAGCAACTCTGATCACAGAGCCCGTCATGAACAACAGGAGAAAAAATAAAGAGAAATATTGGATTCCAAAATAAATAATGTGAACCAGAGCCAAAATGATAAATTATAATTGAGAAGAGTGGATGAATGGAATCACATGTTTGCAGCTGCCTTTTCCCCGATTTAAACCTTATCACAGTCCTTGGAGGGTGAGATAAGGAAATTGAGGCTCAGGGACAGCAAGTAACCTTGGTCTTTCAGACTCCAAATCTCACACTCTTTGAACAATAGCAGACTCTGCTTCTTAGAAGGTAAAAGCATGAATGCACGTCAAGAGAGCTATTGTACTAGTCTGTTCTCATGCTGCTAATAAAGACATACCCGAGACTGGGTAAATTATAAAGGAAAGAGGTTTAATGGACTCACAGTTCCACATGGCTCAGGAGGCAGCACAATCTTGGCAGAAGGCAAGGAGGAGCAATGTCACATCTTACATGGTGGCAGGCCAGAGAGCATGTACAGGGTAACTCCCCTTTATAAAACCATCAGATCTGTGAGACTTATTCACTATCACAAGAACAGCATGGGAAAGACCTTCCCCCATGATTCAATTATCGCACACCAGGTCCCTCCCATGACATGTGAGAATTATGGGAGCTACAGTTTAATATGAGATTTGGGTGGGGACACAGCCAAATCACATCACCTATTGTGCTTCAGATTTAATACGCTGTGTGGGACACAGTTCCGGGGACACTGAACTGACATAATACACTGTGTGTGCTCCAGTTTGTGGGTCTAAAGAAAGGACTTCTTGTTGGGAAGGGCAATGGTTGCAAAACCATGTTGGGATAACACCTTCACAGAGATATGCTGATGGCCATCTAAGATCAAGGTTTGGTGCTCATGGAGCATTGCTTGGTGTCTAGTGGAAGAAAGTGTATAGACATGAAATCATTCCAAAGACAGAACTGAACTTTCTAATTCTGATAAGAGCTTGTCCAGTTACTCTTACTCATCTCCCTTCTTGGCTCTGGTTGGAAAGAAAGAGAGCAAATGAAATTCTTGAGCCCTAGATCCACCTACAGGGTGGTCATTCTTACTTTAAGTCTGATAGCAATCACTACCATTCATAGGATATAATAGTCTTCAACATGTGCCAAGGACTGTACTAGATGTTTTACATACCTAATCTTACTGACTTCTTAAGGAAGTAAGAATTACAATTATTCTCTTCGATAGCTGAGAAACTGAAGTTCCAGAAGTTAAGCAAACTGTACCAGGTCTCTCCAGCTACTATCAGAAGCAGCATTTGAATCCAGGACCAGCTGATTTTGAAGACCTTGCCCTTAAGCACAAGGATGCACTGTCTCACAAGAAAGATGGCTGAAAATCCCAGAGGACTAACCCTTTTCTGTAGCTTGGCATGTGGATGGACTTTGCCTGGGGGACCTAGTTTGTTAGCCTGAAACTAGCCTCATAAATGTTTATTGATACAAGCTCATTACTTTTCATCGTATTGGTCCTGGGCTGACTAGAGAGAAACAGTTCTCACCGTGAGAACAAGGTGAAAGCCAGAGAATGCCTTAGAAGTGAGCATTCAGTTTTCCAGATCCCCCTCTCCTTACATCTTGGGTGGAAAGGACTGAAATCATCTTCTTCCTGCCTCCACCTACATGGTATTAAAGGTCCTGGCTTAACGGTCGTCTCCCAGAGAGTCATGTGTCAACGCTCTATCACACACAGATGCTGCCAGTATCAGCTAGGGTGGAGGCTAGATTTCTTGGTCAATTAAGCCTCCAAATATTAGACAGTAAAACCACATCACTGATAGGTGGTAAAGAGGAGAATGAAAAAACCTAACTTGCGATATATTTTAAAGGAAGACAGTGTGATTCACTCTAGAAAGAATTCTAATGGACAATAAACATACAAATAATTTCATTGCACTAGTAATCAATCAATGTACATTTTTAAAAGAATATCCTCTTTTTCTACCAATAGAAATAGCAAAGATTTAAAAGAAATACATCTTACACAGTAATAAAAAGGAACAAATTACTAACACACACAGCAACATAGATGAATCTCAAATGCATTATGCTAACTGAAAGAAGCCAGGCTCAAAACTGTGTGATTTTTATTTATGTGACATTCTGGAAGCAGCAGAACTACAGAGCTAGGGGTGGGGAGAGGAGGTGGCTACAGAGGAGATGGGGAATATGGGACTACTCTATATTTTGATTATGGTGGTGATTCCCCAACTATATATATTTGTGAAAACTTGGAGAACTTGACACCAAAAACAACAAACAAAAACAATCGTTTTCTTTTTTCTGTAGGTAAATTATACTTCACTATTAAAATGGAAAAATTAGTACAATCTCAATTTCATAAAAAAGAAAACATTGTAGCAAGTCATATGCCATATTTTTAATAGTTCTTATATCTAGTGATGGGTTATGGATGCTATTGACTTTCTCTACCCACCTCCCTAAACTGTATAAAATTCTTTATAGTAATCATATATTGTTTTGTTTACAGATGCTGAAAAAAAAGTATTTTCATGTTTTTTAAAAAGGAAGAAAGAAGGATAATTCCCTGTGCTAATGAGTAGATAACAAGAAACGCACCCTTATAGACCACCGGGAAAAGTTCGCCTTTATAATGTAGTGATATGCCTCAAAGGCACTGCAGTGTGTATGCTTTTTAGGTGTCCACAGCAGGAAAAGTAAAAGTGTTTGCACATGGGTATTCATTAAGTTGCTTATGATAGAAAAAACTTTGAAGAATCCTAAATATCTAATAATAGAAGACTGGTTAAATGCATTATGATATATCTATTCAGTAGTATACTTTGTAAACATTAATTATTAATATATGTAGATGACTTGATATGGAAAGATGTTGAATGACAACAAAGCATATATATATTACATAAATGTGCATACAAAAATTCCAGTTAGATATTTTCAAATGTTAACAGTTATCATATCCAGGTAATGACATTTTTTCAGGGCATTATTTTCTAAATTTTTCTGTCAATTTTATACAAGTGCATGACCATAATATCACATTATTGGTGATATTACGTATACGCATATATGATATATGCATGTTTTCTTCTTTATCCTTATTAAAACTTTTTTGTCTCCAATTCCGTATTGTCTGATAAGACTACTGTTTCATCAGCTGTGTTTTAGTTAGTATTTGCCTGACGTTCATTCAGTTACTTTCAATCTTTAACATTTCTATGCTGTTTTATTTTAAGTTGTGTTTTTTAATCCAATTTGATGGTTGCTGCCTTTAAGTAGATGACTTTAATCTATTATGATTAACAATACATTTAGCCAGACATGGTAGCTCATGCCTGTAATCCCTGCACTTGGGAGGCCGAGGAGGGAGGATCACCTGAGGTCAGGAGTTCGAGACCAGCCTAGCCGACATGGCAAAACCCTATCTCTACTATAAGTACAAAAATTAGCCATGTGGTGGTGCGTACCTGTAGTACCAGCTACTCGGGGGCTGAGGCAGGAGAATCGCTTGAACCCAGGAGGCAGAGGCTGCAGTGAACTGAGACAGTGCCACTGCACTCCAGCCTGGGCTTTTTAAAATGTCCTCAGCTCCTTTGGGATTTAGCAATTGCTTCTTACTTTCTCAGTGGCTCCCCTTCTATGTTTAACATCCATATGTTGCTCTAATATCTTCTAACAAAACCAGAGGTTATTCTGTGGCTTTATTTTCCTTTCATTGAAACCAAGGAACTTCATTAACTATCAGTGTGTTTCCCTCACAAGCTTCCTCTTCAGTGTTGTCTAGAATTTTAATTGCAGTTTAAAAAGTTTAATTACAGGTTTAAAAGAATAGAATATTAGAGTACAGGTAATATTTAATGACACTGATCAACATTTCTTAACCAATTTTTGAGATTACTTGTTTTTCTTTTTTTCTGTTATTTTCATTCCTTCCCTCTGGACTTATGCTCCCCTTGGTGAATGAAGTATGTCCTTTAGTAGTTCTTTCCATAAGGGCGTTGTTAAAACTATATGCCTTGAAATATTTAATTTTGTTCTCAGTCTTATTTTTTTTTAATTTGTATATTTTTGAGACAGGGTCTCGCTCTGTTGCCCAGGCTGGAGTGCAGTGGTGCGATCACGGCTCACTGCAGCCTCGACCTCCTAGGCTCAAGGGAACCTCCTGCCTCAGCTTCCTTGTAGCTCGGATTACAGGCCACTGCATTCGGCCTGTTCTCACTCTTTAAACATAATATAGCTAGACATAAGATCTGTGTACTCCATTATTTCTCTCAACATTTGAAGGTATCACTCTATGGTTTGCTCAGGACAAGTCTGGTTTTTACTAGTTCACTCAGCACTTTAGGGAGACTACCCTCTGAAAACTAAGAACTTTCATCAAATTAAGAAATTCTTAGTCATCATCATTTCAAATATTACACCTTCACTATAGGCACTCTATTTTTTTCTTTTGAAACTCTTTGTCTAAGTCTTCCGAAGCTTCTCAATATATCATGTTATTGAACTGATATTTTATATCTTTCATTTCTTTATTGCTTGTCATGTACTTGGTGGATTTCTTAATTCTCTGTCATGTTTTTAAATGACTGTTCCCAGGCAAAAAGTATCCTGTGAAATGTGATTTATTTTCAGAATTTCTAGCTGTTTCCTTCACATATCTTCCTTTCCTATTTTATTTCTGCCTATTTTATTTCACAATTATATTTTATTCCTTATGTAGATAGCATACTTTTTAAAAATCTCGTGAGTGACTCTAAGTATACTTATTTTAAAGGCATTTTCAGGCATGTCTGCTTTTGAAAATTTCACCTTGAATACATTCCTCTTCCAAATATTGATTTTGCTGGTTACTAATTTTCCCCTATGTGTTTGAGAGTTTAGCCTGCAGACTCATTTTGAGTGGCAATTTCTTATTTTAATTTTTTTCTTTACTTAAGTCTATGAGCCTCTCTCGCTGTCCAAATATTTTGTGTTTAGCTCTATCCAGGGCCCCAGCACCCTTAGGCCTTCAGCTCAGGTCTAACACTGGTAGCTTAGAGCAGTGCTTCTCCAATAATCTGTGTTAATACAGCAATTTTTTACCCTGTCCTTGAAGGACTGATGTTTCTGTAAAATTTGATAAAAAAAAATTACCAAGAAAAATGACTATCTGTTTTGTATACCTTGGCCATATATATTACTATGAAAGCTATAAATGGCAAATAGTCCACAGGTATGTCAGTTGGGACACCACACCACACTTTGAGTTGGGGCTCCTGGACAAAGGATATTGAGGATTTTATGGATTCAGTCATGGGTTCAGCTGGTCTTGGCCTGGGAGACTGCAGGTGTTTCTGTCTACCTTTCCAGGTAATCAGCTTTTGGAAACTACAGCCCCAGGAGCAGACATTAATTTTCCTTCTCACCCTTCTTTTATGAGAATGAGCATCCTACCCTAGTCCCTAATTTCAAAAAAATGAAACTGGTTTGGTTCTCAACTTTACATGAGAAACCTCAGGGAAATCAAAATCACATGACACATACTAGCCAATGAGATGGGAGGAGAAATCTGGTCACGGTTTCCTCTCGCTTAAAAAGAAGCATAAGAAGAAGACTTAGCCTTATTCTCTACATAAGAATGGTGACGTAAGGAGATGTGAGGTGTAGCAGCAGCTATTTTGTGACCATGAGGGAGTCAACCCGAAGACAAAGCCAACATACCAAGGAGGGCAGTGCTGAAAAACAAAGAGAATTCAGGCCCTTGATGCTGATCAGTCACTGAATTAGCCAATCCAGAAGTCACCCTCCTTCATTACTTCTCTTATCAGGTATAAAGAATTTGCTTATTATTCTAACCGATGCATCTATTATTGCTACGTGTTTAGACTATAAGCATGTAGTGTGAACCTGTATTACCTTCTTAACTTCAAATCACTCTCATTACTGTCATAATTTTTAGGATAATTCATGGTAATATTTTCAAGCACAGGAAGTAACTCAGAATTAGCTTTAAAATATTTGCAGATACTTTTGGAAAATTGCTTTATGAGTTGATAAGAATATTTTCTGGTTAGTATATTTAGTTTGATTGGTAAATGGGAATTCCTGAGGTGTCCAACATTTTAGTCAACATTTACTCAGTGTCTGTTAAATCTCATACCTTGTAATGGAAGTCATGAAGGTCATTGCAGAAAGATAGGATCTTTCCCGTTAAGGAATCTAACTAGGAAACAAGCCTTACAACAATAGTAGGCCATTTAGAGGGATCTGTCTAAATGAGGAAGATGTACAGTAAATTATGTAGGGGGTCAGAAAAAAACAACAGATTTGTGTAAACATTCTCAGTGGATGCTTATTTACATTGACAGTTCAGTTACTAACTTCTTTCTCTACTGATCAAGCATAAACCCAGCCCATGCCCATTCTTCAATAAATGTTGAACAAGGTAGAACAGCCTGTTGGAGATTTTCTAACTATAATTAGATGAACTGGAGAATTATTTCCAACTAGTTTCAAAATCTCTAGTTCTCATGTCTTTGAATGTCAGTGAGGCAGTTATCAAATTTGAAGAAATATTCCTCAGGGTAGTATGTTCATTAAATGTGTAACTTTGTCAGAGTGCCAACGCATTAAAGATTTTTTTTTACAGCCAAGTGGTGAGAAAAGTACCTTTAGAATAGTTGCTCGCTAACAACATATAAAGTGAAAATTGCGCATGTTCTTAAGTCTTTACACGTTTCTCCGACGGATCATTGGCTCCGTCGAAGGCTGAAGATTTGTGTGTAGCATGCCTGCAGGCTACATGTGTTAAAAGTTAACAGGAAAATGTGTACCAGAAATTGATGGAAGATTCTCTTAGATCAGTTCTTCAGTGTGCCTGCTTACTGAGCCAGATTGTTAGTGGCTTCTTTACAGCTGAAAATGCAGCAGCAACTGAGTGTTTGCATGAAGAGCTGACCCATGCGATGGTTAGTTGTCAAAATCAATACCTGTATTTCCATTTTATCCATGCTAATTGCAGTGTAGTTTGATTCTTTTTTAATTTTTTAGGAAATTTCTGTTTTATTCTTTTCAAGCTAGAATAGAATAGAAAAAATAAATACATGGGAAGCTACACATAAGATAAATGTCCACTAATATAGAAGCAGAATTGTACTTTAAGTCAAATATCTTTATAACAAAGATATTTCCAAGCCCTAGTAAATAGCTGCTTGATTTTGAGTAGTCTTTACTGCATCAGAAAACAGAAAACAAGCAAAGCATTCTCCCGAAGATCTGTGGGATGGAAGCCAAGCTGTCGGCTACTTGTCTGATCAATTACCTCTGTTTGCTCAGCAAAGCCAACGTGTACTTTCGGCTCTGTCAACAGGGATGCCAAGACTGGAAGCAACTGGGCAAGAGAACAAATAAGGAAAATAAAGTTTGAACACCCACACAGGCCAAGATACAAAGAAAAGGATTTTTTAAAGAATTGGTAAACTGGCAGGAATGGCAATTGGTACAACCATGTCAAAGGGTGATTAATTTGAACATATCTTCTAAAATGAAAATTGGGCTTACCTTATAGTCCAGGAATTCACTTCTCAATATCTATCCTAGAAAAAATGCATGTGCACAAAAAGCACATGTAAGATGTTCATTGTAACATAGCTTGTATGAGATAAAAAATAAATAGCAAGTTAAGTGTCCATTAACAGGTTAAATAAGCCATGATACGTAAGTGGTTGTTAAATATAATGAAGTGAATCTGAATTTGTCACCATGGGGTCTTCTTTAAGACACAAGGCTGGGTGGGGAAAAAACACATTTTTGAGTAATATATACAGCTGAACACTCTACATTAAATCAATTGATCATAAAACAATACTCCTTTTTTTCCAAAAGTACTTTATTTTCCAGAAGTTCTCTATATGCAAATCATAGAAGAAGATTTGGATGTTTACATCTCAAATTGGTAACAGTGACTACCTCTGTGGAGGTGAGAGGAGACCAGGGTTGAAAAGAAGGGATTTTAAAGAGGCACTATGCATTTATTTGTAAGGTTTTCCTTTATACAGATAAAAGCTTAATTTTATACATATTTCACATATTAGTAATAAAATTAAAATAGATAAACAAATGAAAAGCAATGTAACTCTGTGTGGTTTAAATTTAAACCTATGCTATGCACAGGAAAGATTTGCTTAAAGTCCTCTGGAGTTCTGATTCCTTGAGGTGATGTCATGATTCTGGGCACTGAGGATTCTTAGAAAAAGGAAACAGTGATATGGGGAAAGCCTCTTCCCTCTCCCCTCTTCATTCCTGTATAAGCACAAAATCAAACTACAGTGGCCTTCTGAGCTCTGCTTCATCAGTACCACTTGGCTTGGAACCAACTCTGTGTCATATCTCACAATCCTTCGACACTCTCCTCATGTCTCCTAAGTCAGCAATGGATTCTTGAAACATCCTTTGATGTATTGAGATGGAACAGAGATGATACACAGGCCACATCAACAAAAAATGTCAAGGAAAGTTGGATGGACCAAAAGTCCATGGGCTGCACTCGAAACTCTCTAGTTTCCTCATAGGAAATCTTGCCAACTGGTTACAAATATACTGGCAAGAGACCCAAGTGAAATATGGAATCATTAGGAGTTATTGGCCAGAAAGGAGCTCTTTTTCTCTTAGAGTTGGTGAAATTACTGGTGCCATGTTGCTTCTTCAAGAGAAAGGATGTCTGAAAATGGAGCCAAATACAGCAGAAAAAGGAGACAAGGTGAAGGGGAATCATTCTTGATAGAACTAATTTGCTCTTCTGGGTTCAACCATACCTTAGTATGGCCTTTTAAATTATGTGCACCAGGCCCGGTGCGGTGGTGGCTCACACCTGTAATCCCAGCACTTTGGGAGACCGAGGCAGGTGAATCATGAGGTCAGGAGTTCGAGACTGGCCTGACCAACAAAGTGAAACCTTGCCTCTACTAAAAATAGAAAAATTAGCTGGGTGTGGTGGCATGTGCCTGTAATCCAAGCTACTCAGGAGGCTAAGGCAGGAGAATCGTTTGAATCCGGGAGTTGGAGGTTGCAGTGAGCAGAGATCGTACCACTGCACTCCAGCCTGGGTGACAGAGCGAGACTCCATCTCAAAATAAATAAATAAATAATAAATAAGTAAATAAATAAGTAAATAAATAAATAAAATAATGTGCCCCAATAAAAATCACTGTTATTCCTTTGTCCCCAGATATGTTCTGTCTAATACTTTCCTCCCACTGAGGCCAGATTATAGCTCTTTGAAGGCTGATGACATGGAGAGTGGAAAGTGAGGGCCACTCTCACTTGTTTCATCTTGATTTGGTGGTGAATGTAAACCAAGTTGTTGATCTCCAAGGATTGGAAGCAGAAGAAACTCATTTAGGGGAGGGGCAGTCGTCAAAGTCAGAGGGCTGCTCAGAGAAGAGCTCTCAACAGAGCTGTGGAATACCCTTCTCAGTGTAGCTGGAAAAGCTAAAAGTGTGTGAACATCCACACCCAGACAGATCCCCAGGAAGACAAAGTAGATCATGCTTTGTAGTAGATTTGCATTTAATCCAAGAGGACCTGTGCTCCTCCTCCACAACTTCAATTCATCTCCCTTACTTAATAAAAGTCTTCTGTTAACTTGGGCAGGCACATTCTACTTCTGAAGACATTTTCACACACCGTATTTGCATGTGATCCTCAAAACCAGTCTGTAAATATGCCTGGTAGGGAATGAAAATCTCCCCTTTATAAATAAAGAAGCTGATGCCCAGTGGATTTCCTAAAGTCCCTGCTTAAAACTCTCCCATGACTGCATTAGAACGACATCTACATGCTTGTTCCCAGCCTCCTGGGCTTTTCCTGATCTGGCCTCTGTCTGCCCTTCTTCCCTCTCACTAACCCTCTTGCTCCAGCCTCACTAGAGAAGCAGCCCTTCCACTCACCCCTGCACTAGCTCTGGCTGATTCATTGTCTTGTACTTTTTCCTCGTGATCTTCACATGACTGATTCTTCCTCATCTTCCAGGTCTCAAATCAAATATTATTTTCTCAGAGATGCTTCAGTGCAACCCTCCCCAAAGTAGTCTTCACCACTACCTTATATCACATCACCCTTTTAATTTCCTTTATAGCTCTCACATGCTCTGATCACATCTTATTCTTGCTGTTGTTGCAATTGTTGACTGGTTTATTGGTTAGGGTTCTACTAGAGAAATAGAACCATAAAATATAGAATATATATGTAACAGTATGTGTATGTGTGTGTGTATATATATAGCGTGTGTGTATATATACTGTTATGAATATACATATAGAGATATATACATATATAGATTTATTTCAAGGAATTGACTTCTGTGATCATATATAAAGACATATATATACATATAGAGAGAGGTTTATTTCAAGGAATTGACTTCTGTGATTGTGGGGGCTGGCAAGTCCAAAGTCTGTAGGGCAGATCAGCCAGCTGGAAATCCTTGAGCAGGAGCTGACGCTGCAGTCCACAGGCAGATTTTCTTCTTCCTCAGGGAAACCTCAGTTTTGCTATTGAGGTCTTTCAACCAATTAGATGAGGCCCCCCACCGACTGTTAAGAATAATCTCCTTTATATAAAGTCAGTTGATTGCAGATGTTTACCACATCTACCAAATATCTTCATAGCAACACCTAGATTAGTGTTTAATTGAATAACTGGATCCTGTAGCCAAGTTGATGCATAAGGCTGACCATCACAACTGGTTTCTTCCTCATCTTTCTTCCCCCCATAAGAAAGGAGATTTCATGTGGAGAGATGTCTCTGTCCTGTTCACTGGTGTATCCCTAGGCCCTTGTATTACTGAGTGAGTGACCAGGCAGCCATTTTCCTTCAAGGGTTCAGATAAGCCAAGGTCACAGCTCAGGGGGGCCACAAGATGGCATCTGCTGGAGGGTGCCAGAGCAGCTGCCCACTTATCCCTAACTCACTGGAAGCTGAGACTTGGTGCCAGAGGTCTCCAAGCAGTGGTCAGTATCCCTGATCATTGCCATGTGGGTCTCTTCTACCTTCAGTGAGAGTGAGTAACCATGCCCCTCTGCCGTCCCAAATTTGCACCCCACAACCTCACTCAAGAAGTAATCCAAGACAAAGTCAGTGCTTCCCAGAAAGCCCGCCATGGTGGAGTCCTGAGAGCAGCCTTTGAAAACAACAAGCCATGGACTCAGGCTGATGCAGGGAGTTAACACATCTGAAGCTGCGCCTTAGATGGAGTGAGGCTGGCTGCCCTTTCAAACAAGGCATTAAGGAATAGTGTTCACCCAGTGCTCTTCTGCCCTTCATAGTGGAAAGTGGCACCACTGAGCCCCTTCAGGGGACCCTCTCTGCAGTATGAGGGGAGTCAAGAGAGAGATATGCCCAGCTGAGGCAGGCATGGGCACCTTCATCATTTTAAATACATTTTATACTATTATTATGATACTTGTTTATGTATGTTCATTTCTTATACATCTGCCCCATTAGAATGTGAGCACCTTTAAAACAGGAATCTCGTTGAACATCCTATCAGTTAGGACAGTGCTTGGTCTTAGAAAATGCTCAACTGATATTTGAGTAAGGAAGGAAGGAAGGGAGGGAGGAAGGAAGGAAGGAAGGAAGGAAGGAAGGAAGGAAGGAAGGAAGGAAGGAAGGAAAGGAAAGGAAGGAAGGGAGGGAAGGAGGCAAAGAAGGAAGGAAGGAGGGAGAGAGGGAAAGAAGGAAGGAAGGAAGGGAGGGAGGAAGGGAAGGAGGGAAGGAAGGAAGGGAGGAAGGAAGGAAAGGAAGGAAAGAAGGAAGGAAGGAAGGGAGGGAGGAAGGGAGGAAGGAAGGAAAAGAAAGGAAGGAAGGAAGAGAGGAAAGGAGGAAGGAAAGGAAAGAAAGAAAGAAGAAAGGAAGGAAGGAAGGAAAGAAAGAAGAAGGGAGGGAGGGAGGGAAGGAAGGAAGGAAGGAAGGGAGGGAGGAAGGAAGGGAGGGAGGAAAAAAAGCAAGGCTGGAGAAAAAATAAGGAGAGCAGAAAGTAATTCATTATCATTCCCTGAACCAGCCTTAGAGGCTTAGTTAGAGGCTCCTGAAATCTGGGTTCTAGAGGTTGGAGGGGTTAAGTAGCAAGTTAGCTTTGGATCCCACATCTAGGGTTTTCTACCCTCGGTTACTGTGTCAAAATATTTTCATGGGGCCACAACGTGGCCAGAATCACTGAATGCTAACTAAGCACTAGCTCAGGACTAAATGTTTGTTTGTTTGTTTGTTTGTTTTGGAAACAGGGTCTTGCTCTGTCACCCGGGCTGTAGTGACAGTAGTGTGGTCATTCATATCTCCTTGCAGCCTCAAACTCCTGGGCTCCAGTGATCCTCTCACCTCAGCCTCCTGAGTAGCTGGGACCACAGACATAGGCCACTGCACCCAGCTAGTCAATGGATTTCACAGTGCATTGTGGATGTTGTTGTGGTCATTTTGCTTTTCATCCTGGAGGTCAGAGATAAATTGGTGACACTGATTCTGAATGGGAAATGAAGGAGGGTTCCCAGAAAAAGGGAAGTAGAGGAGTAGTTTTACCAGCCACAGTTCTGCACCGGTGATTTTTGGGCGAACTGTTTCCTCTCTGTGCCTGGAATCCTATCTTCAAAATTAAGGGGATGAAGACAATCAGTAGTACTTGGGCTTTATTTTTAAGCTATGGAGTCATACAAGGAACCCCAATATGTTTTTTAAAAACTAGCACTTAGTTTTCTTGTATATTATAGTATTTTCAAACATATAGCATTTACTTATATTAATAAGAACAGTAATACCCCTGAGAGTAAACCAAACATTGAAATCTATGGTAATGGAAGAAAGAGCCAACTTTATATTTGCTATCATCACATAATTTATTTTCGAATTTTGTTTTCATGCAAAATCGGGAGATTTTCACAGACAAGCATTTTCAGACAGTAAATGCTTATTTTTCAATCTCATAATCTTCAGTTTAACCAAAACGGCAACTTAAGCCTTATTCCGAGTCTTTAGAGATGTAAGTTAACCTGGCAATACAATTTAACATGTTTGGGGCTACCAATAGGCTAAAGTATATTTTATTAACTTATGAGCAGCTGATTTTCTTTAATTTCCACAATATGGTTAATAAATATTCAAAAGAATATTTTTGGGTCCCCTGAAGCACTTCCAAGTAAACAATCTGAACATCATTAAGCTAGAGGATTTATAAAAGTTCCTCTAGTTCTAAATGGCTCTAAATCATTATGTATGTATAAATGCAGTGGCTTGATCATAGCTCACTGCAACCTCAAACTCCTGGGCTCAAGTGATCCTCCCTCTTCAGCCTCTCCTAGGACTACAGGTGTGTGCCATTATGCCTGGCTAATCTTTTTTTTGAGGCAGGGGTCTTGCTATGTTGCCCAGGCTGGTCTCAAACTCCTGGCCTCAGGCAATCCTCCCACCTCAGCCTCCCAAAGAGCTTGGGTTACAGGCCTCAGCCATCACACCTGACCTGATTATGTATTTATTGAGGAGAGACTGTGTGCTAGTGCCCAGAGACAAAGGCGACTACGACACAGGCAGCCCTTTTTATGTAGAGCTTAACTCTAAAGGTATTTTTCAGCACTTTCACTGTAAGGTAAGTGTTTTCACATATTATTTTCTTTCAGCTCCCAAAATAAATATGTAACGTACATACTCTCATTTCCTCATTTTATAAAGGGGGAAACAGAGGCTTAGAGAAGTTAAGAATTTTTCCCAGGGCAACAGCTAGTAAATGGCAATGCTGGGCCTCAAATTCGCACGAGTCCACTGTGGATTTCTTGCTCTTAACCATTTGGCAGCATTTTCTGAGTCTGCCAAAACCCTGCTTCAGAGTAGAAATGGCTCTGGCCCCTTCTGGGAGGAAGGTGGAGGGGCGCACCAGCCCCAGGAGGGCGGTGACTGACTCCTGCAGGCCCCGCTCCTCTGGTTTGCGCTGATAATGCTGCTCTCCTTCCAGCTCAGCAGCCAAACCCACCCCCACCCTACCCGAGCTGCTGGCAAGGCTGCCAGGTTTCCCGGGCAGGGAAGAAGAAAGCCTCCCATTAGCAGGAGGCTGCGGTTCGGAGCGTCCCTGGGACGAGAAGCATCTGTTGCTGCTCCCCATTGTTCCAGCTGAGAGCACGCTAATTGTCCCCTCCAAAGTTGGGCTGCCGTCTCTTGCCAGAGGGAAATTATGGACCCTTTTTCAGCAGGCGCTGTCCTTTCCGCAGCTGTCAGCTGAATGGCCCCAGGAGGAACAGACTGATTCGGAGGGTGGGGGGAAGTCCATCTTGCATCCTGATCCACGCAGCGAAGGAAAGTCCGCACAGCCCTGAAAGGAAGCAGCGCACCCAGCAGACGGACTCCACCTAGGAACACAAAGGCCGAGGGGCAATGACCTTTCTTGACCATCCATATGATTCCACGGCCTGTGGGATGGTTTGCGCTGCTGCTGTTGGATCATTCAGGAGCTTGAATGCGGGCCGCATTTTGGAGTAAAAAAAGTAGTAGAACATGCTTGGGAATCAGACTAGGCTGGGTTCAAATCCGAGCGCTGCCACTCATTAACCACGACCTTGAGCAAATCACTGTCACTTATCCACCTTGCAGGGCAACTGAGAGGAATCCAGAAGCCAAATAATAACTATGAAATAGCTAGCACAGGCTGGCATAGAGCAGGTGCTTGATACGGATGATATTTTGTTATCATTATTACTATTATTATTATAGCTCTGCGTTGAAACACACGTGTAAAGACAGCCCACATACAGGAGGGTCTCCTAAGAAGTAAGAACATCACTCATATATTGAAAAAATATTTTAAGTTACCTACTGGGTTGCGGGTACCGTGTAGGCAGCTAAATCACAAGAGAGACCTGGGTCTACTTGGAAGTCATGCAAGATGGATGTCCTGAAGGGGAGCTGGAGAAACAGCTGTTTTACAGTGAAAAGAGCCCTCAGTAGAAGGAAGAGCTTGGGCAAAAACCCAGAGATGACAGGAGCAAATGCTTCATTTGAGGATCTGAAAGTAGCCCGGTGCTGTCAGAACTCAGAAACTAAGGGCTGGGGAGGATCAATAATAGAATAGATAATTAATAATGGAAGGACAGCACCCTTAGCCCTGGTCTTCTGGCAAATAGAGTCTATGGCAATGACTGAGATGCCTCACTTCACGTAGGATGTACAAGCGCAGAATGGCGAGGATGAGACACAAGGAAGGTTTGAGGCAATGCAGTACGCACCTTAGCGCATTGACTACACTTTGTAATGCACCACAAAGTGACATGGCAGACTGTCCCCGGGCTGTAAGGAGGGATTGCACACTGGGGTAGTTCCTGGGCGACAAGAAGAAGGGAGATTTATCTGCCTAGCTCTTTTTCCCATTTCCCATTGGTAAAAATTCACTGCTTTCAGGTCACTTCATCTGTCCCTGCAGTGGCCACTCAGAGAGTCATCTCTCTCCCCAGGATGCAGTATCGTGTGCCAGTCTGAAAGAGGAGGCAGAGTCCAGCACACTAACATGAAGGCCAAGAGACAGCAAGCTGGAGGCAGGCGAGGGCGTCTGCAGGGATATTCAAAGCCTGTGTGCTGGCTCAGGGGGAGCATGAATTCCAGAGAGGAAAGGGAGGAGCACCATCTTTATTGATTGCTGTAGCACAGGTTGCTGGTGTTCACTCATGTGCCATTCTCCTTTTTTCTATTCGGCTAAACTATATTTCCCATATCCCCACCTCTACCCATTGCATTTAAGTGGGAGCCTGTGACTGATTCTGGCCAATGAACCATAAGCAAAAATGATGTATGCAACATGCTCAGGGCTGGCTGGAATGCCTCCTGCAGTCTCTTCCACTGTCTTTTTCTCTCTTGTCCTCCAAGGCTATAGAAGACAGCCTGGGGCCAGGCACAGTGGCTGACACCTGTAATCTCAACACTTTGGGAGGCTGAGGCAGGAGGATAACCTGAGGTCAGGAGTTCAAAGAACAGTCATGGTGAAACCCTGTCTCTACTAAAAATCCAAAATTAGCCAGGCATGGTGGCGCAAGCCTGTAATCTCAGCTACTCAGGAGGCTGAGGCAGGAGAATCACTTGAACCCGGGAGGTTGCAGTGAGCCAAGATCACACCACTGCACTCTAGCCTGGGCGACGGGAAAAATTCCATCTCAAAAAAAAGGAAGACAGCCTGGGAGAGTCACAGGGTAGAAGCCTGGCTCCTCAAGTCACCCCCTAGAAGGCAGTAATTCTGAAGAACTGCCCCACTAGAAACACCCTCACTAGACTTTGAGTAAGTGAGGAATAAACTTAGATGGTGTTGAGGTGCTGAGCTAAGGGGTTGCTTGTTACATGAAGTAGCATCACTGTGCCTTAATGGATACCTGAGCCCATGATGCTCCACAGGTACTGTGCTAGGTTAGCCCAAGTCAACCTCACGACAACCCCAAAAGAGGGAAATAGTATCCCCATTTCATAAGTGAGGAAATGAGATTCAGAGAAGTTGTCACTTGGTCAAGTTCACACAGCAAGTAAAGGAGGAGCTTGGATACAAACCCAATCCTGGTTTCTTCTTTCCACTGAGTCATTCTGCCTGCTCCCCTGGAGTGGGGAGTGATGTGGGAAGACAGTGGAGGAAGACGCACATTCCTGGCTTTGAGTGGGCCAGCCCAACCCCGCAGAGGAGTCCAGACACTGGTTTCATCCTTGTTCCTGCTCCAGAAAAACACTAGAGTCAACTGCCAGTGAGAGAAACTCTGGAGAAATCAGTAGGAATGACTCAGTCACTCAGAGTCCCCTCTTTTATGCTTCATGGGACAGAGTGATGGAGAAATTGGGAGGAGACTCATAATTAGCAATCACAGGGGTTAAATTAAAAAGAAAAAAAAAAACCACTTAACCAGTCAATGAAATTAGATAAAATTATCTGTTAGTATTTATACAAAGATCTAATGCTGCCCTCTACAATAAAGGCTCTATATGGCTTGCAAGATACAGTAAAATTAATTGTATATTGGGCTGCCAGGCACTGTTAGAATGGTGTGTTTATTTAAACAGTACCAGAGCTTCGAACATTGAGTTGTAAAGGCCCAGTCGCTGTGAGGGGCTTGAGGAAGAGAAGCTCAGGTCCTTGCATTCTCCCTGGGGCCAAGTAAGAGCTTTTATGGTTGTATATTCTGTTGGGTGTTTTTCCTTTAACAGCCCCTCCTGACAACACCTGGCAGAGCCCTGAACATGAATAGATGGGATCTGTCTCTGAGTTTTTGCTCCATAGCAAGTCAGAAAGGAATTAGAAATGACTGTCTTTACTTAAAAGCTGGATGAGGACAGTTTCTATATATACGGATTCAGACTGGATAAAGGATGTCAGGTTCAAGTTCATTGAAGAAAAGACAAAAATGAGCTCCAGCAAGCTTGACTGGGAGAAATCAGGACACTGTGAAGAGATGCCTCCCTGTTCACCAAAGGTAGTGTCAGGTTGTTGCTAGGAAGCTGCTTCCCAGACAGGGCTATGTTTCCCTGTCTCCCTGGCACGTAGGTGGGGCTGTGGAATGTCACCAATGGGATATGAGCAGAAGTCCCAGGTGACTTTTTCAGACCAAAGAACTTGAGAAGCAGAAGTGCCTGCAATCCCCCTCCTTTTTTCCTTCTGCTAGCTTCCTGTGGAAGAGCACAGTCACCTGGAAATTGCTTGTTAAAGGTCACAGTGCCACAAAATAAAAGGAGCCTGAATCCCCGAATCACCACCTGGAGACGAGCTAATGGCCAGTTAGGTAGATCTGTTTCAGACTTAAAGTGAGTGCAAAGTAAACTTCTATTATGTTTATGCCATTATATTTTGGGGATTTTTTAAGAGCAGCTAGTATTAAACCAATAAAGTAACATTAAGTCCTAAGATTGAGGAACATTACCTTCTTTTTACATGCATTAATGTGTAGCAAATATATTGCTGCTTTCACCTACTATGCCCACTGGAAATGTTATTAGGAGATTATAACATTTTTATCATTCTTTCTGTGGCCTCAGAATCCTTCTTACATTGTAATTATTACCAATTTATTATGAGTTTCATGAAGATGCAACTGAGAATAATACCTATTCCAACACAACTATAAGTTTATTGAGACAGGTGTTTACAAATCTATCATGTAGCACATCATGAAAACAGGGCAGCAGCTCAAAAATGTTGCTGAATGAGTGAATTAATTAATTAATTAATAGGTGTTCTGCAAAGATCTTTTTTTTTTTTTTAAAAAAAAAAGACATTTATCCAGCGTCACGATCAGACTATTACATTTAGCAATCAACAGCATGGGGTGCAAAAAAAAAAAATCTACATTAAAACCCTTTGTTGGAATGCTTTACACTTTCCACAGAACAGAAACTAAAATAACCTGTTATACAATTAGTCACAAATACAGTCCTCGAGTTTTTTGCCTATACACATGAGTATTTGTCTAAAACATGTCTTCTTTGTAGCAGCTAGGCCCTGCCACCACTGTGCTTGGCTGAGTTCACAAATCTGTTGTAACCTGTAGCTTCCCTGTCACTTCTCTGGCTCTCCTCTCCTGCTAAGCTTTGTTTCCTAATTAAAATCTTCTGCCACTGCCATAGCTACTGCTGCTGCTGGAACCGCCATAGCCACCTTGGTTTCGTGGTTTTGCAAAGTATTGGCCTCCACCGCCATGGGGGCCAGAGCTTCTGCCTTCAAAATTTCCTCCCTTCATGGGTCCAAAATTTGAAGACTGATTGTTGTAATTGCCAAAATCATTGTAGCTTCCACCACCTCCAAAATTGCTTCCATCATTACCAAATCCATTATAGCCATCCCCACTGCCACCATATCCACCACCACCACGGCTGCCACCAAAGCCACCACGACCACTGAAGTTTCCTCCACGACCGAAGTTGTCATTCCCACCGAAACCACCTCCACGACCACCACCAAAGTTTCCAGAACCACTTCGACCTCTTTGGCTGGATGAAGCACTAGCCATCTCTTGCTTTGACAGGGCTTTTCTAACTTCACAGTTGTGGCCATTCACAGTATGGTATTTCTGAATGACAATCTTATCCACGGAGTCATGGTCGTCAAAGGTTACAAAGGCAAAGCCCCTTTTCTTGCCACTGCCTCTGTCAGTCATGATTTCAATCACTTCAATTTTTCCATACTGTTCAAAATAATCTCTTAGGTGATGTTCTTCAGTGTCTTCTTTAATGCCACCAACAAATATCTTTTTCACAGTTAAGTGGGCATCTGGTCTTTGAGAATCTTCTCTGGAGACAGCTCTCTTTGGTTCCACAACTCTTCCATCCACCTTGTGTGGCCTTGCATTCATAGCTGCATCCACCTCCTCCACAGTGGCATATGTGACAAACCCAAAGCCCCTGGAGCGCTTCGTGTTTGGATCTCTCATTACCACACAGTCCGTGAGCGTTCCCCATTGCTCAAAATGGCTCCTCAGGCTCTCATCAGTTGTTTCAAAGCTCAACCCTCCAATGAAGAGCTTCCTCAGCTGTTCGGGCTCTTTAGGAGACTCTGACTTAGACATGACGGCAGGGTGAAGAGAGACTTTAACGATGCTTCTTCGGCGGCGTCCAAGGGCAGAAAGGAAAAGATCTTATTCTGATATATTTGCAACTTCCTTGGGTCAGAAAACTGCTAAAAACATGGGAACTGATAATTATCATAATAATTAAACTCAGATATTGAGACTCTTAATGGATTTGAGGGAGACTTCCTAGAATGGTAGGTCTGTAGTCATTGATGACCTCTCACACTTTACTTTACCTTGCCTATACAGAAAAAGCAATCCAAATTGTTCAGATCTGCTTGAGATCCAGTGTCAGAAGACATGAGGGGGAATACCCCTCTGTTGTTTGAGTGGTGTCTTGAATGTCATAGGTAGTTAAACTGTTTAACTGGAGTCCTCCAAGAATATATGTATACAGCGGTGCTGATGGTTATCCCTTTCCTTTGTAAAGCACGAACTGCAGTAGCTGGACTCTTGCATCCATAATCTCATTTGATTATTTTATCTATTTAAGTAAAGAAAACAAAAGGAAATACACCCATTTAACAGATGAAGAGAGAATCCCAGAGGGGATGTGACTTAATAACATCACAGAATATTAAAGATAAACTCAGGTTCAGAACCCCAGACTTTTTCATTTATTCATTCAGCTAATATTCAATGCGCACTTATTGGTCAGGCATCTACTGGCCCCTGGGTCTCACTTAATGCATCAAAATGTCATGCTTCCACAGTGCAGATGGATATTTCATCACACACTCTCACGTTTGGCATTTTATGAAGTACAGTCCTTTCCCTTCCCTTTCTTCCTTTTCCTGGTGGAAGGAAAACAAGCAAATTTGATCTGAGCCTTGATATGCCCCTACTTTTTCTTATCCCAAAGAACATCATATGCTGAAAGGGTCTATCTAAGCACAATCCTGTTACTATTTCAGGAAGCATTAAATAATTACATTAATTTATCAGACTATTACGAACAAAGTTGTAGGAAGGACGTCACATGGGAAGAAAGCATTGAAGCCCACTTCTAGAAATATGCACAGTTTTGAATGTGGCTGGAAATAATGAAGAAGTGATCTAAATTCAAGAATTGGATGGTCTTTGGTGGGCCCCCAAGAGTCTGGAAGTGTTCTCTCAGTGTCTTAGCCTAGGTTTCAGATTTACAATTTGAAAAATGCAGCTGTCAGTTCAGAGCCTATATCCATACACACCACAATCCAGCTTTTCTGGCTACAAGCTGTTGTGGCATCTGAGATAAACATGGGACAATCTCATGTGGAACTGGCCACTTGGTCACTTCTCCTCACTTTAGGACACTCTGATCCAGATGCTGACTTCCAGCCTAGGCTATTCTCATCAACACAAGAAGGTAGGGAGCTGAGGATGTCCACTAGGGGCCATTCCTTCAACCACTGTGAGATGCACAGAAGCGCCAATTCCTTGACTGATCCCCAGAGGAGTAGAAATTCTCCTGGAAGAAACCAGATGGCATTGTGACTTGAAAGTTAACTGTCACAGAAAAATAAGAGTTTAGAGATTTTGGAGCATATAATACCTTTTTATTTAAAAAAAAAAAAAAAAAAATCCTTAGAGAATTTGCTTTTACGGCTCTCCAAGATTACTTATCCAATCTCGTTTTTCCCCCCTACCCTGAAGGTACTCTTTATTCCCCTCCTCATAAACCCCTAACCACACCATTTTTATTCCTGCTTCCCCAACTTTGCATAAACTATCTGAAAAGCATTCTTCCCTTCTATCTGTTGGAGCAAGTCCTACCCAGTCTTCTAAGGCAGTTTCAACTTTGTCATGGAATCACTTCTTTCTCCTAAACTTTCTACAACCTGGAGACAGGGGTCCACACTACCCCATTCATTATCTCCCTGTGTTTATCATTGTTTTATGAGAAAAAAATGCTCCTTCCCCAATAACGCTACAGGCTCCTTTGGGAAGCATGGTCTTTGAATTTGCAGCCCACCTGTGTGAGCCTCTTTCTTAGGACTTTGAAAAGTTCCTGGGAGGGAGAGGAGAGGCTGAGTTTCTCTGCTTTCTCTTAGGCCACCCCACTTGCAAGGAAGTCACCATTTTTAGTTCCCTGACCTATGTGCAGGGATGCCTAGGAGAATTGTATTGTGTGTTATCTCATCAACTTTCTGAGATTATAAGCATTGTGCAAAACAGGCAATGTATCTTATACCTTTTGAGTACATAAACTAAATACTCAGTTGAAAAAAAAATTAAATGTTGCTGTTTTTGCTGTTGTCTTTTGGACAATGCATGTGGCCTGTGTCCTCACGGGCCTCTATTATTAGAGGCTATATTCTAAAGAGTTAATCCAAATTTTGGATTTAAGTGGGTTTGCCATCTGCTATGTATGGTTTTCAATACAAAACTTTTTGAGTATGGGACAATCTGTACAATTCTCCTAGGCATCCCTGCACACAGGTCACTAAAAATGGTGGCATCCTTGCAAACGGGGTGGCCTAAGAGAAAGCAAAGAAAATCAGCCTCCTCCTTGTTCAGTAACTTTTGGAAGTCCTAAGGAAGAGGCTACACACAGGTGGGTTCCAAATTCAAAGGCCAGGCTTTCCAAAGGAGCGTGCAGGGTTACTGAGGAAGGAGCATAAATTATGGCAGTAGGTGGCATTTGTGCCTGCTGTACCCACCAACCTATAAAGGACCTTAATCAATTGCCCCAGTCCTCTCACGCCTCAGGCTGGCTGAGGGCCAGGCAGACCTCCAACATGAAACCCAGCAAATGTGATCTGGGCCTTGCTCTGCCCCCACCTTTTTCCTCCCTCAAAGGGGATTCTGGTGCCAGCACCATATGTTGAAAGGGCCCAAGCACAATCCTATTACCATTGCAGGAGGCATTAAATAATTACATTAATTTACCTAAATATGGAAAAAAATCTTTACAAATCGGGGACACTTGGCAGATTTTCCAGCTGCACATTTTTTGCTTGGCACAGCACACTGTCCTGTTGGGTTCCCATTGCTACTTGGAGTGTTTCCTTTAATTGTGGGGCACATGCCTTCTCTTGTTCTGTTTAATTTTCTCAGAGCTGGTTCCACATTCCAGCTACAAACATATTATAGGAAAAAAAAAATACCCACAAAAGTATGGATTGTGCTTGAGTGTACCCTAAGGGAGCGTACATAAAAATAGTAATTTCTTGTATATGAAACCTTCCATGGGGCGGTCTTTCACTAGATTGCTTTGCAGAAAATAAAAGGTTGAAGGGGTGGAAAGAGGGAAAAGGGCAAAGGAAGGAAAGAAATAAAACTGGGAGATTAGAAAGGGGTTATGTAATGGAGTGGGAGTGAACACACATTGGAATTCCATGTGTATGAAGATGGTGAACTAGACTTGTGTTTGGTGGACTTGTAATGGAAAGCTCCACCAAAGAAAAGTCTGCATTTTCAGGGTCAACACTTGCTGTTAACTATCTCTGGTCAGTGTTTTCACTGCCAATGCTTGTGTCTAAATCACAGACCTCCTGCCATGGAATTCGAGGGCTGAAGTGCAGATAATATTCACAGCGACCCCACTTCCCTGACTCAGCATGTCCTCACAGGAATGCCACAGAGAGTGACTGCCACCCACACAGCCCAACTTCAGAGGCTGAGGAAAGGGAGGCCCTCGCCTCTTACAAGTTCCCCTGACCAGAGACTGACTGAAATTCCCTTCCTTGGGATAAGGACTTCTAGAAGGTGCTTCTCAAATCCTCAGTGTCTTTTGTTTTTAGTCTACTGAAGACCAATATTATTATTATTGGTAGTAGTAGTATTTTGTATCACAGCACGTGGATGTCTCAGTAAGGTCAGGTTGCTGGATTACATTTCTAAGTACTTCCTCTGTATTTCTAGCCTTGCCTCATCATGGATAGGTAGCAAGCAGTGAATGAGCATCATTTTGTGGCCTACACCTTGAGTCACTCAGTTCTAGACACAGGGACATGAGATTCAGCTAAACTGGCCCCTTCCAAGAGAGGGTGCCCAGGGACTTGCACTGACAGTGGTGGTAGATGACAACTGTCACATCACAGAGAAGAAGCAGCTGGAGCCCCGGAGATGAACCTTCCCAGCTCCCAAAGTTTCCAAAGCATCCATTGAGCCTGCAAACAGCATTGGTAACTGGCCTTCTGCCATTGTCTCTGAGGTCTGTGGGCCAGGGTAGCTGGAAAGGGCTGAGCATTCTTTTCTAAGGTAATGTGTCTTGCCTTGTTAAAATGTAATAATAGACAGATAAGACTTTAGTGAAAATATATTAGAGAAGCAAAGAAGTGTGATTTTTTTAAGTTCTTACTTCCCTTCCCAGAAATGGTACAGGCCCCATTCGGCAAAACCCTGTGCTAGTCTGAAGTCACAATCCAGTGAGGCTTCTGGCTGTAGACATGATAAAAGGCTTCATTTTCTGACTTAACCACACTCCTGCTTATCTCCTCATCTCCAGCCCATGGTGGACACTGTGACTTCTCCCTTTTCCTGTTGCTCATTCCTGCTGTGGCTAGATGACACTTTCTGATCTATCCTGCAGCATCAGCATTGCCGTCTATAAGTTTGTGATACTGGTTTGGCTCTGTCTGCACCCAAATCTCATCTTGAATCCTACTCCCATAATTCCCACGTGTTGTGAGAGGGACCCGGTGGGAGATAATTTGAATCATGGGGGTGGTTTCCCCCGTACTGTTCTTGTGGTAGCAAATAAGTCTCACAAGATCTGATGGTTTTATCAGGTGTTTCCGCTTTTGCATTCTCCTCATTTTCTCTTGCAGCCTCCATGTAAGAAGAGCTTTTTGCCTCCCGCCATGATTCTGAGGCCTCCCCAGCCATGCGGAACTGTAAGTCCAATTAAACCTCTTTTTCTTCCCAGTCTCGGGTATGTCTTTATCAACACCATGAAAACGGACTAATATAGCTTGTTAGAAATGCAGAACCTCAGGCCCTGCTCTTTTCCTGGAACTGTTTCCTCAGATTCCACAAGTTAACAATATCCTCAAGAGATTTTTATATACATTAGAGTTCCAGACAGGCTGCTCTAGGAAGCTCTCACAGTCCCCTATCACCTGCATTTGGCGCTCCCTTCTGCCATGTGGGAGAGGGTATATTCAAGCAGGACAACTGAAGAAAGTTGAATGATGGGAAATCAACAAATTGAAGTAATAAGGCTAGCAAATCAGGGAGGTGCCATCACCCCTAACTCTGAGAGGGCAAAGACAAGAAGTCAACAGAATCCTAGAAGCTGTGCGAGGGAGCCCTTTGACGGCAAGTGTGGCCCTCAGTGGAGGAAGAGGGGAATGTACACTTCTCCAGCCAAGGGGAAATAGATACCCCATCTCTCCCTCATTTCCCCCTCTATCTGCTGTGAATGTCTTTGTTAGGCGTTGGAATGTGGCCCTTAAACTGAAGTTCTAAGCCCCAGGACCTCAGAATGCGCCCTCATGTGGAAATAGGGTTGCTGCAGATGTAATTAGTTAAGAAAAGTCATGCTGGAGTAAAGCAGGCCCTTCATCCAATATGAATGTGCTTATGAAAAGAGGAGAGATGCAGAGACAGAAGCATAGGGAGAGGACAGCCATGTGACCACAGAGGCAGAGACTGAAGTGAGGCATCTACAAGCCAAGGATTGCTAGAAACACCAAAAGCTGGAAGAGGAGAGGAGGGACTTCTCTGCAGGTTTCAAAGGGAGCATGATCTTGCTGATACCTTGATCTTGGACATCTGGCCTCCAGAACTATAAGACAGTAAGTTTCTGTTGTTTTAAGCCACTTGGTTTGTGGTACTTTGTCAAGGTAGCACGAGCAAAAGAAGATAGCTTTCCATTGGCCAAGTCCAATCAAAAGCCAGAGGTGAAAGGATCCTGCTGAAGCCATTCATAAAAGGATGGGAAAGGTGGAGACTGAATCTTCAGGGGAAAATAAAAAGTATCCAGCAGGTGGGGACTATGAGATTAGATTGATGGAAAGGTATTAGGTTAAAAACTAAACAAAATTATCTTTTTGTAAGAGTTACCAAACCTGGCTGTTGGTAACTCCCCTCCCTGGATGTATGAAAGAATCCTGGCTGCTCCCTCCAGTATGTGAGCAGGAGGCACATGAGCAAACCTGTTGATATCATTTAACCCCTTGATCCAGCAATACCTGAAGCTTTCATCCTTGGAATCCACCACTGTAGATACAATAAAGTCCCTCTTTGACTTGAGCTACTGTCTCCAAACACCTAAATGCCAGAGAATGGTAATATATTTTACTTAATTTCATGGCTCTGAGAAACACAGGGATCCACACTAAGGTCCTTCTGGCCAATCTCAATATCCTCCCTGAGAGAAAGAAAGTGACGCCTTTCAGACAGGAAATCTGTCTAGGATCCTGCCCCCGTGAAAGGGAGTTTTTCATAAATGGAGTATCCAGTTTCTTGCAGCTCCTTTTATGAAAAATCAAAAACAACCTAGGTGCCCGACAAAAAGAGATTAGTCAAATGGATTTTCTACATCCATACAATGCAATTCTCCACAGGCAAAAATTATGACATGGAATGATTGTTTTCCAAATGTCCTCTACAAGATCCAAAGTTTCCTCAGAAACCTGCAGAGACAGAGTGGTGTAAGTATGTACACTGAGCTACCAATATCATAATCCTGATTTCATCAGAGCATTTTTATTTTGACCTATTTTTATCTATTTGGCTTCCAAATAATATTTCCCTTAAAAGAAGAGTTCCAGGCAATGCCTATAGGCATGTCCATTGGCTTGTAGGTGGCTATTATCTACCTTTCACCCCACATGGGTAGCACTGGAAGAGTAATAGGGTAGAAAATTTCTAGGTTTGATGAAGAGCAGAAAAAGGTCTGAGAATGATTTGGCAGACTGGTGACTCAGAGTTCACGTAAACTGATTCACATGGATTAAGAGGCCAAGTACAGTGAGGAAAAGTCCCTGGACCAGGAGAAGGGAGAACTGGGTTCCTAGCCCCACTGTCCCAGCAGCAGGTAGTATGCATGAGAAGGTCCCCTCCCTCTGTGCTTAAGGACAAAGCTGTCATCCGCATGACCTCTCAAGCCTGCAAGGACACAACCATGTTCTTTAGTACTATGGAAGCCCTTATGTGATGTCAGAAAGAAATTTCCAAGGATATCTACAATCATGCAGTCTGCATATCCATTCCTCACTTCAACTTCCCTTATATATTTCCAACTCCTTTTGTGAACATGAGCCAGACAGACACATAGAAATGGACTATGACTAATACAATTTTAGCTCATCATCTCAACAATCCTAGGAAATAGATTTCATCATAACTGTCATTTTATAGAGGAGGAAACTGAAGCTCAGAGGGGGTAAGCAATTTGTCTAAGGTCACACAGCTAGTAAATGTCAAAACCAGGCTTTGAAGACCTGATGAGCTTTTGGTCTTAATGAATATGTACTATAGACCAAAAGATAGAGACATCTTTTCAGGCTTCGAATTTAACAAATTTGAGGATTTAAATAGCTATAGGTATAGATTATATTGAGGGAGGAGAGGGAATAGACAGCTTGTAACAATTTCCAGGGGGTGGTAGAGCTGGGAGAGGTAGTAGACTATGGAATCAAGCCTGCTCATTCCTCATAGATCCAAAGCTCAGAGAGAGGATGTGACTTAACCAAGGTCATGCAATTCTTTGGCATTCATTTCCCAACTAAAACCCAAGATTTTAAAGTCAAGATTAACTGCCCTTAACTCTATAGTTGATAACTTTACCATATTCCCTGAGATGTACTTGTTGTACTTCTTGAGGTCTTGAAGAAGGTTTTTTTTTATTTTTTAAAAAAATGCCTCTGGTGTTCTGCTCAGCCTAATGAACTCATCCAATTTACCAGACATACAAAAGTGAAACGAATCTGACGCACAATCAGTTAATCCTTTATCTTCCTTGGCGGCAGCCTCGGAAACAGCGGGAGGACAGTCCCCCAGCCTGCAGTGGTGTTACGGATCACAACGGAAGCATATTGTCATCAGATTAATTTTCCAACCCTCCTACCCTAACCACAAAATCCTGAGAGAACGAGTGTCAAATACACTTAATAATTGCATAATTATGACATCTGTTACTCTCCAGCACCTCTTAGTGGAAAATTAACTGAAGAAATAGCAGGTTCAAAGATGTGTTAACACTCTGATAGCAGATTTAATTGAAATATGACGGGGGAGGATAATGGAGATTAAATTAAGCTCTCAGATAATCATCTGACACAAAGATAATTGAGCCAGCCTCTGCCACGTTGATGAACGCTTCAGAGAGGCTGTGCGGGTGGCATTTCGAGTATCTTATCCTTCAGGCAAAATGGAATTCTCCTCCCCCCTCCTTCTTCTCCCTCTCTTGTCATTCAACATTTGTATCCTCCAAATCGATAATGTGAACAGCAGCATAATTGGAAATAAAAGATGATCTGAAATCCACAGGAAATTAGGTTGAGGCGCGTGGAGGAAATACAGTCTCATCCTGGACACAAGGTAGATTTTTATGAGATGTGCCCCTACTCTGCAGTTTCTCCAGGAGTGTTTTCCCAGTGTCTCTGTCCTCAATGGAAAGAAATGGCCGTATGTGAGACCGGAAGGTGGTCCATAAACATGAGAATGGAGGAGTCAATAGGAGGCTTCCTCTGCATTCCCTTACAACAATCACTTTGAGCTCTTTCTCCTCTCCGCAGGAGCATTATCTTGCTTTATAGGGCAAGTCCAGGAAGCAGTGTGTGACAAAGAATGAGTACCCAGTGCTGGAGGGCATGGAGCAATCCATCGGCAGCTCCCGGTGGTGATGAGTGAGTGTCCTGCGGCAGAGGGTGGGGTGGCATAGCAAGAACAGTTGAAGGCAGGAAGTGGGAAAGCATTCTGGTTACTGTCATGCCAAGGGTCAGCGGCCAACAGTCCGGGAGAGTCTCCTTGCATCTGTCTTCCTCTAACAAGGTAATGCCTCCCTGTCAAAGGGTCGTGAGTGGCAAACCAGTGTAGAGAATAAGGTGGTGTCCTGAAAGGCAGTCTTCAGTCTGCTCCCACTCCACCAGCACTCCAACTACTCAGAGTTTCAGGTTCAGGATTTTATATGAATGGGGTTGATCTGCTTCGCTTAGGTGGAGTCAAAGGAATGTGGTCGCATCTCCTTGAAGCAACTCCATCCCATTTCCCACTTACTCTTCTCTTCCCTGGCATCACCCCGCCCATGAACACCATAAGAATTTCCTAGTCCTGGCTGGGCGCGGTGGCTCACGCCTGTAATCCCAGCACTTTGGGAGGCCGAGGCGGGCGGATCACGAGGTCAGGAGATCGAGACCATGCTGGCTAACACGGTGAAACGCCGTCTCTACTAAAAATACAAAAAATTAGCCGGGCGAGATGGCGGGCGCCTGTAGTCCCAGCTACTACTCGGGAGGCTGAGGCAGGAGAATGGCGTGAACCCCAGGGGGCGGAGCCTGCAGTGAGCTGAGATCGCGCCACTGCACTCCAACCTGGGCAACAGCGAGACTCTGCCTTAAAAAAAAAAAAAAAAAAAAAAAAAAAAAAAAAAAATCCTAGTCCTGACCTCTCTCTATGCTATGACATAGTTAAGGGGAATCCCCTTGGGGATGGAGGAGGCAATGATGCGAGTGCCCCTCACTGGGGCCCTAGACATGACACGGGATGGAAAACATTTCCCCTCTCTGGTGCAGCCATGGCTGAAGCCCAGGGTGCCTGCTGGGCCTGAGATGAGGGGCTCTGGGCAAGCTGTGCATTCCAATGGCCACCACATCCTCCAGTTCAGATCCTGACCCTGGTGGTAAGTCCTTCAATGGACAGTGGAGCCCAACAATCAGGGCATTCCTTCCAAATTCTGCCAGAGAACCAACACTCAAAGTAGGTATCTTTGTTCCTACAAAGTCTCCAAGTACAATGCCCAGGATGGCAGGGTAGGGTCTGGCACCCAGAGCCTCATGTATGGCAAAGCTCTCCTTTCACCACCAGCCTTCTGTTTCAACCTCTTCAAAAGTTAATTTAGGACACTTCTACTTCCTCCCTATTTTTGGGTTTGGAATAGAGCCCAATATTCTGAAAGATTACAATAATGTTTAATTTGGGTGGAGAACAATGAGGCTCTCCATTCCATCTCTTCCTTCCTGGAAGAATTCCATAAATTCTATAAGTATGTTTCCCCAACTGCTGGATATCCGCAATAAATTCCATGTCGTTAGACCCCTAGTTAACTTATGATGGCAAAGTTTGAAAGATGGTCTTGTCCCATCTCTCCTATTACTTTTGTCCCAAATTGTTAATTTATTGAAGCATAAAAAAGCAAGGCATCTCATGAGAAAGAGACTTAAGGGTTTGTTTTAATCATCCTCCTGTAGTCAAGTAATATGGCACCAGAAATTGTCTTCAAAGAGAAGATTCCCGACTCTCTTCTGACCTCCCTTTTTATCTACAGGATGGGTGTGTGTGGCCCATAAATCAACTGGACGCACTTCCCTTTGTTTGCACACTGCCACCGACACAGGCTTGCTATGAAGAAGAAGAAATTTTGCTCAGAGGAAACTAGAAAACCTGAACGTGTACACAATGCTGACATATTTTGTTGCTTTCACCCCTCTTAAGAATTTCTACCATTCCTTTGAGAAGTTGATTATTTTTAAAACTGTGTATCATTTTGTCTTCTTGGGCAAATTGCACAGTCAATGATATGTTTCACCGAGTATGTAAATCCCTTTTACATATTTCAAAATAATATCTAATTAAAATGTCAAGGTTATAGCTCATGAGGCTAGAGTGGACAGGGCTCCACCCCCTCCCTCAGCCTCTCAAAGTAACATTTAAAGTATGTCCTATAATTAGGAGCAATTATAAATTCCAATTAAAAAGAAACCTGCATAACTCTGACAGTATTTTTCTTTGATGTTACTGGCTTTAATTTATGTGCTTGTTCCACCAAATTGTCTTCACTTCCTCAGATATGTTCTCAGACAGAAAAGGCTTCCAAAACTGCAAAGAGAAAAACAGGTCAAATCTGAGAAAAGTAGTGAAGTTCATTAAAAAGGGTTATTGCATCTATAACTTCTGGACTTGGTGCTCATTGATTAGAGATTAAACATCATCCTTTGTACTACTCAGATTGGGATTTTTAATTAGGATGTCATTATTACACAGATATACTGAATGCCATATTGATTTTTGAGACCTTTTGAAATAATAGCACTGCTTATGCAAAATGAAAATCATAATAGATTATTGACTTCTTCAGGAGTTTTGATCCAAGGGTACCTCCCCAAAGTCAACATTTTCAATATTTTCAGTTTTATGCAAAGAGATGCTCATAATTAGGCTTATATTAAAAGTTTGTGCATATTGACTCTGTGTCATTAATGTCGATGGCATCACATTGATTACCCTTGAATTATAACAGCAGTGACATTGCTGGTTGCTGCATTGTTTACATACCATATAGCCTTTGTCTTTGCTTTTGTTTAATTTAAAAAGTGTTCATATTCAACATGAGTAGCATGCTTGATTCACAAGATCAGAGGTTCAACAACTTTCTCAATTCATAGTGCCCTAAGTGGCTCAGTAATTTCTTCATAGTGCTCCTAGTTCAAAAGAATTACCCATCAGTTCCCTTTAGTAAGTAGTCAGGGCCAAACAACTCAACAAGTATGAACGTCCAAAAAACTTAATGGGCATTTTTTAAAATTACACATTTGTAAGAAAAAAATCTGTTTATTTTATTCTCCAATATTCAGAATTACTAATGAGATGTCTGCAATGTGTCAAGTCTTAACATCAGATTGGACACCACCACCATTTCCTGTTCCACACTGATCTTCACATGGTTCTTGCTTTTTAACACAACCTCTGAAAACCGAGCCTCACAAAGGTAAACTATCTTATTTTATTTATTTATTTATTTATTTATTTGAGATGGAGTCTCGCTCTGTCTCCCAGGCTGGAGTGCAGTGGCGTGATCTCAGCTCACGGCAACCTCTACCTCCCAGGTTCAAGCAATTCTCTGCCTCAGCCTTCTGAGTAGCTGAGATTACAGGCTACTACCACCATATCTGGCTAATTTTTGTATTTTTAGTAGAGACGGGGTTTCACCATGTTGGCCAGGCTAGTCTTGAACTCCTGACGTCGTGATCCACCCACCTCAGCCTCCCAAAGTGCTGGGATTACAGGCTTAAGCCACCGCACCTGGCCTAAAGATAGGCTATCATCCAGAAAAATATACTGTGATCTAATGTTAAAAATAAGTTAAAACTACCTCAAGCTAGTAGTTTGCACAGTGTCTGACAAATGTTACTGTGTTTTCCTCAAAAATTTAAAACATCAGACAGTCCTCGTGTGAATTCACTGCAGCATACTGGGTGCCTTGGTGCACAGTTTGGAAATTGAGGCACAAGAATTAACGTTTCTTGATGTCATGAAATATACCATGTCCAGGCCAGGCGCAGTGGCTCATACCTGTAATCCCAGCACTCTGGGAGGCCGAGGCGGGTGGATCACGAGGTCAGGAGATCGAGACCATCCTGGCTAACACGATGAAACCCCGTCTCTACTAAAAATACAAAAAGTTAGCTGGGCGTGGTGGTGGGCACTTGTAGTCCCAGCTGCTCCAGAGGCTGAGGCAGGAGAATGGGGCGAACCTGGGAGGCGGAGCTTGCAGTGAGCCGAGATCATGCCACTGCACTCCAGCCTGGGTGACAGAGCAAGGCTCTGTCTCAAAAAAAAAAAAAAAGAAAAGAAAAAAAGAAATATACCATGTCCATATCCATATTTTCTGTACATTAGCCTAGCATGGGACTAATGTACTCAATAAACATTGTTTAAAGAACGTTGCTTTTGGTTAACACTTTTCTAGTTTAGATTACTTTAATCACAGTACCACAATTTGATAACATATATCCAATGTATATATAGTCACTACCAATGCAGAGGAATATATTTTCTTACATACACTCAAAGAGCTTAGGTGGAGGAAATTGATGGAGTCATCTCTATTTGAAATGTCTTATAGATATTTCTCTGTGAAGAAAGCTTTTATCTCTAGGATTCCTAGATTTTCTCTAAACTTAGGAAAATGCTTAAAAAGTTCCATTACTTGCTTGCTCCCTGATATGGTTTAGCTCTGTGCCCCCACTCAAATCTCATGTCAAGTTGTAATTCTTGCCTGTCAGAGGAGGGGCTTGGTGGGAGGTGATTGGATCATGGGGGCGGATTTCCCCCTTGCTGTTCTTGTGATAGTAAGTGATTCTCATGAGATCCTATGGTTTAAAAGTGTGTCACTTCCCCCTTTGCTCTCTCTCTCTCTCTCTCTCTTGCTCTTCCATGGAAAGACGTGCCTTGCTTCCTCTTTGCCTTCTGCCATGATTATACATATCCTGAGGCCTCCCCAGCCTTGCAGAACTGTGGGTCAATTAAACCTCTTTTCTTCATAAATTTCCTGGTCTCAGGTAGTTCTTTATAGCAGTGTGATAATGGACTAATACACTCCCTAAGACATTACAAACATACACAGAAGTAAGTGTATGATCCAAAAATTGCTTGGACCACTTGATTTTATCCAAAGGTGGATGAAGGTGCATATGTCCAGAACCAGAGGACTTCTTCCTTGCCTTTAACTTCCCTCTAAGCACAAAGGCCTTGGCCTGTGGCTCCCACATGGATACCGTGTAGTTGAGTGAACCTGAAGAATCATATCCCACACAATGCAGCCTTGGCTAAAAATGAATACCCAGTGGTGTACATATACCCAATGATACAGAAACATAATGGAACAGTATTCAGTCTTAAAAAAGGATACAGTCCTCATCCAGCTACAACATGAATGAATCTTGAAAACATGATGCTAAGTGAAAGAAGCCAGCACAAAAGGCCACATGTATGATCCTACTGGTCTGATGCATCTAGAACAGGCAAATTCATAGAGATGGAAAGCAGAATGGAAGTTATCAGGGGCCGAGGGCAAGTGCATAGAGAGTTATTGTTTAATGGGTGCAGAATTTCTGTTAGGGATGATAATAAAGTTCTGGAAATGGATAATGGTGATGACTGCACAACTTTGTAAATGTACTTACTGCCACTGAATTTTACACTTAAAAATGCTTAAAATAGTAAACTTTATATTACGTGTATTGTACCATTTTACCATGCACAGACACAAAATTGCCCAGCCTGACGAATGAGATTTGCTTAAAAAGATGTCACCAATAAATAAAGTTTAGAAAATAAGACTGCCACAGCTGCCACATTGTCTAAGTCATGAAATGCCCAATAAGAACAGGGATTGGCAAACTTTCTGTCAAAGGATCAGATAGTGAATATTCTAGGCTTTACAGACTGCAGGGTCTGTCTTACATCCCTTCAAGTCTGTCCTTGAGTCTGCAAAGTCACTGTAGGAAACATGTAAATGAATGAGCATGGCTGATTTCTCAGCCAATTTTTATTCATGGACACTGAATTTGAATCGCTTATAATTCTCACATATCGCAAAATATTGTTCTGTTTTTGACCTTTTTTCTAATCACTTAAAAATGTCAAAACTATTCTTAGCTCATGGATCTTATAAAGTGAGACAGATTTGGCCTCTAGGCCGTAGTTTGCTGATCCCTGAGCTAGACTCCCAAATCAAGGCTGAGACAATACCGTACTGGTAACATGTGGAATCTCTTCCAATATTGGAGATGGTTTTCCATGACAAGTGGGAAACGTCCTCCTTGGAAAACCTGTTCTCCAGTGGCTCAGGCAGCATGAGGCGTTCTACAATTGAGACAAACCTGAAGTTGGTGCTCATTTTCCCTCTTGAAACTTGGCCCCACTATTGGATCAGGCCCCTAGGGCTAGCAGGATGCTCCATTGATCCAACCAGGGAGAAAATCCATTTGATTCACTACAGGATGCTAAGAATGCTTTTTAACATCTCTTACAGGATTATTTTTTTTTTTTACTGCAACAGACACTTCAAATAAAGCAAAAAGCATATGCAAGAAAAAAAGAATGAAAGAAAAAACAACGATTGTGGTAAAATTTATAGAAAGCATATTCTCAGGAAGGGAAATTTCCCTTGCTACTAAAATAAAATGCCAGGCATAATTTTTTAAAAATAGTAATGGCATACTTTCTGGAAGGAAATTTGCAAGGAAAGAGGGTAGGGGCTTCCCAACACTACTAAAATAAAATGATTCAGGCGTCTACCTCATTGTATACATGACCAGATTCGTTGGATGAGTAGAATTTAATTCAGCAAATTTTACTGAGCATCTACTTTGAGTTAAACACTTGAGACACAAGGTTCCCTCATGTTCATACTTTGAATATTCAATTCATATTCTGAGTTTGTTTGTTGGTTTGGAGGGGTGGCTGCTGAAAGAGGGTGGGTCGCAAGGTATAAATTATTCCAGATTTTCTAATTATAAAAACTTAGTTTATATCATAGCTGTTCCTGCCTCCCAGAGCCCTTAAACAAGAGGCATTTCTTCTCATATCAACTGCTGCTGTTTGAAAGTAGAGCCCCTGGTCAGTGACTCTAATATCCCCTGCTGGGCAACGGACAGAGGGATGCAGTAGGGGGCCCTCTCTGTGTCCACGTGCCTGGAGTGCTCCTTCAAATGGCTCAGAGATCCCTTTGAGATTCAAGGGCTGCTGATGGGGGAGCGTCACTGCTTCTTTGAACTTGGCCTTCTTCTAATTTTTAATATCTCTCCCTCTTTAGTTCTCAGATTCCTCCTCTCATTTTTGTGTCTGAAGTCTCTGTATTAGCTTGTGGTGCCATTTCATCAACACATTAGATTACGATTGGCTCTAAATAATTTAAATATTTGGTTACAACAAAGACAGCCACAGCCTGTATGTCCAGCTGAGCTCAGAAAGACCTTCCTTCATTAGTTCTAACTTTATTTCTCATAAAATAGGAGGCCATTTGAGTAAAATGATAGTGGAAAAATTTTTAAACAGAACCAGCAAATAAACATGGTCTTTATGAGTTGTAACTTAATCCCCAGCTGATGTCATGTTTCATGTTTCAACTGCCAGAAAATGCCTGACATCTATATATCAGGCAGATTTATGGAGACTTCAGGGTAAGAGTTAAGAGGATCCCTTAAATAAGGATAGTGTGTTGGTCTGGGGGTAATTTGGAGCCGCTGTTATCCATAGATTGAAATGCGCACATTTGGGTAAATTATAGGAATATGCCTTTCCACTTAATCTCTTTTTTATGTTCCAAAAGTCTTTAGATCTGGGAGGCGGATGCATGAGGTAAGGGAGGTGGGGGTGGGGAGAGACAGAGAGAGAATGAGAGAGCACTCAAAATATGATTCTCTTTTGCCCCTATTTGGTCATTGATGTTTCTTTGGCAATACTAGAGAGAAAAGCAAAGATCCTGCCTTGCAAACCTCAGAATCATAAACCGTACACGGGCTCTCACCCCACACAAGCATCTCTTGGTGGCGATATGGTTGTGTTGGCTACAGGAGGTGACCAAGGACATGGCACCCTGGTAGTTTCCTATCAAGAAATCCTTGCTAAATCTGCCTATGACAGCAGTTACCCCACAAGGACAGAGTTTTCCCAACATAAACCTCTCTTTATATTGTACAAGTTGGGAGCCAATTATCCTAGAAAAATGGTTTTGAAATAGCCCCAGAAAAAAAATGATTCACTTAGTTTTAACATGCATTGACTGTAGATTTGCACTCAAGTTTCTCATAGGTCTACTCTGGTGAATTAGCAAGAATAAATTATACTAGCTGATGTAACAAACAGCCCCAAATTTCAGTGGCTTAACACAGTAAGGGTCTATCTGTTTCTTATATCATAGACCTACTGGATGTTCAGAAGGTGCATTTCTACATGGTGATTCAAATACCCAGTGTTGGTACAACTGGTGACTTTGTAATCTGCAAAGACTTGGAGTACTCTACCACATACTCGGCATCCTCCTAGGAAATGAAAAAGAGAGAGACAAGCCAGGAGAACTTCATGTGAGGTTTAATGGATAATTGGCCAGACTCGGTCACATGGCTCCATTTTACCTGCAGAAGGTGCTGGAAAATGTGGAGTAGCTCTGATCCCAGGAAGGACAACTGGCTTCCAGCTTCCATTTTAATATAGAAACCACCGTGCTGCACTGCTGAGTGGCTTCTGGGATTTCCTCAGAGACTAAAGTAATTGAAATAACAAAAACAATTTTTTTTTTACATTTATATCTCATTGACAATGGGTTTAATTTTCCTCAGCACTCACACCTATCCTATGAGGGAGGCAAGGCAAGTATTGTTGTCTCTACTTTTACATGGGGCTCTGAGTGGGAGCAGGGACTTGCCTGTGCCCCAGGACACAAAACAAATGGGACAGAACTTGAATCAGAACCCAGGTATCCCTGTATTGGATTTGCAGTTTTTACTACTGTACTAACAGAATAGGAGTAGATGAAGTGGGGAACCGGGTGAGGAAGGAAAGGTGAGCTCCTCAACTGAGTTGGGAACTAGATGGAGTTGGAAGATTAGTTCTGGTTTTATCCAGGTGTTGGTAAGGATTTATAGGATGCTTGAGGGGTGAGACATGAAATTATTTCAGTTCTCTGCTTTGAAGCTAAATGCCAGCTTAATTCAGAGATCCAATCCCTGTATGTTTCCATACACCTTTGTTTTTAATTTCTCATCTTTCTTTCACTTCTTTTCTTTCATTTCTCTCTTTTGGAAGTGAAAGCATCACTTTTTGTTGCGGTATGTGAATATAACAATATTAAATGGTTACAACAGCAGCCAAAGTACAAGAGGGAGAGCTCTTGTGACCTCCCATAAATGAAAGGTGGCTCTGAAAGAATGAAAAACAGTTACAACAGAACGGACATAATGGGAGGGTTAAGGTTAGAATCCTTGTGTGTGTTGATTTCCATAGCTGGCACAATCGTAATAGAATGTTTTCATCCTTCATGCCACAGAAAGAGCAGAGCTCAAGCCTCTTTGCTCTGGGTATGCAGCTTCAAAGAAGCGTTGTAAGCCTTCATAATCATGATTTCAAAGAGGTTTGTGGAAATGTTTTATTAATTCTTATAAAGAAATCCTTTTTTCTTAATTTTTTTCATTAACTTTAGACATTTACTTGCAATTACATTTGTTCAGTGAATACAATGACAGAAATTAATAATTCATAGCTTTTGTCAGGGAAAATTTAAAAAAAAGGACCGTTGTTCAATCAAATACAACTTTAAATGCACAATCTTTATTTAAATAAGATTTAAAAAAATAAATAATGGGGAATGTTATTGTACTTCCTAGAAACCTCTTCTTTTCCAAATTACATCTATGCTATACCCAGTGACATGAAATCTTGGGTTGTTCAGAGTACATCATGAAAATAACAGGTTCAGGTCTAATAATCTAAACTGGGGGAAACTTGACTCCAGCTCAGTATTTGTGGGACTGCCTGGATCTTCTGGGCCCTTGTGGTTGGTGGCAGAGAGTGAGAACATGATAAAGTTGGAAGAAATCAAAAAGATTATGCCTTCTTGAAAACCCTTCCTGTAACTACTGGGGAAATTAAGGTCCACAGAGAGATAGTGTATTAGCCCATGGTCGCACTACTATAAGGAACTACCTGAGACTGGGTAATTCATGAAGAAAGGAGGTTTAATTGACTCACAGTTCTGCAAGCTGCACAGGAAGCATGGCTGGTGCAGCCTCAGGAAACTTAACAATCATCATGGAGGGGAGGAGGAAGCAGGCACATCCTACATGGCGGAGCAGGAGACAGCAAGTGAAGGGGTAGGTGCTACACACTGTTAAACAACCAAATCTCGTGGGAACTCACTCACTATCACGAGAACAGCAAGGGGGAAGTCCACCCCCATGTTCCAATCACCTCCCACAAAGAGCTTCCTCCAACATTGAAGATTACAATTCAACAGGAGATTTGGGTAGGGACACAGAGCCAGACTGTATCAGACAGGGAGACTTTTGAGTTCACACAGGGAGTTAGTGGCAAAAATGGGCCTGGTGTGTAGGTGTCCTGACCTCTCAGCCCAAGCTTTGTCAATCTGTGATGCTATCTTTATCATTCCACCAGGACCTGCCTAACAAACAGTACCTGTGGATTGAGATTTTAGGTGTGTTAGGCAGACCAAACATTTCATCCCAACTGCCTAGCAACTTATCTGAAATTCTATCACGCTTCCCTTGTTGAAATGCAAATATCTATCACTAGAAATTAACTTAGGTGGAAAAGAAGGGTAGGAAATAAGGCCAAGGCCTGGCAGAAATAAGATGACATGTGGAGTGGTGACAAGCTCTGCAGTTAGGTCAAAAGACAGTGGATGAGATAAGGTCTCTAGGGCTCTGTTCCTCATCCTGCCTGTTCCAACTGATAAGGAGTAAGAATCCGGCTGAAAAATCAATTCTGCCCTTTACTTGTCCCAGTCAAAAGGATGACAATGGACTCTATCTGAAAAAGAAAGAAAGAAAGAAAAGTCAAATTCTTAAAAACTTCCAGGGAATTTCTAGCTCATCAGTAAGACTTGCAAGGGCAGTTTAACGTAATGGTTAAGAATGTCTCTAGGTTTTAATTTAAAAAATAAAAAAAAAGAGGCCGGGCATGGTGGCTCACGCCTGTAACCCCAGCACTTTGGGAGGCCGAGGCAGGTGAATCATGAGGTCAGGAGATCGAGACTATCCTGGCTAACATGGTGAAACCCTGTCTCTACTAAAAAGAAAAAGAAAAAAAAAATTAGCCGGGCATGGTGGCAGGTGTCTGTAGTCCCAGCTACTTGGGAGGCTGAGGCAGAAGAACTGTGTGAACCTGGGAGGCGGAGCTTGCAGTGAGCCACAGCGGTGCCACTGCAGTCCAGCCTGGGTGACAGAGCGAGACTCCGTCTCAAAAAAAAGAGAAAAGAAAAAAGAAGATGAGATTTTATTCTGTTGCCCAGGCTGGAGTGGCATGATTATACATCACTGCAGCCTTGAACTCCTGGGTTCAAGCAATTCTGCCACCTCAGCCTCCTGAGTAGCTAGAACCACAGGCATAAGACCCCATACCTAGGTAATTTTTAAATTTTTTTTGTAGAGATGGGGGTCTCACTATGTTGCACAGGCTGGTCTTGAACTCCTGGCCTCAATTGATCTGTCTGCCTTGGCCTCCCAAAGTGCTGGGATTACAGGTACTCAGCTTAGGTTTGAATCTTGATTCAGTCAGCTAACAGTTCTGTGCTTTGGGAAAACCATTACTAAGATCTCCAAGTCTTTATTTGTAAAATGAGGATGTATCAGTTAGCTATTGTACTATAACAAACCACCCCAAAACTCAGAGCCTTAAAACAGCAGTTATTTATTCTCACGCATCTGAGGGTTGGCTGTGGAGGCTTTGCTTCTCACTGCAGTCTGTGGGTTAGTAGAGGTGACTCTGCTATATGTGTTTCTCATCATCCTCCTGGAACCAGCAGACTAGCTGGTTCTTCTCAAGGTGAGAGCAGAGCTGCAAAAAGGCAGGAAGAAATGTGGCCTTTGAAGGCCACGGCTCAGAACTGGCACTGTGTACTTTTAATTATGTGTTGCTGGCCAAAAGCTAAAGTAAAGTCAAGAGATATGAAAGGAAGTTCTGCCCAAAATGAGGCTATGGCAAAAATGTGGATGAAGTGAGCAGTGAAGAATTGGGCCCTCAAATGTAATTTACCATCAAGAATAATAAAAGTACTTTCTCATTGCATTGCCCTCACAATTAGTTTTGAAAGTGTCTGTAAAGTGCTTATGAGGGCTGTGCCCTCTCAGATAATAGTAGGATGCCTGGAGGTGGGCCCTTTACTGACCTCTCAGTAAGGTCAGTAATAAGGCTGCAATCAAAAATTTGGGGCTAAGGATTTTCCTCTTTGATTTGGGCAGCTCTTAGAGGGGGTGTCTTCCGAAGGTGAGGAAATGTGCAGTCTTCCTGGAACCATCAATTTCCTGCTTCCAAGTACAGTATTGGTCCTTACCTCACACACCAAAGAAAACAAATGGATTTGATTAGCAAATACTTTCATCTACATCCTAATTGAAGTCTCTGGGACTTCCTTGTTTTGGAAAATCCCATTTTAATGCACAGCACATCAGGTAGCCAAAAGAATTTCCTCTCCCATCAGCTACCCTGTCCCTCCCAAACCAGGGAGTTTATCCACCATTTTCTCACCAGTCCCCTCAGTCTGTTTCTAGATAGATGTATCTAGGCTGATGACTGGAAGATTCTCCTGTAGGTTTTGACTCATCCCATGAATCACTCAATCCCAATGCATTTACAACAGAGGCAAAGGACAGCTTTCAGTGGTGCCCCGTCCAGATGTCCTCGCTCTGTGGAGCTATCTACTCCCTGCCAGGACCCCTGAGATGCAAAGCCCACTCTCCCTGGTAGAGGCTGCTGCAGCGAAACTAAATTGTAGCTGAGAAGGTGACCACTTGGCCATCTGAAAAGTCTGACCGGTTGGCACACTGTTGTCTCCAAATGAGCCGGCAGGAAACGGGGTTTCCTAAAACTTGGTTTTAAAGCACTTAGAACAGGAAACCATTTCCCATGCATGTTAGATCTCTCTAATGACCAGCTAACTAGAAACAGGCTATCTTAATACTCTGCCCCGAGCCATTACAAATGGCTTTCTTTCCAGACTTCATTAGAATATTTACTGCAATTTAGATAGAAGACTTTTGACACTGCAGTCATAAAATTTACAGGGAACCATTTTTTTGTTTTTTGTTTGTTTTCCTTTTTTTTTTTTTTCAGTCTAAGAAGAACTTGGAAGAAGTGAGGAAAGCCCTGGACTCCCCCAGCCACCAATTTCACTCATTAGTGGCCTTTGTGTCTCATGACCTCTAGTTAAGAAAATAAACATCCCTGTGGTAGTCCAATAAATTGCCTTCAGAAAAAAACAGCTCGATCTCTTTTTTGTCAACTCCTGCCTCTTTCAGAATTACAGCAAGAAAGAAAAAATTTGCAATGTGTGCACCTTCCACATGTTAAGTTACTGAATCTTCAAAACCATCTTCTAAATGGGCACGATCATTATCCCCATTTCATCTCTGAGAAAATTGAGACCAGAAGTCACCAAAAGCCACAGAGGTAGTGAGTGACAGAGCTAAGATTGGCATCCAAGTGACACTGAAACACAGCTCTCTCTGACCGCCTTCACTGCTTGTACTTATCCTCATAGCAGATCCCATCTGCACAGGCAGTAGCTACTCTATGAAAAAGAACTTTGGACCCACTTTCACATTGTCTTAAATTTTATGTATCTAATACCTTCATAAAAATGATTGATCATAGCTCCAACAAAATTGACGTTAAGTCCCCAATCAGAGAAAGGTCACTGTGGAACATTGATGTTGCATTGTTTGCAATAGTGCAATATTCAGTTGATCTTGTAATTGCTGAGTGGTGACATCAGCTATTAAGAAAATATAGCAGGGTAAATGAATATTTATATAAATATGGATGGGGGACATTGGGAAAGTCACTAATTTGATTGTGTGGTCAGGGAGGGATTCTGATGAGGGGGCACTTGAGTGGCATTCTGATGAGGGGTCATTCTGTGGTGGTTGGGAGTGTATGATGTGTTTGAAGAGCAAGTGGCCCCAAGCTGGGTGTGGTGGCTTATGCCTGTAATCCCAGCTCTTTGGGAGACCAAGGAGGGTGGATCACTTGAGGTCAGGAGTTAGAGACCAGCCTGGCCAACATGGTGAAACCCCATCTCTACTGAAAATACAAAAATTAGCTGGGCATAGTGGCAGGCACCTGTAATCCCAGCTACTTGGGAGGCTGAGGCAGGAGAATTGCTTAAACCCAGGAGGCAGAGGTTGCAATGAGCTGAGATCACGCCACAGCACTCCAGCTTGGGTGACAGAATGAGGGTCTGTCTCAAAAAAACAAAACAAAACAAAAACAAGTGGCCCCAAGTATCTCTGACGGTGTTCATGTGATCTAGTGTTGCACTCATAACTTTAGGTAGTCAAAGGTTAGTCCTTGTGGTCTAAGGTTGCATTGATAATCTTTGGTATTTAAAGTTCAAAGTTCTCTATCTGTAGTATTAATGACAAGAAATCTGCATTCCTTCATCACATAGTTTATCTGGTGTCAAAAACATCTCCCCTGAGTCTCATTTTGATGTTATACCTTTTGTTTTTACTACAGGATGTATGAAAAATGCTTCTCTACTCTCAGTGAGGCTTTATAGAATACACAGCCCTCTATGCCACTCTATGAAGAAAGCAAAGAAAAAGATCACTCCTAAAAGCAGTGTGCTTTCCCTCAGTAAGTAATAAAGAGCACACAACCTATCATGTTTCTCCCTTTTTGCCTTGATTCCTAGGAAGCTCAAGGTTAAATTGAATATTCAATTAAAACAAGAAAATTAGCTTTAGCCTTCAAGGCTTTTGAGCATTTCTAATACTTAACCGTGAATCTGCTTTTCATTGCAAGGAGCCTCTAGTTCTCCTTGAGTGGTGTATAAATAACACATGTACATAAAATCATGTGTGCCAAGAATATAAGAAGTGATGATCTGCCTAAAAATACACTTTTGTTTCTATCATTAGATGCTCTAGATAAGCCATTGTTTATTATTCCATTTACGTGGAGGCCAACTGTGTGACCAGATTGGATCAAAAAAAGAGAAAGAAACATTGCTATAGACGAATATGTTAATGTTTCCCTCCCCCAATGAATCACATCCTTCCCTCCCCCAATGAATCACATCCTTCCCTCCCCCAGTGAATCACATCCCTCCCCCTCCAATGAATCACATCCCTCCCTCCCCCAATGAAACACATCCTTCCCTCTCCCAATGAATCACATCCCTCCCTCCCCAATGAATCACATCCCTCCCTCCCCCAGAGAATCACACCTCTCCCTCCCCCAAGGAATCACATCCCTCCCTCCCCAATGAATCACATCCCTCCCTCCCCCAGTGAATCACACCTCTCCCTCCCCCAATGAATCACATCCCTCCCACCCCCAATGAATCATATCCCTCCCTCCCACAATGAATCACATCCCTCCCTCCCACAATGAATCACATCCCTCCCTCCCAAAATGAATCACATCCCCCATATTCTACCACCTTGTGTTATCTCCTCTCACAAGAACACTGGGCTTGGCCATGTGACGTGTCTTAGCCAATGAGACATCAACAAATATGCTGCAAGCAGAGGCTTGACAAGCAATCTCTATGGTATTGCCTTCTTGAAATGTTTCTGTCACCACCTAAGACAGCCAGGTCTATCCTCCTCGAGGATGAAAGATAGTATGGAGAGAGAAGCCCAACCATTATAGCTGATCCTCCAGCTCCATGCAGACTCAGGAGTGAGCCCAGCTGAAACAAGCAGAGGAACCCTCCAAGCAAGTGAAAAGAGTAATGGGAATCGAGAAATCGAGAAATCTTAGTTATTCCAAACCTCAGTTTTAGGGTGGCTTGTTGCACAGCACTAGATAATGAATACAGATATCCAAATATTACTTTTAGGGCCCAAATTCTAGAGAATTGTTACTAAATATTTGGGTTCAATGAGTACTTGGTACATCCCTTAAAACATCAAGGTCCCCTGAAGGACTAATGTTTCCAAGAAGTAAAATATACCAAGAACACACATTTTCTCAGAATCTACCATATAGAAAGCATGTCTCTTGGCCCAGGCGAGTGCTTTGATAAAAATACATAACCACTATCTTCAACAAGCTTAAGTAGATGATAATGCCAAAATAATTTAGATAGTCTGGGATTGGCAGGAGAACAGAGAGAGATATGAAAAAGTAGAATATTCTAAAAACAGATTCTAATAAATACTAGCATGCAATATATAGTAAAAGCAGCAACCATATCAAAAGCAAACCAAGAAAAAAAAAAGAAAAAGAAAGGAAAAAATGTTCCATACATAGTACTAGAATAATATTAGCTAATAGAAAAAAAAATGAAGTTAAGACCTCATCTCTTATATACAGAGCACTCATGTATAGAGAATATAGAGAGTACTCACAGTCAGTAATATTATACTTATATTGATTTTCATAATTATTCAGAAATTTTAATACCTGTTTATGGAACTGAAACTGAAGAACAAGTGGCCCCAAGCTGGGCGTGGTGGCTCATGCCTGTAATCCCAGCTCTTTGGGAGACGGAGGTGGGTGGACTACTTGAGGTCAGGAGTTAGAGACCAGCCTGGCCAACATGGTGAAACCCTGTCTCTACTAAAAATACAACCAGAAATCAGTCATAAAAGGAGTATTTATACCACATTAATTGGTAAATGTTGGAAATCAGGGCTTTTTTGAGAATGTTTTTTGAGAATTATAGACACCATTGACAATGGAAAAGATTTATATATTTGACCACAAATGTATTGAAAGTTAGTTTATAGAAAATTTAGGAAATGCAGTTGACTAGATAGTATATCTCGTTTATGTGGGAAAATATAGGTATGTATAGAAAAATGTCAAAAGAAAATATTTCACCGTAATTTTTTCAGTCTGTGACTTCCAAATTTTCCACAATGAGACATATGTTGCTTCTGTCATCAGTCAAAAAATAAAAATAGAACAAAAAATTCTTTAAAAATCTCATTTTCCAAAAAGAAAATAAAAAGTCTTTCTCCTCTAAAACAGTAAAAATTGTAAATACTATTAATATCATGGCCGGCATTGGGTTTGAAATTGAAGTATATTTTAGCATTGAACCCTCACCACATTCTCGGTGGGCAGATGATAATATCAAGGCTTGAAAAAGTGGAGTGACTTGGCTGAGGTCATGGAGCCTGTAAATGGCAGCATATACGTTTGAGTTCTTTTCACCACATAACACTGTTTCAATAGTAAGTTGTGACAGATACTAAAAATCATTTAAAATCACTGATTCTCATAAAATCCCCATAGGTCTCTCAAGCCTGGAAACAGAGGCTATTTATTCTCATTTTAGGTGGAAGTCTGTGGAGCATGGTGAAATCAGCCAATCAGAACGTGCGGAGGCCCACTCTAGAGGCACACAGGAAACTAGAATGAGTGACGCCTGAGAGTTCAAGACAGCAAGCTGCTTTGAGCCCACCAAGGAACGCTGTGACTGTTTTTGTCTTGGCCAGGTGCAGTGGCTCATGTCTGTATTCCCAGCACTTTGGGAGACTGAGACGGGTGGATCACAAGGCCAGGAGTTCGAGATCAGCCTATCCAACATGGTGAAACCCCATCTCTAATAAAAATACAAAAATTAGCTGGGCGTGGTGGTGGGCACCTGTAATCCCAGCTACTTGGGAGGCTGAGGCAGGCGAATTGCTTGAACCTGGGAGGCGGAGGTGGCAGTGAGCCAAGATCACGCCACTGCATGCCAGCCTGGGCAACAGAGCAAGACCCTGTCTCGGAAAATAATAATAAAAATAAAAGACAGAAAACTCTTCAAAAACACAGAACACATCTTGTTCCCTGACGCATTCCCACTGCTTAGCTCTTTGCTGGTCATTGTGGCTCTTAATACATACATTTTGGAGAAGTGAAGAATGGAAGCAGGGAGAAAAGGAAGGCAAGTGGAAAAGGCAGGAGAACAATAGGAAGGTGAGAGATTGGGGCAAGGAAGAAAGGAAAACAGAAGAAAATTAACAAAAAGCAAACATAAGAAGTAAAACCATAGCAATGGCCGGGCGCGGTGGCTCACGCCTGTAATCCCAGCACTTTGGGAGGCCGAGGCGGGCGGATCACGAGGTCAGGAGATCGAGACCATCCCGGCTAAAATGGTGAAACCCCGTCTCTACTAAAAATACAAAAAAATTAGCCGGGCGTAGTGGCGGGCGCCTGTAGTCCCAGCTACTTGGGAGGCTGAGGCAGGAGAATGGCGTGAACCCGGGAGGCGGAGCTTGCAGTGAGCCGAGATCCCGCCACTGCACTCCAGCCTGGGCGACAGAGCGAGACTCCGTCTCAAAAAAAAAAAAAAACCATAGCAATACAGGGCCATTGAGTGTATAAGTCTTGGGCTGCCACCCCCAGTTGCCTGTGAGTGGCCATCAGTAATATTACAGCCAGGACAAGAGTGGATAACAAATCATCAGACAAAGTAAATACTCAGTATAATCTCTTTTGGAAGGCATGAATAATATGAAGTACACTTTAGAAATATTTCTATCAGAAGTGATTAGGTTTGGCATTTAGATGGACTGATAAGAACCATCTAGAAAATTCATTTTCCTAGAACAGGTCATTCCCAAACCACAGAGGAATCATTATTATTGATTATGGACACATTTTCATTCAGACAAATTCTGCAATGGTACTGATAAAAATGGACCATTTCAATGGTCTGTTTATATAACCATGTCACAGGGGGTATCAGCATTTCACTAGCATTTGGAAAAAAGTTAGACTTTCCTGGAGAGTTACGTTTTGTGGTTTTTTTGGTTGTTTGTGTGTGTGTGTGTGTCTGTGTGTGTTTTGTTTTATTTTACCACAAATTATGTTTATCTCTGTGTGTATCCTCTAGAATTTTAATCAATCTTCCTTGCTGCTTGACCTTAGAATGATTATTTTTTCAACCCTAAGCCAGAATCAAGAAACTGGCAGATATTGCAATGACCATCAAATCCAGAGTTGGAGAAATCCAGGTTGTCCTTCTTCCCTGTGGTTATTTACTAAGACCTGGTCACTTCACTTTACCTCAGCATTTCAGCATTTTCATCTTTAGGATGAGGATAATAACAGCTGCTCCCTCAAAGTATTTCTGTGAGTAAGAAATGACATAATGCTCAAGTCCAGTTCATTCAACAGTACCTGGCACTCAGGAAATGGAAACTATAATTATAGACTTTAGCACAAAATATGACTTTCAAAGTTTTATTGGGATTGTATTTTTTTTAATGTTGATTCTTGGGCTTTTTTTAAAGTTAGAAATAAAACACAGACTCCAAATTTCCTGATAAGTTGCTGGTTTCTAAACTGATCTTAAACTCTAGGTCATCTCTGGAGTGCTGATTAGCTAAAACTCAACAAGATTTTATAGGTATACATGAAGTCGGATAAGTGATATTTAAATTGCAATCTTTATTTTTGACTGGAAATAATTTGTTGGAGTTATTACACAGTTGTTCAGCCTCTGAATCGTACAACAGAATGAGCATTCTTCTCTCAGGTAGGGGATTCCAAATCATAATTGAATTTGTTATAGGTTATTTTGATCCAAAGTTTAGTGAGAGCATTGGTTTGACAATTCCAATTCTAGTTTGCCATTTCCTTCAGAAATATTTGATTCCTCTTATTCTTGTCCTCCGGATACCAGATTCGATATACACGCCAAGACCAAGTAAACAAACGTAACTCCAAAATCCAATAAATCGCTCCCATTCAGATCCATGTTTAGAAAACCCACAATCTATGCCTTCTGACCCAATGATTGATGACACAGTCCTCCTGCTGCCCTTTTCAAAAGCAAGCCAAACAGGAACTCAAGAAAGGAGGAACTGTCGGGAAGCCCAAAGCTGGGATGTCCCTCCATCGCAGAACGGAAGCTCTCATCCTCAAACCCTGTATTTACAGATGGGCATTTAATTTGTAAAGGAAAGGTCCTCATAAAATGTGTTGTACTCTTTCCCCCAGGTTTCAGGCTTGCTCCTTCAATCCAGCTAGCTCTGTGGTTTCTTTTTAAAAGCCAGAAAGGTTCACAATATTCTACTTATTGACAGTCTTTTGTCTCCCGTTGGCCTTTCTTTCAGATGAATAACATGATCTCATGGACAGGGAAAGTGGGAAAGGTGCATTAGTTACAGATACCCCAGTTCTTGTGCAACTCCCATCTGTGTCCACCGGTATGTCTTTAGCTGGGTCCCATTTATTTCAGTGGGCCCACTCGTTCTTATTTTGGCTTCCAGTTTGGGCATAAGGGGCAAATAAGACATCTTCTAGGGAATCCTACCCCACCACTGGGTTTCAATGAGCTTCTCTTTTCTATCCTTTCAGGAGTTATTCTGTAGGAAACGCATAGGTCTCTGAATCATACATTTCCCTACCCTAAAATTTTACCAAGATTTGTAACACAAGGCAGATCTGCCAATGAGAGAAATGAACCAACTGCTTTTTTTCCATGAAGAAAAAGCTATAGTGCCTAATTTGTTCTCAAGCTTGTCTTTGAAAGAACACCTGCTCCCTTTGCTGACAAAAAGGAAATTGCAGGGGCTTCCAATTTTCAAGTTATTGAACTTACAGGAATCCTTATTTTTGTTTATCTCATGCTTTCCACCCAAAAACCATCCTTTGAGTCCCTCTTCCCCTAAAAACTTTGCCAGAATCATCTAGTCTGCACACCTCTCTCACTTCTCAGAGCATTTGACATCTATTTTATTCATTTTGGGAATTGATAACATACTGTTTTGTACTTATTGCTAATTACCTTTTCCATGAGAGTCACCTTAATCTTGTATAGATGCCTCAAGAACAGAGACCATGTCTTAAACTCCTCCTGTTCTTCATATGATAACTCTTACTTCCTAAACAATCTAAATATATATTAGATGGCCAACAAATACCTGTTAAATTGGATTTCTATAATGAATGCTTTGACAAAGTCTGTATACTTTCATAGATGCATTAAAGGTAAAGAGAAGTAGAAAGTAAAACTAGGTTGGGCGCGGTGGCTCACACCTGTAATCCCAGCAATTTGGGAGGCCGAGGTGGGCAGATCACTTGAGGCCAGGGGTTCAAGACCAGCCTGGCCAATGTGGTGAAACCTCGTCTCAACTAAAAATACAAAAATTAGCCAGGTGTGGTGGCAGGCACCTGTAATCCCAGCTACTTGGGAAGCTGAGGTGGGAAAATTGCTTGAACTGGGAGGTTGAGGGTGCAGTGAACCAAGATCGTGCCACTGCACTGTAGCCTGGGTGACAGAGTGAGACAAAAAAAAGGAAGGAAAGAAAGAAAGAAGGAAAGAAAGAAAGAAAGAAAGAAAGAAAGAAAGAAAGAAAGAAAGAAAGAAAGAGAAAGAAAGAGAAAGGAAGAAAGACTAGATCTTTTTCAGCAATTAATTCACAAAATAAAAACACATTAACTTTTTATTTAAAAACTCATTGAATTATTAGGATTGAAAACATCTTATCTGGTACAAATTTCCATCCAAGTTTGAATTCTTACTAACCTTTCTTAAGAAGTTATTGAAAGAAGACTTTTTAGGACGTTAGGTATAGTCATCACAAACATTTCAAATAAATCAAAAAAAAAAGGAGGAAAAAGAAAACAGAAATAAACTACTCTTCATAAGCAACTGTAGTATATGTTACACATATGTATTTAAAACACACACGTGGGCTCAGTAGGAACCTCATTTTCTGTCACTTGCTCCAAGTTATATTCCAGGTAATTGGTCAGAGGGATTAAAAGTGCTGGGAGACAGTGAGTGTTTAATCGCCTCACACCTGCCTTTCTGTAAAACTGCAACCTATTCCTGTTCTGTAACCTCTAAAACTCTCCACCAGCAATTTACTGATGCAGCCAATTAGACAAAGGAGGCAAGATTTCGGAAGCCCTTTCAGAGGGATCAGTCATTCTTGGGCCTACAACACAATGAGCCCGACTGCTGAGCTTCTCAGTGAAAACATTGGCGGCTGTCTTCTAGGATGGAGCTTAGGGGAATTCCTTTCACATTTTGAAATTACTAGCTCCAGGATACATTGTCATCCAGAAATATGTGGCCAGATCATCATGCAATCTTGCCTCTTTCCCCCAATTCTCATCTCTATCTGGTTACTTCTAAAGGACAGGTTTCATCCCATTGGGATTTCCACTGGCAAAACTCCCATTGTTAAAACGGATCCTTTGACAATGTCTAGAGTTCAAAAGTAGCATAGTAGTTAGTGTGATGGATGAAAATTGCACCTATTTAAATTGAGATATATTTAGAGAGAATCGCAAATGATCATTAGTAAACATGCAGGATTAACAACTACTCAATAATGATGTTTCTTTACTTACATTTTCATTTTTAATAATATCTTGATCCTCCTGGTCTTCTTGCTATGTTTTGGCCTGTTTATTAAAACGTTACCTATAAAATGCTTAAGTCCCAAAGAATTTCAGCAGGTATTATATCAAGACCCTTAATTAATTTTTTTTTTCCAGATCTGAACACTGAGGTTCCTAGGTGACAGATAATGCTCCTGGCCAACATAGGATCTCATTTGAAGATGACAGAGGAACTATTCGTGGATAGGCCATTCCTTTCTGCTGTAAGAATCAGTGAGCAAAGGAAAGAGATTCATGTGCCATTTCATTGGCTTAAGGTACTTTTCTGATATAACAGAATTTTGGGGCCAAATGCCTGCTCAGCATTCATTTTCATGGCTGTGTTTCCTAACAACTATCTACTACCTTTTACTGATTCCAGTCAAATAAGGGACATAAATAATTTTTTAAAAATAAAAAGAAAGGAACAAAAATCTTGACATTTTGACCAAGATTCTGGTTGAATCTTGTAAGAAAAATGGCCATGGATGATTTTTAAGTAAACATATTTTCAAGGCTTTGTTTGCTTCTAAATCAAGTTTTGTAAGAATGCAATAGCAATGCGTGATTACAAAGCGGCTAGTTAGTTTTCTCTTTGTCAGTCACTAGAAGACAAAAATTAAAGCTCACGAAATTTTGCATCTTATCAAATTTGCTCGTTTAAATTAATAAGAAATACCTATGTAATATTTATACTAGAGGTTGCTTAAGCTTTCAAGACACCTTTAAAATGTGATAATTTGGAAGTTGGTTGATTAATGTGCTCATTTGACAGCTTCAGTTTTTTTTAAAGAAATTTAAGAAATTAGATTTGCTCTTATATTCAGATATATTAATACTTTCAAGCAGGGCTCTGGGGGGTGCCTTATTTAAGCACACTCCCAAAAAATGCAACAAACTTAAAATGACACTACAGGTTAGTGCAAATTAGGCGGTATTATCAAACCCCGTTCTCTATAATCTTCTTATGGTGTGTAAAAAGATCCACATCCCTTCAAAACTTAGATCTCCAAACTTCATATGACTAAAGCAAAACATCCAAAAATATGTTTATATAAAAAAGAGATCAACAGAAAGGAATTTACACTGGTAAATTATCTTTTTGGTGGTTGTTTTTGTTTGCTTGTGAAAAAATGAAAACTCAGTATTGGTTGCAGTTAAGCTCACTTCAGGATTATATGTCCCAGAAGAATTTTGAAGATTAACTTTTTTTTTAAAAAAAAAGATCTTTTACAGTCCTTTCAAAATTGCCTGGGAAAAGAAAATAAATGCAGGTGATGTGCCGATCCAATTTCCCCACTCCATTGAGAACTTTTGAAAATTATACTATTCGAAAACAGTTTTCCATAAAAAGAATTTTGAACAAATTTGAACATTCAATCACATATGAAAACAAGAGGCCACGTGGTGCTAGATTGGAATCCCTCTTCATCGGAATTTGTTTGAAGTACTTGGGGGAAAAATAAGGGAAAGAAACTACATTTGGTTTAGAACTGCCAGCACTAGCAGGCACTTCTCACTCCATGTGGGTGATTCTTCCACCCTCACAGTGCGCCCCCAGCAGAGTATCAAAACCATGAGAAGGAGCAGCTTTGAAGATGGAAGGCCTGGATTACAAGATCAGCTGATGACTGACAAGCTGGTCTCCTTGGGCAGGATAATGAAGCTTCAGTTTTTCCACCTATAAAGTGGAGATGATGATCATGGTGATTACCCCCACAGAGTGGTTTTAAGGCTACATTCAGATAATTCATGGAGAACATTTAGCAGAATGTCTGGCGCATGGGAAGAACTCAATAAATGCTATTAACTATTACAGAGGGAACACTGCGAACAAATTGAATCATGTTACAGGCTGAGGAGAGAAGCCCGAGCTAGCAAAAATGATTGGCAATGTATCTTGAGAAGCACAGGAACACTTTGCCTTCAGAGAGTTTTCAGCTGAAAAGTTATAGGTAGCTATTTCACACCAGGCAGGGGAAAAGGGAGCTGAACAAAAAAGTCAGGGTGTTAAGAGAAGAGGTGGTCTGCAGAAAATAGAAATAAGAGTAGAAGCTAAGAGGCAGCATAGAAGAGTAGAAATTCTTTGGAATTAGAAAGTTCGAGGCCCATTTACCTCTTCTGTCCATTATTAGTTGCATGGCCCTGGTCATGTGATCTGTTGTTTCCTATGCTTAGTTCCTCATTCATACAACTTGTTATTAAAGGTTACTTTGAAGGCTTGCCCTGATGTCCTAATGAAAAGGCACATAATGTGTCTAAACGTAGCACCTGAAAGTACTCTACAGACAGTAGCTCTTACTGTGAGGTGTGATACTCAGGTACAAGAGTGTCCACAATGATGGAACAGGATGGAAAAAATGGTTCAATGGCTCAGGGAATGTATTGACAAAATAAATAAATGTGAACACATGACACAGCACCATTGCCAAATTAGGAAGTAGGAGAGATGGAAACTGTTTAAAACTTTGTGAGAATGGCCAGGTGTGGTGACTCATGTCTGTAACCCTAGCACTTTAGGAGGCTGAGGCAGGAGGATTGCTTGAGCCAAGGAGTTTGAGGCTGCAGTCAGCTATGATCATGCCACTGTACTCTGGCCTATGGGACAGAGTGAGGCACAGAAAAAGCCAACTTTCTGAGAAAACACCTGGAATTCCCTGGTGAAAAGGAAAAGTAATTTACTACACTGAATGTCACGAATGTCTTAAAAATAATAGATTAATGGAACATAATAGATAGTAGAGATTGTGTCAGAGAGTGGCTGGCTGTTCAGCACATTCAGTGCCTTGGTAAAGATGGTGGAGCCTCAAGCAGCCTGGGCCCCTGAATGACTATAAGGAGCAGCCTCCCCTACTCTTACTCCCACACCTAAGTGAAAAATAAACTTACATTATGTTAAGCCACTAAAATGGTGAGATTATAATAATCGGATAGGTCTCTAAGTGGCACCCAAACTTTTCCTCTAAGCCTTTTTTTTCTAATTTTTGGTAGAATTTAATATGTAATCCAGTTTCTTCCCCATAGAAATGTTTTAAATTTTGACTCTATTTTTTTTGTAAAATATGAATAAGGCAAATTGTTCTTGGCATTTAATTAATTCTATTTAGGGAAGTAGTTTCATCCTCAAGGAAATTATAAGGAAATCAGTAACAAAGCAACTGTATGGGGTGTCTATGATTTTGGGATATTAAAGGGCCATTGTCAGTGAGAAATGAGATAATATGATGAATCTATGTTCATTCAAACATCTCTGTCCCAGCTGAAAACTCAACACAGGGGGTACTAAAGAAAACCAACAAACCAAAGTATGAATCAGTGTTCTATTTTACATAATATTTTCAAATATATTTTTAGTGTACTATTTCAAAACAAAAAAAACCTTATTTTTTCCCTCATCATAAAAGAAATGCGTCTTTTAAAAATACTCAGATAATACACAAAGTTTTTTTAAGTCAAAATTATCTATAATCTCACCTCCCAGAGGGAACTCCATTGTTAATAGGAGATACTTATTTTCCTCAAACCTCATTGACCCCAGTCAATCTCAATCAGTTTATTCTGCCAAGGCAATAAGAGGAAAATACCACAACCTTGTTTGGTTTTTTGGTTTGTTTCTTTGATTATCTAGGAGTATGAGTTATGTGTGTTTCCTTTGGCTTATTGTATATACATTTCTTTTGTACACTTTTTTTTCAATGTTTATCTCATATTGGTTTTTAAAAGTTCTAAATAGAATATGCATGTTAATCCTTTGAAATAAGTTAATCTTTTTATTATTTTTTTTAGAGACAATAAATAATAAAAATTATTTTTTTAAGGTCTGTCTCCCAGGCTGGAGTGCAGTGGCAATTTCATAGCTCACTGTAGCCTCGACAGCCCAGCCTCAAGCAATCATCCCACTTCAGCCTCCTGAGTAGCTGAGACTACTACAAGCATGAGCCACCACACCCAGCTAATTTTTTAATTTTTTTTGTAGAGATAGGGCCTCCCTATGTTGCACAGGCTGGTCTCTAACTTCTTCTCAAGCAATACTCCTGCTTCAGCCTCCCAAAGTGCTGAGATGACAGGCATGAGCCACCACACCCAGCTGAAATAAATTCAGACAATCTTCCTTGATAGAGCATTTTTTACCTTGGGAAAATATTAATAAAATGTGCATAAGTATTAGAAATACCACATATGTAGGTATTCTCTCACAGCAGGTACCTGGGAATTTTTTTTTCTTTTTGAGACAGAGTCTCGCTGTGTTGTCCAGGCTGGAGTGCAGCGGAACATGATATTGGCTCACCGCAACCGCTGCCTCCCCGGTTCAAGCAATCCTCCTGTCTCAGCCTCCCAACAAGCTAGGATTACAGGCACCTGCCACCACACCCAACTAATTTTTGTACTTTTAGTAGAGATGGCATTTTGCCATGTTGTCTAGGCTGGTCTTGAACTCCTGACCTCAAGTGATCCACCCACCTGGGCCTCCCAAAGTGCTGGGATTACAGGCATGAGCCACCGCGCCTGGCCCAATACTTAACAGAGAAACCCTCACTAAAATTTTGACATGATGGATATGTTAACTAATTTGATTATCATAATCATTAAACAATTATGTGTATGGAATCACGTTGTATACCTTGAATACATACAATCTCAATTTGTCAATTAAATGTTTCTAAATTTTTGAAAATCGTTCACAGTTGTCAAGGGAAGGACCATAGGTTCAAGCTTTTGCTAATTGACCCATGCTGTGCATATGAGATGCATTTTTTTATTCTTAATACTTTTAAATAACGTTTAAAATTTTTGTAATCAATCTGGAGATAAAATCTTTCAGTCTGTCTCACTTGAAGACTTTGTGGTCTGAAACACAAGAAAGGATAAAAATCAAAATAATAATCATTTCTTTGCCTTTATCTATACTTCATAGATCTCAAATAACTTTGTCCTATTATTAAAGTTGGTTTAACATATGAATGTTATAATAATGGTAGTACATATATATATATATATATATATATATAGTTACTTTTTTAATAGATGGGAAAGATGAAATTTGAGATGTTACATGACTTTTCTGGAATCATGGTGAATAACAATGATATTTAAGATTAATTATGCCCTTATGATGCAATAAATCTGGTCCATCATGCTTTATCTCATTGAGTCATAACAACCACATTAAACAGATGAGAAAAGTGAAGCTCAGGGGTGGAATGACTTTTCCAAGGTCACACTGCGAGGGTGGAGTCATGACTTCAACCCTGGCAGATTCTAGAATCTGCTCATTTAAGCCGCACTGATTAACCCCACTGGAAGAGGGGCAAATCAGTATTACCTATAGAACCAGAACGAAAGCCTAGGAACAACACCAAACACAAACTTGGAACTTTGTTCTTTGCCTGGTCTTATAACAGGGGCATCTTAAAAGAGCCTCTCCAAGCAGCTCTAAGGCTAGGGTGGGGCTTCTAAGCCTAGGGAGTGGAGGAAAGAATGGCATGGTTCACTGGTCAGCCTTTTCTCAATTACAAGCAATTTTAACTTTCCCTCAAATCTGTAATTATAGGATTATTGCAAACTCAATATATAGGTTGCTGATTTTGAAGCATGCATGTACACAATTCTGACAATAACTGACCAAAAATATAAAAGGTATGCCTTAAAAATGTTTAAAAACACACTTCTTAATTTTTGTGTGAAGATGTCTTCAAACATGATTCTGAGCACAGAAAGTTTCAGGAAAAAGAGACTCTGCACATACGTGTGTAGGTGAAAGCTGTCTTTCCTTTTAAACTCTGTTGCCTAAAACATCCATTTGTGTTGCAAAAATAAATGTAGACATGACAGAGAAACATTGGCAGAGAACTCTCCCATATTTAGTGAATCCTGAAAACACTGTCCCCACTCCAAACTAGTGATTGACTTCTTGTTTTCCCACCCCCAAGTTTAGATGCTGGAGGTGGTGTTGTTTTTTTCTTTTTCTTTTCCTTTATTCTGACTGGAAGAAAAACACATTGCCTGATTGCTCTTCATTGAGACTCTCCTCTGACTGAGATATATTCTGGATAATATAGGCTAGTCTTTCCCAGAGGCAATAGAATGCCCTAGATAGCCACTCATAGTCCTTTAATTTTATTTGAATTTTGAGCTTGAAGGCAACTTAGAAGGAATTGAAATCTAACACCCCTTACCCCCTTTTTATTCAAACAGATAAGGAAACTATGGTCCACAGAGATTTGAAAACTTGCCCAAAACACACATTTCATTGCAGTGAATCTGAGATTCCAACTGATATGGTTTGGCTCTGTGTCTCCACTCAAATCTCATCTCGAATTGTAATCCTCAGAATCCTCATGTGTCCAGGGAGAGACATGGTGGGAGGTGATTGGATCATGGGGGCAGCTCTCTTCACACTGTCCTTGTGATGGCAAATGAGCTCCATGAGATCTGATGGTTTTATAAGTGTTTGACACCTCCTCCTTCACACACTTTCTCTCTCCTGCTGCCATGTTAGACGTGCCTGCTTCCTCTTCCACCATGATTGCAAGTTTCCTGAGGCCTCCCCAGACAAGCAGAACTGTGAGTCAATTAAACCTCTTTCCTTTATAAATTACCCAGTCTCAGGGAAGTTCTTTATAGCAGTGTGAAAATGAACTGATACACAAACTCAGCTCTTAACTTGCCTTTTTGTTCTTCCACAATAAAACTCAAGCTGCCCAGTGCCCAGGCAGAGTCTCCATAATGCTAACATCTAGAAAAGAAAGGATGAAGGTGGGTGAAAGCCCAAGTCTTCCGAGATTTAGCTAGACAGAGAGGCAGCACCTAGCTACCTGATGTTGTCTTATACATCCCCACACTGGTCTGCAGCTGCAGGTGTAAAGATTCTATTAATTTACCAGTTCAAGAACAAACAAGCCTTCGCTGGTGTAGAAAAGAGGCTGATGGTAACCCAAGCACATCTTCCAGAAAACAACAAAAGCCACCTCTGGTGGAGCACCTCCATAGGGCACCCTGGTGCATCTGAGATCTTATGCCCAAAATGAATGTAAACTAGGGCTAAGGTTGGGGGTAACTTCTGGGCATCTTACCCAACAGAAAAATCAGGAGCAATCGAAAGCAGGGTGGAGGAAGGGTGTGTGCTTTTGTTTTGTTCTGTTTTGTTTTGTTTTTTTCTCTTTTCAAAGGGTCAAAAGCCAACAATCTGACACTTGTAAAAGTGTCAGCCCAAAGGGGGAAGGCTCCTTGGACGACATGATAGCTCACCCAGAAGCTCAGCATGTATCAGAAACCGAGATTCAACACCACGCTTTCTTTCTCTTCCTTCCAACAGCCTCTGTTGCTCGTGGCAGATTTAATGGTGTGATTTACAGCACTGAGAGACCTTTGTCAGGGCCAGTAAAATGACAAACAATAAATATATGGAGCAGTATGTTAACAGCCTCCACACAATACCTTGTCAGTTACAGCTTGATAGCGATACATTTTAATTTTGTCTTTCATAAAAATCTTGGCATGTATGCCTCATTTGAACACAGGCTTCCAAGTCAAGTGTGTCATCCAAGCAAGCAGTTTATCACCCTCTATATTTTCTGTCCTTTTCATTTAATGTCATTCCTATGGCAACAGACATCGCCCTGGAAATCATTTTCAAAACAGCTTATTTGTTGAAAGGGATTGGGTGAAGCTAAAATATGTGTTTGGCTGGGAAGAATGTCAGAGTGTGAATATGGCTTAGTTACATTAATCATATTCTTTGAGGACTTTGTGTAATCAGATACTTGAAGGAGGCGTATTGTGGGGTAGAATTTGACATCCCCACCCCACCCCCAGCTTTTTATGGTTTTGCATTTCATAAGGATAAAAATAAGAGAGGCAAAGTTGCAGTTCACTCCATGGAAAAAGATCTATGCTTGTTTCTAACATGGCATGGTATGTCCATTTAGAGAATAGGATAGAATGGTGGATTGTAGCCCTAATAATACTGAACTGCTGTTACTATGAAGCTGATTATATGAACCTGAATTTATTCATTCAACATGTATTCAACACTTCTTTAATGAGCATCTACTATGAAATGAATATTGCCTGAGAAAGTAGTGGTGAAAAAAATATACAAAACCTCTGCTCCCATGGAGCTTTAACTCTAGTAAGGATGACAGATTTTATTATTTATCTATTTATTTATTTATTTATTTATTCATTCATTATTATTATCATTTTTAGAGATGAAGTCTTATTCTGTCAGCCAGGTTGGAATGCCAGAGGGGAAGCATAGCTCACTGCAGCCTCAAACTCCTGAGCTCAGGGCAAGTCTCCCGCCTAAGCCTCCTGAGTAGCTGGAACTACAGGCGTGTGCCACCACGTAGTTAAGGAGGGCAGATTTTAAATAAGTAAACTAATACATTGTTGAAGCTGGGTTCTCCAGTAACAGGATCTGAGATGGGTGTTCTTGTGAAGGTGATTTATTGAAGACCCAAGAAACAAGTTGTACGAGGGGCTTATAAGTTGGTGTAGAGAGCAGAACCATACAGAGGAAGAAGCCAAGCAAAGCTGAGTTTAGCCTCTGTCTGATCTCAGCAGGAGCTCTGGAGTGCAAATGGCCCCACCAAGCTGACCCACCTAGGGACATTGAACTAGTGAGTCACTGGTTGCACACTGCCTTGTGGAGGAGGTGTGTGCCATCACAGCCTCCTAGGCATCCCTCGGTGAGGCAGTTCCTATTGACCAAGAGTAATGCTTGGAAGAAAGGTGCAGATGTTGGCCATTGGCTATCAAAACTCACATCAGCTGGGGAGTGGGCATGCCAGTTGGACAAGGGAGTCAGGGCACATAGTTCCTACTACATGCATACATACATGCAGTATTTTAAGTCAGAAATAATGTTATGAATAAAATAAAAGACAGTGATCAACAGTAGGTTGACATGTCATGAAATGCTTTTCTAAAGAGATAGCATCGGAACTGAAGCCAGTCATATGAAGATCTGGGGCAACTGTTAAAGCAGATAAAACAAAAGGCCAAATAACCTATGAGTGGGCTCTTTCAAAGGGTGGCAAGATCAGGATATTTGAGGAACAGAAAGTAGGCTCAGGTGGCTAAAGTGCCATGAGCAATGGTTGGGGTGATAGAGGAGAAAGTCAAAGAAACAAGCTAGGATCAGATTACATAGCATATAGAAGGCCATGAGAAGGGCATTGTATTTTATTGTAAGGTCAATAGAGAGCTCACTATACTCTTAAGCCAGCCAGCATCACATACTGGAATCTAGAAATTAAACCACCTGCCCACATTCAGCTCCTCCCACTCTGCTAGGTGCCCTGAGAAGCAAAAGTAGTGAGTATGTGTTGCAGGCACAAGATGCTACCTGTTTCAGTGAGGAGATAGGTCTTGCTAGATGCAGTACTTCCATGAATATGAATATCAGCTACACATCTGACTGTCTGTGGCTTAAGACAATACCCGATTATTGGTTCACACAGCAGCCCACTAAAGCTTTCTTTCTTTTCTTTTTTGAGACAGAGTCTCGCTCTGTCTCCCAGGCTGGAGTGCAGTGGCATGATCTTGGCTCACTGCAAACTCCGCCTCCCGGGTTCACGCCATTCTCCTGCCTCAGCCTCCCAAGTAGCTGGGACTACAGGCGTCCACCACCACAACCGGCTAATATTTTGTATTTTTAGTAGAGATGGGGTTTCACCGTGTTAGCCAGGATGGTCTCTAAAGCTTTCTTAATCTATATTATGAATGACTGGATGACATGCAGTTTTGATGGAAATCTGAAGCCTTTTCATCATGCATTATTCCTATATTTGGTATTTCAGGATCACATTTTCACCAAATTAGAACCTAATGCAGTCTTTCATAAAGGCTACATTCTGCATAATAGATAACCTTATAGAGCCTCACTACCCAAAGTGTGGTCTGCAGACCTTGACCATATGACCATGACATGGGAGGTTAGGGAAGCAGAACAACAGACTCTGCCCCAGACCTATCCAACTGGAATCTTCATTTTAACAAGGTCCCCCCAGGTGATTTGTATGCCCGTTAAAGTTTGATAAGCTCTGATGCAGAACATTGTTTCTACAGGAAAATGTGTCCTGAAGTACAATAACTCACTGATTAACAAAACAAACACTTGAGACATACAACCAGGGTGTAAACTGGCCTCTACCAAAAATTTTAAAAAGTTGAACATTATAATATAATTTAAAAAGAACAAAACATGGAAATACTTTTCACAGTGCTGTCAAATGCATGGACACCAGGAAGGTGCTTGGGAGTCCAAGATAATTCAGGAGAGACCCTCAATATAAAGAGATTTGAAGGGCCAAATGCAGTGGCTCATGCCTGTAATCCCAGCACTTTGGGAGTCCAAGGCAGTTGAATCACATGAGGCCAGGAGTTCAAGACCAACCTGACCAACATAGCAAAACCTTGTCTCTACTACTACTGCTAATAATAATAATAATAACAAAATTAGCCAGGCGTGGTGTTGCACACCTGTAATCTCAGCTACTTGGGAGTCTGAGGCAGGAGAATTGCTTGAACCCGGGAGGAGGCGGTTGCAGTGAGGTGAGATCACACCACTGCATTTCAGCCTGGGGAACAGAGAGAGTCTCTGTCTCAAAAATAAATAAATAAATAAAGAGATTTGAAGAAGAAAAGAGTAAGGAATACAGCTTTGATGCATGGTTTCACAGAAAAGGAGAAATCAACATTAGTCAAAGTGTGTCTTAAAATATTATTCCTAGAAAGGACAAGAACAGTCACTTCTCAAAAGAAGACATATATGTGACCAACGTGCCTATGCAAAAAGCTCAATATCACTGATCATTAGAGAAATGCAAATCAAAACCACAATGAGATACCATCTCACACAAGTCAGAATGGCTTATTAAAAAGTTAAAAAAAATGAAAAAACAGATACTGACGAGGTTGCCAAGCAAAGGGAATGCTTATACACCATTGATGGGAGTTCAACCTTTGTGGAAAGCAGTGTGGTGATTCCTTAAAGAGCTAAAAACACAATTACCAATGGACCCAGCAATCCCATTACTGGGTATATACCCAAAGAAATATAAATCATTCTACCCTAAGGACACATGCCTGCATATGTTCATTGTGGCACTGTTTACAATAGCAAAGACATAGAATCAACCTAAATGTCCCTCAGTGACAGATTGGATAAAGAAAATGTGGCACATATACATTATGGAATACTACGCAGCCATAAAAAAGAATGAGATCACATCCTTTGCAGGAACATGGATGGAGTAGAACCTATTGTCTTTAGTAAACTAACGCAGGAACAGAAAACCAAATACCTTGTGTTCTCACTTATAAGTGGGAGCTAAATGATGAGAACAAATGAGCAAAAGGAGGGAACAACAGACACTGGGGCCTACTTGAGGGTGGAGGGTGGGAGGAGGGAGAGGAGCAGAAAAAATAACTGCTGAGTGCTAGGCTCAGTACCTGGTGACAAAACAATCTGTACGACAAACACCTGTGACTTCAGTTTACCTATATAACAAACCTGTACAAGTACCCCTGAACCTAAAGGAAAAGTTTTAAAAAATAATAATAAAAATATATATTATTGCTATGAGGCAAGACTTCCAGAATGGTGGGAATCCAAAAATCTCCTTCTTTATAAAAGCAATGAGAATACTGTCAAAATTGTTAAAATCAGTAGTTTTAAGATCTCTGGAACGTAATCAAAGTCTTGCAACAATCCAAGGAGTATTTACCCAAGAAAAAAATTAGTTCTACAAAATGCTAATAGATATTACCCCAAAGATGATACCATGGTGAGATTAGAAACATTGGATTGAACAAAGTTACAGGTTTCTCTTCTGTAGGATCTTTTGGAGCCTTTAGTACACTAAATATTCATTGTATAGTCTGCAATTTTTTCCAAACTTAATTGACCATAATAAAAGATCCCTTTTATTATGAAATATTCTATGGATCTATGTCCTGAGACATAGACAATACACTTTGGTACATACTAGGTGCAACTTTGAGGTTAGATCTATGAAAAGATGAAGAGTTCTAGACACTGGAAGGAGTAAACATAATGAAAGGCATGCGTGAGAGTCCCCTGGAAGCCCAGATATTTTTCTGGAATGTGGTTAGGAGAGAAGCTGGTTAAGAAGAAAAGTGGTCAAATGTTGGAGTCTTTGCAGGTTAAATGGAATGATTCAGAAGAACAATTTCTTAAAACAAGTTACAGTCAGCTAGGCATGGTGGCTCACATCTGTAATTCCAGCACTTTGGGAGGCCGAAGCAAGAGGATTGTTCTAGGCCAGGAGTTTGAAACCAGCCTGAACAACATAGTGAGACCTTATCTCTACAAGAAAATTAAAAAAAAAAAAATTAGCCAACTGTGGTGGCATGTGCCTGTAGTCCCAGCTACTAGGGAGGTTGAGGCAGGGGTGGGGAGTGGGGGAGGGATCATTTGAGCCCAGAAATTCAAGGCTGCAGTGAGCCATGATTATGCCACTGCACTCCAGCCTGAGCAGCAGAGCGACACCCTGTCTCAAAAAAACAAAAACGAACAAACAAAAAAGTTACACAAAGTGCACACCATAAAATAAAAGACTGATTAATTTGATGTTGTTAAGATTTAAGTTTCCATAGAACAAAAAAATGCTTTTAAACTGAGTGAAAAGACAACCCATAGCCTATGAGAAGATATTTGCAATACACACAACCAGCAAGGAGACTATGCAGAATGTACAAAGAGCAAAGGGTATTAGCTGGTAATAAACAGAGAAAGAAACTTAAATAATCAATAGATACGCAAACCAATGCTCAACTTCCAGAATTATCAGGAAGTACAAATCAAATTAAAAGCATAATAAATTTAACAAAAATTCTAATCTCTACCACTACCAAGTGCTCATAAAGAAATTAAGCACGCAACTCTCATATGTTCTGAGAGGGCTTCACGAACTTTTTACTCACATTTCTGACACCAAAAATGTGAATGGATCTTCCTCACACCAACCAGTGTGCCAACTCTCTGGACATCAACTGGATATCCTACAATTCAGGTCAATTCTGACACTACCTGGAGCTAGCATCAGTTTCCCCCAATTTAAGGGCTCAGTTCCACAAGACCACCCTCACTTCAGATGCCAGTCTCAAGTATTGAGTACCCAGGGTACCTACACTTCTGTTCAACCTTGCTACAAAGCTAGGGGTGGCCATAACCTCCTCCCTTCAGGTTTCGTAACTTGCAAGAGTGGCTCACAGAACTCAAGCAAGCACTTGACTTATCATTACCAGTTGGTTACAACTGTTACTGGTAACATAATTATTACCAGTGTGTTCCTGTTACAACACAGGAACAGCCAAATGACAGAGATGCACAGGGAATGTATGGGTGGGAAAGGGTGTGTGGAGCCTCCATGTCATCTCTGGAGTTACCACACGCCAACACCTGAATGTGTTCACCATCCCTGAAGCTCTCTGATCCCCTTTGTCTAGGGGTCTCTTATGGAGATTCCATTACAGAATCAAGATTTATTAAATCATTGGCCATTGGTGATTATCTGTATCTCTAGCCCCTGTCCCCTCCCTGGAGGTCAGGAGGTGAGGCTGAAAGTGCCACGCCTCTAATCATGCTTAGGTCTTCTGGAGATCAACCCTCAACCTAAAGCTATCTAAGGTCCACCAGCCACCCCAGTCATTTAACTGGCACACAAAGACACTCATCACTCCAGAGATTTCCAAGTCTTTTTAGAACTGTGTGTCAGGAACAAGGTACTAAGACCAATATTTTTTTGTTATATCACAGGATAAACTGATACAGTTGAATATCCCTTATTTGAAATCACTGGGACCAGAACTGTTTGCGATTTTGGATTTTTTTTTTTTTGGATTTTGAAATGTTTGCATTATATTTTCCAGTTGAGCATCCAAAATGCAAAAGTCCAAAATGCTAAATGTATCAATGAGCATTTCTTTTGAGCATCAAAACTTTAAAGATGTTTTGAATTTTGGAGCACTTCTGATTTCAGATTTTTGGATTTGGAATGCTCAATCTGTATAAACATTTTGGAGGGCAATTTGAAAAAGTTTAGAAAATTTGGAGATGTGTGTACACCCTAGAGAAACTCCTGCTTATGTGCACAGTGACATAAGTTAAAAAGTGTTCCAGTATTATTTGTGGAAACAACCTAAATGGCAATTAATAGAACAGATGAATATATTATTGTTTATTCATATAATGAAATATTACATAGTACTTAAATAAATTGGGGCTATATGAATCAACATTGATAAATCTATAAAACACATAAAGTATGATACCATTTACAATAAAATTTTCTAAAATGCAAAATTATATTGAATATTGCTTATGGGAGGCTTTACAGATGCTAACAGTATGAAAACATGCATGGAAATTATACATACAAATTCAACATGACTGTAACTTCTAGAGAGGAAGAGAAGGGAATGGGAATGAACAGGGATACACAGAAGCTTCAATTGTTTGCAAATAGAAGAAATATCTGAAGCAAGTATATCTTTAAATGATTAAATTCAACCTAGATATGTATGTATAAATAGATGTTTACAATATTATTATCTCTTTTTTCTGTACATAATATTTTCTTTTTTTTTTTTTTTTTTGTGACAGGGTCTCACATTGTCACCCAGACTGGAGTGCAGTGGCCAGTGGCACAATCTCAGCTCACTGCTACTTGGCTTCTCACGGGCTCAAGCGATCTCCTGCCTCAGACCCCTGATTAGCTGTTACTACAGGCACACCACCACGCCTGGCTAATTTTTTTTTTTTTTTCAGTAGAGACAGGGTTTCACCATGTTGCCCAGGCTGGTCTCAAACTCCTGAGCTCAAGTGATCCACCCATATCAGTCTCCCAAAGTGCTAGGATTACAGGCATGAGCCACTGTGCCCAGCCTGTACATCATATTTTCTATTATAAGACAACTCTGAACAAAGATGCACCCTTTTTTATTTTGATTTTTTTGTAGAGACAGGGTCTCACTATGTTGCACAGGCTGATCTCAAACTCCTAGGCTTACATGATTCACCCACCTCAGCCTTCCAAAGTTCTGGGATTATAGGTGTGAGCCACTGCACCCAGCCAAGATGTACTCTTGAATAAGGAATCATTTTTAGTTCTTGAACAGAGAAGAGAAATGTCTGGAAGACTGGGAGAAATGCTTCTTACGTGTGTGGTGAGGAAAGACTCACCACTGTGAGATTAGATCCAACTTCGCTGAGAAGCTGAGACAGGGCACTTGCTGAGTCTGGCAGAGGTGATGCTGCAGGGAACAGGAGGAAGAACAGGGCCATAGAACAGGCCATGGATGCCGCACACCTGAACTGTTGACTTCAGAGCCTGCTTGGGGAAGGCAGAACAGAGCCGTGCTCAAGAGCCTGGGTCATGCAGTCAGCTAGCCCTGGGTTTGATTTCCCCATTTATCTCTAGACAGCCTTCTTGGGTTATACTTTTTCTCATTTTCTCCATCTGTTCAGTGCAAGCAAGCACGATGCTTCTGTCATAGGATGGATATGAGGATTAAATGAAATAATCCAGGTAAAATACTTATCTCAATGCCTGGCATGTAATAAGCATATTATAAATGGTATATATTATGTGATAGTATCACTCAGGGCCTGTCAAGGAAACTGAAACCAAGGCCAGGCATGGTGCCTCACACCTTTAATCCCAGCACTTTGGGAGGCCGAGGTAAGAAGATTGCTTGAGTACAGGAGGTGGAGACCACCCTGGCAACACAGTCAGACCCTGTCTCTAAAAAAACAAAAAAGGAAGAAAAAAAAAGAGAAGAAAGGATTTAAAACAAAATAAGAAAACTGAAAGCACTCCAGTGATTTCAAACAGTAGTAACTGAATACAGGAGACTGGTTTTGTGGGTGGAAAAGAGCCTAATTGGCCTAGGTTGTGTCATGTGACTTCCCAGGGCCATGTGATGGGCTTTCCTTCTAGAATCACACAGTGAGACAGGTCAGACCCCAACAACATATGTCCATTGTCCCTGCTTAACACTCAGTTTGAATGTCAGTTTAAATCTCAGTTTAAAGGTCTAAGGGAAAGCACAGAAGATGAGTGAAGCAGCTTAGAGATCAGCAACTGGCAAGATGCTACAAGGGCAATGTGGAAAGGAGGCTGTGTTCATTTCCTTGGGATGCCTAAACAAAGGACCACCCACTGGGTGATTTAAAACAACAGAAATGTGTTCTTCCATGTTTCTGGAGGCTGGAAGTTCAAAATCAGGGAATCATCAGGGTTGGTTTCCTTTGAGGGCTTTGAGGGACAATTTGTCCCATGCTCCACTGTTGGTTTCTGGATATGGCTGGCAGTTTTTGGTGTTCCTTGGCACGTGGAGCAGGGAACCCAAAACCCTGGGACCGGTACCAGTCTGTGGCCTCTTAGGAACCAGGCCACACAACAGGAGGTGAGCAGTGGGCAAGTGGGCAGTACTACCTGAGCTCCGCCTCTCATCAGATCAGCAGCAGCATTGCATTCCCATAGGAGCTCAAACCCTACTGTGAACTGTGCATGCAAGGGATCTAGGCTGTGCTCTCCTTATGAGAATCTAATGCCTGATGATCTGAGGTGGAACAGTTTCACCTTGAAACCATTCCCCTATCCCAAACCTGACTGTGGAAAAATTGTCTTCCACGAAACCAGTCCCAGTGCCAAAAATGTTGGGGACCACTGAGGTAGAGGTATCACTCCAGACTCTGCCACCGTGTTCACACAGCCTTCTCCTGCATCTCTGTCTTCTCCTCTTAGAAGGCCACCAGTCACAATGGACTAGGGCCCACCCTACTCCAATATGACATCTTAGCTAATTACATCTACAAAGACTCTATGTCCAAATAAGGTGACATTCACAGGTACTGAGGGTTAGGACTTGAACATTTCTAGGACTTGAACTAGAACTTTCGGGGGCACAAAATTCAACTGCAGCAAATATAGTCTCAATGAGAAGCCATGGTCATCCAGGATGGGCTAGAACGCTGGCTGATCCTGTGTTCTAGTAGAAGTCAGGACCAGGGAAAGAGGGACCCTAGGAGAAAGCTGCAGAGAAAAAGGGACCCTAGGGGAAAGCTTCCAGCCACTGCCATAGTTGCCACTAGAGGCGGACAGGGAAATACCCTTTCTCCCTTCCTGTTGTTCTTCAGTCTCTCACCAGTGTCTCATACGGGCCAGAATAGCCAGAAAGCAACTGACATGAGAGCCTGGGAAACTCCTTCTCAAAAGTTAGCTGTCCCTTTCCCCCCATGTTCAAAGCACAAACCACAAGGATAGAGAATATTCAGTTGCAGTTGCTCTAAGCCTGTCAAGGCCACCTGGAACTAGTTACCCTAACTGGAATAAGAGGCGGGACTGGGGGGATTTTGAAGTGGTAACCAAGAAATATCCAGTAAAAGATAACAAAAGAGACATGGTCTCTGCCCATGGAGATGTTAGACTAGTGGAGGAGTGTGTTAGTCTGTTCTCCTGTTCTCACACTGCTGTAAAGAAATACTTGTGGCTGGCTAATTTATAAAGAAAAGAGGTTTAATTGGATCATGGTTCTGCAGCCTGTACAAGAAGCATGGTGACATCTGCTTCTGGGAGGCCTCAGAGAGCTTACACTAATGGCAGAAGGCAAAGTGGGGGCAGGCCATCTTACGCAGCAGGAGCAAGAGAAAGGGGGAAGGTGCCACATACTTTTAAATGACCAGATATCACAAGAACTTACTATCTTGAGGACAGTACCAAGGAGGATAGTGTTACAGCATTCATGAGAAACCAACTCCATCATCCAATCACCTCCCACCAGGCCCCACCTCCAACATTGTCCCCAGTGGGGAATTACAATTCAACATGAAATTTGGTGGGGACACAGATCCAAACAATATCAAAGAGTGAGAGATTAAATAAAAATAATTTTAATTTTGAATTTAAATGTGCTGTGAATTTAAAAAGTAGAATGAGTAATCCCAGCACTTTGGGAGACAGGCGGATCACGAGGTCAGGAGATCGAGACCATCCTGGCTAACACGGTGAAACCCCGTCTCTACTAAAAATACAAAAAAATTAGCCGGGCATGGTGGCGGGCACCTGTAGTCCCAGCTACTCGGGAGGCTGAGGCAGGAGAATGGCATGAACCTGGGAGGCGGAGCTTGCAGTGAGCCGAGATTGTGCCACTGCACTCCAGCCTGGGCCACAGAGTGAGACTCCGTCTCAAAAAAAAAAATAAATAAAAAAATTGAATGAGTAAAGGAAAATAGCCATGGCTCCAGAGTTAAATACGGGGAGTCAAGAAAGCCTTCCTTGAATGGGTGAAATTTAAACTGAGCGTTAAGCAGGGGCAGTGGACATATGTTGCTGGGGTCTGACCTGCCTCACTGTGTGATCCTAGAAGGGATGCCCATCACATGACCCTGGGAAGTCACATGACACAACCTAGGCCAATCAGACTCTTTTTCCCTGGAAGTGAAGTTCAAATCAAACACATAGGAAAAGAAAGCAGGAGTTTCTGAGTTCTTGGATGGCGATGCAGTAGTCCTGTCCTAGGAACCAATTCAGAGGAGCTGTGGTAGTTTATACTTCCCAAAAACTGCTCCAACGATATCTTCCTTCTTACCTGCTCTCCTTACAATGTGACTTTTGACTTGCTGCCAATGAGATGTGCCTCCTGCACCTGAATCTGAGTGGCCTCATGATTATGGTACAAATGATGCTCTCTGACTTCTGAGGCTAGATCATGAAAGGTCGTACAATATCTGGCCAGGTGCGATGGCTCACATGTGTAATCCCAGCACTTTGGGAGTCTGTGGAAGGCGAATCACCAGAGGTTAGGAGTTAGAGACTAGCCTGGCCAACATAGTGAAACCTCACCTCTACTAAAAATACAAAAATTAGTCCGGCATGGTGGCATGAGCCTGAAGTTCCAACTACTCAGGAGGCTGAGGCAGGAGAATCACTTAAACCTGGGAAGCGGAAGTTGCAGTGAGCCGAGATTGCACCATTGCACTCCAGCCCAGGTGACAGAGCAAGACTCTGTCTCAAAAAAAAAAAAAAAAAAAAGGCTGTACAATATCCGTCCAATTGTCCAGGAATACTTATTCTTGGAGCCCAGCCACCATGGAATCCAGTGACTCTTGTTCCATGACCTTCCAGATTCCAGGCTCATAGCAATGAGGCCACAGTGTGAAGAAGCCTAAGAGCCAAGATCTCAGTTCCAGCTGCATTCAAGCTCCCAGCAAGCCAGCACCAAGTTACCAGCCATGTGAGGGAGCCATATTGAAAGTGGATCCTCCAGCCCCAGCCAGGCCATGCCAGCCAACGCTACATGGAATTGAGACTTTATTCCCTCTGATCCCTGCCCACATTGAAGAGTCATAAATGAAATAAATGATTGTTGTTCTTTTACACCATCAAGTTTGGGGGCAGTTGGTTACCCAGCAATAGACACTAGAACAGCAGTCCTGATTCTCCTTTTTTCTATGACCCAGCTCTTCAGCTCTTTTCATTTTTGTAAACTGTCATCCTGTTGGTCAATTTATTCTTAGTAAAATTAACTGAAGTTTGTTTCCTTTTCTTATGATCAAAGAACCTTGATATGTAGCCCTTGCAAAGGACAGGAAGAGAAACTTCAGACTGAGAAGAAACCATGGACCTGAAGACTCGTTCAGGAAACAGCCTAGAACCTTAAGAGGAATTGGGACAGTTAGTGAGGCTGAAGAGCATGGAATGAAGGGAACAGTGGCTCGAAGTGAGGTTGGAGAAGGAGTGACATTAGTATTAACTAATTAGTATGTCCCAAGCCAGCAAAAGTACTTAATACATACTGTCTCATTCATCTGCACCTCAGTAAGAAGAGACAAGTCCTATTTTTAAATGCAACCTCTGCTTCCATTTAAGGGAAAATAAAATTGAGGCTCAGGGATTACATTAGATTCAGCTGTTCCTCTGATGCCTGTATTTCTACCACATCTCCCGCATGGCCCAGTAGACAATTTATGATATAGAGAGAAGAGTATGAGGAAAGCAATAGTGAGAAATTCATGAATGGGTAAGTAGACCAGTTGGAAAAGCCCAATAATACTAGGAAGCCATAAACCTTAACTTACCTCCCCACCAAAAAATTAGAGCCAAACATAGAACATGACAGTCATTAAGGCAAAGGAGAAAGAACACTGGCTTTGAAATCATGTGGATGTACCTCCCTGAGAATCCATTTTCTCATGTCTAAAATGCAGGTGATAATACCCAAATCCCTGTCACAAGATTTTAAGATGATACTTGTAAATCGGATAGCACTTAGTAGTTATCAAAATGTCACAAGTAATCCTAAGTATTAAAAATAATTATAGTAACACATAAGGTTGCATAGACAGAGGCCAAAAAACATAGAGGACAAGAAAAAAGGGGAAAAAAAGTAAGGACACATGGTAAGATGGGAGAAAAAGACAAAAGAAAGAAAAAATTATTGTTAGGGGAGAGCAGGAGAGGCAAGGACAAAGAAAATCAGGTCTCAGGCTGACTGATTTTAAAGTCTCCCTGCAGAAAGCTATGCTACAGCCTGAAGCAACTCCTGGTGCCACCACCCCTGCACAAGAGGCAGCAGCCCCATGCAGTCAAGCCCTGTGATCTTGCCAGGCATCAAATGTTCATGTTCAGAGGTTAGGAGCATCTGAAACTCCCATGAAACTGGCTCACAAATCATCCCATGATCCCTCTGCAAAGACAAAAGGCAGCCAGACCACCCCTAAGTGAATCTCCTTAATTCCATAATCTCACCAAGCTCATTGGATTCTTGGTCATTTGGGGGCTCCACGTCCTAGGGCACCCACCCTTTGACATTCATTAGAAAGGGACCTGCAGAAGGAAACTGAGGGAGGGAATGGAAGGATGCCAGCCAAGGGCAGAGAGCAGAATGGCCTACACTAGGGACCGTGAACACCAAGTTTCCATGTCTGCCCAGCACCTAAGGAAAGAAACTTGCTTTCAAACCATATCACCCTCAAGTGTGGCACATAACAGGTGAAAGGAATTACAGTGACTTTCCAAAGTCTTTCAAGGTGTGGCCAGCTTTGCTTGCACTCTTGGGTGTAAAGTCTCTAGACAAGGGAGGAAAGTGGATCAAAGGGAATTTCCTAAAAGGGAAGTAGATCTGCACTGAGAAGATGCAAAAGAGAGATAACCCTGGAGATATCTCTCTCTTTTTTACTTTTTTTTTTTCTTTGGTTCCTTGCCGTCATCCTATCCTTGGTGGCCTTATTGAAAATTCCTACCCTCCCGCCCTCCAGCTCACCATACCCACATCAGGGTGGGGCAGCTTTTTATGAAGAAAAATAGAGGTTGCAATCTTTGGCATATTAATTCAGAGCATATGGTGAAAAATATTGTTTGCTATGGCTTGTGGGCTTATGATATTTAATTTAAAATAGATTTTCCTAAATAAAAAGAGACTTTATACAGATGGCCATTAAAAGCAAACCGTTTTGCTGCTCGGCATTGTTAAAATATAATGTTTTGAAAGCATTTTATAGTACCTAGGCCCTTTGGCAAGGATGCAGGACTCTGTGAAGATGGAGGCTTGGCGCAGTGACAAGATGGTCCAGATGCAATTGTCACAAGCCCTGTCCTGAGGGCCATTTTTCTTTCCATAAGTTTGATTTTCTTTTGTATAGAAATCTTTCTTCTTGCATCCTAAATTTTATTCAAATCTGAGAAAGCACAACTCTTGAGATCCGCTGGCTGAAATGATGGCAGCAAATGCTTTATGATGTCATTTCTCTTTAAATATGAACAGATTGTTTCCACAGCAAACATCTAGCAAGCACAAGGCCAGGTGTTTTCCTATTCTCCATGTCTCTTTTTAGTGTTAGTGGAGTATAGTGGGATTTTTTTTCTTTTCTCTCTCTCACTCTCTCTTTCTCTCTCTCTTTGTATTCTTTTAACAATTAGGTGAGGTTACCGGCCACCGCACAAAGGGTTCCCTGATATTTGAAGGGCATTGAGATTCTTGTACAAGTAAAGAGAGCGTGGTAGTAGTTTCCATGCTTTGTGAGGTAATGAAAGTTGCAAAATAAAAATAACTTCTGATTCATCTCACTGAGGACTTTATCATGAGTGATGTCAATCCATCATGTTTTCTTCAGCTGATTCATTTTAAGCTTCAGAGGATGGAAGCAGACCTAACAGGCAGGCTCCCTGATTCCTTTAACCGTGCAAACACAACAGCAAACGACAAGGAGAGGAAACTCCGGTGTTCACTTACTGGCCACTGCTCAGGGTGAGAACATCCTCAACAGCCCTGGCTTACCTCTTCTTCCTCCCCTTGCTATCGGCAACAGACAATATTCTCAGCTAAAAAATGATCGGAAGAGAGTAATGCACACCTCAGGGTCAAATCTGTTAAGTTTGTTTTTCTGATGCAATGTCAGTCGCTGAAGACTTTTGTTGAAAAAGCTGATACTTGAGAAATTGTTTTACATTAGTTTGGGATAGAAAGGAAAGCTGATAGCAGTTTCTAGATTGTCAGTAATCCTCTCTTATGAGTGGCCAAAGAGAAACAGCATACTTCCTGACTGGGGCTCCGAGAAATGTCGAGGTACAAAAACAATTGTTCCCAATGCACTCCCGTCTGTAATTAGGAATGCACCAACCATGGCACGGTTTGTTTTTCTAGTTCAGTAACCTTTAACAACACTTGTAATCAGCTGGGTTTTAAAAGTGGGGGAGAAGGGGATGGGAAAGAGTCACATTACACTTAGTGCAGGCAGCACTCCTGGAGAAACGTTCAGCACCGGACACACCTTGCTGCTCCGGTGACTTTCTGCGCCTTTGTTTGCAGGGATATAAACAGAGCTTAGGTGAACCCACAGAAAAACTCTGCAATCCCGTGGGGTAACTTTATAGGGAAAGCTGTCTTCTTTGTCCCTGGAGTGAAGGATTGGGTTTGCAGGAGGCTAGAGGACTGCAACCTTGCATTTGGGGACAGTTATTTACCTGGTTTGCACCTGTAGCTCAAATAAGCATGAACCTGCCAGAACTTGAAAGAGTCAGAAGATGTACCTGGCAGAAATAACAAAACTAGAAGACGCTTTTATTGAAGCAGGCAAGACCCCTACGGAGACCTTTGCAATTCAACTTCAGAAAATTCTTCAGAGGGGTTATCAGTTAGCACAGGCTGGGTTGAGCCAGGAAGGTAAATATTGATTTGTAAAGTTTCTAACTCAGTGGTTGTCTTTGAATGAACTCATGGAGAATGACCCCTCTTAACCAGAAATTAAAATTAAAGAAAAAAAGGTGTAAGGCTTTTTGCTTATTAAAATGGACATTTATTTTTCTGTTTATAAAAGCAGTACATGTTCATTACAGACAAATTAGGAAATATAACTAATAAAAAATAAAAATTAAAAGTATCCATTACGTAAGCATTCCCCATTAGCTGTTGTTAACTGTGGCATATGACATTTCAAACTTGAAAAATAACTATTCAATTTTTAACAAAAGTCAGGGCCATGGTATGCATACTATTTTGTAATATACCCTTGTCGCTTTGGAGTCTTTATTGTGGCTGTTATTTGAAATTGATAACTTTGCATTGACATCTTTTTGCTTTTTGTAATTTTTAATTTTTTTCGAGACAGAGTCTCACTCTGTTACCCAGGCTGGAGTGCATTGGTGCAATCTCGGCTCACTGCAACCTCCACCTCCCAGGTTCAAGCGATTCTCCTGCCTCAGCCTCTCGAGTAGCTGGGATTACAGGTGCCCACCACCATGCCTGGCTAATTTTTGAATTTTTAGTAGAGATGGGGTTTCACCATGTTGGCCAGGCTGGTCTTGAACTCCTGACCTCAGGTGATCCGTCCGCCCTGGGCCTCCCAAAGTGCAGGGATTACAGGCGTGAGCCACCATTCCTGGCCTGACATCATTTTTAATGACAGCCTCGTGTTCTATCTCATGGTTGTATGAAGACTTAATTAATCAATCCTTCATTCTTAGACATTCAGACTACTTCCAGCTTGTGTGTGTGCTGAAAACTGCTTCAGCAAACCACCTTGTGGGTGAATATTCGCATTGAAGTGTTATTATTGTTGCTGTTGTTTAAACAGACTAACTTAGGGATGCTTTAGAAATTTTTCTGAGAACTAAGATGAAGATAGGGAACTGGCATGAAAGAGTAAATTCTAACTATGTCTGAGTAGAAGACTTGAATGGAGTTTTGTAACAGGTGTGACTGAACTAGGTAGCGAAGTAGAGAGTGTTAAAAGAAATTCTGTAAAAAATACCAGGCATTTAACTAAATTGTACAGGACTGCCAATGACCTGTTAGATATCTGCCATCTCTCATTTCTACGCCTGCTATTCTAGGATCCTCTGTTTTTGTAACACATAAATGCATGTGGCATCTTCCTGGGTTATTTGGACCAAGTACTGTAATTCCTTAAGATCAGCAGACTGTTTTGGGGATGATTAAAAAAAAAACAAACTGGTTCAAATGGTAATATAGAACTGGGGATGATGTCAAAATGATAGTGGTGGAAGGAAAAATGCTAGGACGGATCAGGTCCAAAGTTGTCCTTAGTGAACCAAAAATATATGATTTGATAAAAATAATCTTAAACTCTGCTTTCGACAAGGGTGTTTACAATAGGCGGGGACAACAGTTAAGAATCTCAGAAGACAGCCTCATGGATGGAAGGCCAATATCCTCCTCCCCCAGGTCTATGCAGGACAGACATGGTTACAGGATCAGAGCCCTCCCAAAGGCCACGTACAGCCTCAGAATTCTCCTCCATCCAGGGCTCCAGCCTATTGGCAATGGCTCATGAGGTGGTACTCAGTTTTTATCCCTGGCCTAGTGGCTTCATTATCTACAAACAAGGGATGTGTTGAAGGGAGGAGGAGGAAAGTGAAAAACCATGCTTGGATGGATCAAGATAAGCGGCAGAAGAGTGGTCTGCTGAAAAAGCTGGAAATCTATCCTGATGGCACGATCCCAAGGAGATCTGTGGGGTTTTTTTTCTATGCAATTTAGAATTGTACTCCATAGATTTTCCTGATATATTTAATCATAACTTCCCCCCTAGAGTTAGGGGGTTCCTAGAAATGACCACGTTATGGCAAATTGCAAGCCCTCATTTTAAAGTATGGGTCCCAAGTATTCAATCAACATGCATTGCGTGCCTTTTGTCCTAATGCGGCTTCCCCAGGATAGACGAGCTTGAGACAGGGCTTATTTGTTATAGGACATGAGCTCAGGGAATCTCTGTGAGGGACTGGAAAGAGCTACACCTGGAAAGAAGGAAAGTTGAAATGAGGGTGTCTCATCAGGGTATTACTATTGTGAGTTTGGTTTCCTTAGGAGCCTCTGAGGAGCTTTTGGAATGTTCCCCAGCCTTGTCTGCTTAAAGAACTGAGGACTGAGCAGGCGAGTATTTACCTATGCTCCCCGATTCTTCATATTTTGGAGATCAAAAATTTCCCCAAGGAGTGTGAAATCTCTTGCACATGTGTGAGTGCCAAGCTAAATGGGTTCCTGCAGGCAGACCTGAAGCAGAAAGTTTAGAGATACACAGTGCAGCCCATACCCAGCGTGCTGGGGCAGAACAGAGTCAGATTATACTCCTAAGAAGCAAGCTGCTGCATTTTGGACCAAAATGCAGCCCAAGAGAATGTGACGGGTTGCCACAAGCGGTGTCCAATATACCATCTCTATACCAACCCAAGGCTAGGCACAACACCGCAATGCATTAGCAAGAAGATCTTGTAAAGATGAAGCCACCAACTGACAGTCGACTCATTACAGACAGAAGGTGCTGTCACTGTCACCATCTGGCCCATCAGCAATGATGGCACGTTGCTAGGTTTGACCGGGTGCTCCAGCCTAGTGCCAGGCTAATTCCTCTTCAGAGAGCCTGAGATTTTAGGACTGAGTCACTCTGAGCCCAGCTTTGACAAATCCCTTGCAAGTTTCATCCAGAAACTGCAATAGTGTTACAAACCTCATCCATAGACCTGGGAGAGATAGAGAGGACCATGACATGTTAAGAGACACACACTCACTACTTTGAGCCAGAAGCTAACTCAAAAGGCAGGAAAACTAGGTTTCTGCCATCCAAAGGCATCAGCCCCAAGCAGACAGAGCCTTGTTCTAAATGAAAAACTGAGTCCTCCTACTCTGGAGTTTGCAAAGTAGAGTTCTTCAGATGGAAGTCCACAGATATGGCTTATTGGATGGACCCAATCATTTTTTTGTAAACTTTCAATATCTGTTGCCAATTTTAAATTTTGGATGATCTCACATAAAAACCCAGATTACTGTTTTCCCGTTCCACATAAAATAAAATAAAAAAACAGCATAGCATTGGCTAGAATCAGCTGGAGCTGAGTAGTAGCCACACTCTTTATTTTACCTTTGATTTAATTTTGTTGAAGACAGGTTCTTCCTATGTTGCTCAGGCTGGGCTCAAGTGATCCTCCTGCCTCAGCCTCCTAAATAGTCGAGATTACAGGTGTGCGCCATCACGCCTGGTACCACCCTCCTTTAGAAAGGGCCTGTACACTCTAGCTCACTGCAGTCTTCACCTCTCTCTAGTGGTCATTTATTCCCATTGTCCTAATTACCTAACTGATCCCTGGAGGTAGCAGAGTTTACAATTTCTGTTATAATTCCAATTTATCATTTGTTTTAATTATGTAAATATGATATTTCCCAAATGTTTAAATAAGCAGTAGAGATTAAAAGTGATTTCCAATAATTAATTGCCTGGTTCCACACTCTAAGAGGCAGTCATATTCTCCAGAAATCACTAGAAGCAGATTTAGTGTTAATCCCTCTGACTCTTTCAGGATATTAGGCCTTGAAGAGCCACTTAACTTCTCTGGGCCTCAAAGAATCTCATGGTTCCTCTTAAGCTATGGCAGTCATTCCCTATGGCAGGGTATAACTGTACTTCCTGGTCCCTTTATGATTGTGAGGGACCACGTGATAACTTATGATCAACAAATTTTGAATAGAAATGCCATATGTCACTTCTGGGCTAAAAGTTTAATGGTAGGCATGTGATGCCTAAAGCTCCCTCTCTGTCTCCATCACAGCAACCAGCAACATTCAAGATGGCAGCTGCTCCATCAGTCCAGGTTCAGGATGGACATGGATGAGAATAGCCTCCAAGCCCACAGGGACATGAACGTCAGGATTACAGGTGGCCCACGCCTGTAATCTAAGCATTTAGGGAAGCTGAGGCAGAAAGATTGCTTGAGGACAGGAGTCTGAGACCAGCCTCCGCAACAAAGCAAGACCTCATCTCTACGAAAAACAAAAAAATTAGCCAGACACAGCAGTGCATACCTGTAGTCCCAACTACTTGGGAGGCTGAGGAGGTTGTTATTTTAACCCAAGGGTCAGCAAATTTTTACTGTAAAGGTGCAGATGGTAAATGTTTTAGGCTTTGTGAGGCATATCTCTATTACATATTCTTTTAAATAAAAAACTCTTGAAAATAAAAATAACTCTTGATTTGCAAGCCATACCAAAATAGGTTGCAGGCCAGATTTGCCCGTGAGCCACAGCTGGCTGGCTCATATTAAGTCACTGATATTTTGGGATTGTTTGTTACTGTATTCTATCCTTCCTTACACACATGGACTTCATACCCTTTCCTGGGAATTGGGTTTGATGGATGCAAGAACTTCCAAAACAGGACCTGTGAATGAATAGGATGCTTTCCAGTTATTGCCAAATTGTGTCCTTTTTTTTTTCTTTATTCTTCCCCAACTTCCTAAACCCCTACACAATCCAAGTACAACTTTTATAACAACAGCACAAAATAATCCATGCCCGCAAAACTAGTATTATCCTCTTTATGGGATGGTATCTAATCTTTTCCAGTGTGATGATAAAGACATAGAAATAGATAAAGATATAGATAGAAATATAGATAAAGAGCTACAGAGAAAAATATAGATACAGATTTAGATATAGATACAGATACAGATATAGATATAACTAAAGATATTTGCACCTTGTTCTTTTTCCACTGAAATTACGTTCTTAGCTTTTTCACTTATGATAAACTAGTTTAAACATGATTTTTAAAATTGAATATTATCACACTGAAGAAATATTTATCTTTTTTGTGGGCATATAAATTGTTTCAAATTATACCTTTATGTAATTATTTATATAAATTGTCCACATATAAGTTGTTTATATATCTAAATATATAAATGTCTAAATACATAAATTGTTTAATTATAGAAACAATTATCTAATTGTTTCTAATTATACCATTCATTTATGAACAAATATTAACTGAATGCCTAGTATGTACCACATTCTATTCAAGGGGCTGGGGACAAAGAGACAAGACAGACAGAAGCCTCTGCCTTCACGGAACTTACATTCTACCAAGGCAGACACAAAAATAACTTAGAAGGAAGTATCATGTATTATAATTTCAGATGGCACTATGTGCTAGGAAGAAAGTAAAGCAGGTAAGGGGAGAGGCAGTAGATAGGCAGCAATTTCAGATAGGGTTATTAGGGACAGGATCTCTAAGTAAGTGACACTGAATGATGGGAGGGAAGAGCTTTACAGTCTGATGGAACAGCAAGTGCCTAGGTGTTGAGGCAGGGACAAGCTTATCTGTGCTGGGATCAGAATGTCCAATATGACTGCAGCCAAGATAATAAGGAGAAAGGAGGTGAAAGATGACTGATGCCAGGTTACGTAGGACGTTATAGCCCATGAGGAGTTTGCATTAGATGAAAAGACGTTGGAGAATTTGCAAGCAGAGCTGTGAGTAACATCATCTGATTGAGCTTCAAAAACAAAAACAAGGTCAGACACGGTGGCCTACACCTGTAATACCAGCATTTGGGAGGCTGAGACAGGAGGATTGGTCAAAGCCAGGAGTTCGAGACCAGCCTAGGCAACAAAGCAAGACCTTGTCTCTTCAAAAAATTAAAAACTTAGCTGGGTGCAGTGGCATGCACCTGTAGTCCTTGCTACTTTGGGGGCCAAGGTGGGAGGATCACTTGAGCATAGGAGGTCGATGCTGCAGTGAGCTATGATCCTGCCACCGCACTCCAGCCTGGGTGACACAGCAAGACCCTGTCTCTAAATAAATAAATAATAAATGAATAAAACAAAAACCAAAACCAAAAGACCACTCTGGCTACTGACTGGAGAATTGACAATAGGAATGGGAAGATTAATGGTGGAAAGTGGAAATGTGGAAGTTTAGAAAGCAGCTAGGGAGTGATTGTGGAGAATTATATATGCAACAGACAAGGGTGTTCTCCCAAGGCAGGAGTTTCCAAGCATTTTTTTCTCTTGTTCACCCTAAAAGGATTTGAAAAAATTATGAGCTCCTTTCCACATTTTTAAGTTGACATCTAATCTTTGCCAATCATCTAAGTAGTTACAAAATGTAATTTCTTCTTATTATAAATGTTGACATTTTAAAATAAAATCCCTTTCAATATACTCAATTGAATCTACATACTGTAACATATTAAATACTATCTAATGCCTGCATTCATTTTAAAAGTACATTAACATGCTCTTCCATGACAGTCAATTTTTTTATTCTCTTTTATCTTTTCATTTGTATTTTTATTCTGCTTTCCATTATATTTTCCCCACTGATTTTTATCCAAATGTAATATATTTTAATATTTGAATGTCTTTTATTGATTATCTTGGCATAATTCTTTGCATCAAAAATATGTGTGAAAATGGAAATTTGTTTTTTTTTTTTATTTTTGTGGCCATAAAGTACTAACTACTAATAGTTTCTGATTGAATTATAATTATAATTACTAACACACAATTTATCAAAATAACATAATCACATTACAAATGCTATTTAGTAACGATTAGACATTAAAATGGGTTTTATTAGAAATATATCTCTTCAAGAGGTTTATGAGGCTTTATTCCCCTTGGATGATTTTTAGTTATTGCTACAGTGCTCAGTATCAATTTTTTTGTTTGTTTGTTTTTGTTTTGTTTTGTGTTTTGTTTTGAAACAGTCTCTTTCTGTCACTCAGGCTGGAGTGCAGTGGTGGAATCAAAGCTTCACTGCAGCATGGCACTCCTGGGCTCAAGTGATCCTCCCGCCTCAGCCTCCTGAGTAGCTGGGACTACAGGAGCATGCCACCATGCCCGGCTAGTTTCTTAATTTTTTGTATACATAAGGTCTTGCTTTGTTGCCCAGGCTGGTCTCAAACTCCTGGCCTCAAGTGATCCTGATGCCTCAGCCTCCCAAAGTGCTGCAATTACAGGCATGAGCCACTGCCCTGGCCCAGTTCTATTTCTATTTTTGTTCTTATTGATAATAAGCGTTGCTGAGGACATGTATTCACAAAAATATGAGAAAACTTATTTACAAAAATATGTAAATAGAATGAAAGGACTATTTTTTGGCAAAATCTGCCAATATTTTGAACTCCTGCGTTATATGCCAAAATGTGACAAGCGAATCTATCTTCAAAATATGCTCTAATGATGTATCCATTCATTTAGTTCTTCCTTCAGTTTGGTTGAGCACAAGGAGTTGGAAACGACCTGACTTGCTAAAGCATGTCTCTCTGTCTTTAGATGCCTTCCTTTTCATCCCTTCACCAAGGAACTGTAGGGGTTTTCCACTGCAGGGCAAGGTGCCCTAGTCCACTAGGGATAGCGGCGGTTTTTCTGTTGTGATGGGTAAGAAAGCTCACAGAGGCTGGGTGTGGTGGCTCACGCCTGTAATCCCAGCAGTTTGGGAGGCCAAGGCGGGCAGATCACAAGGTCAGGACTTCAAGACCAGTCTGACCAACATGGTGAAACCCTGTCTCTACTAAAAATACAAAAATTAGCTGGGCATGATGGTGGGCACCTGTAGTCCCAGCTACTCAGGAGGCTGAGGCAGGAGAATCGCTTGAACCCGGGAGGCGGAGGTTGCAGTGAGCCAAGATTGCACCACTGCACTCCAGCCTGGGCAACAGAGCAAGGCTCCGTCAAAAAAAAAAAAAGAAGAAGAAGAAGAGTCACAGAAAGCAAAGGTCAGAGGAAGGGGAGGGCACCAAGGCTAGCCATGAGCTCAGCAGCCTTCTGAGGCAGAGTGTCTGGGGAAAGAGAAGACGGGAGCTGCAGATCTGGAAATGGATTGCCTTAAACTAATTGTTCAATTGTTCCTCATACCCCTGGGAAAATATTTATGTAACCCAACAGATGCAAAAATTCTGATTTCAAGTCCACTGATGTAGGGTTTTATCAATGACAGGGGTGAGAGGACTTGGAGCACAGGACTTGAGGGTGGGGTGGATATGGGGTGTAAATGAGATAAAAGGATTCCAAGATGTTACCTAAGTGTATTACAATAAGAGATTTGTATAAGGAAATTGGTGATGCAATAACAAATAAAATTTTAATCTCGGGCTGGACATGGTGGCTCACACTGTAATCCCAGCACTTTGGGAGGCCAAGGCGGGCAGATCACCAGAGGTCAGGAGTTTAAGACCAGCCTGTCCAACATTAGGAAACCCCATCTCTACTAAAAATAAAAAAAAAATAAAAAAAATTAGTCGGGCATGGTGGCGGGTGCCTATAATCCCAGCTACTCAGGAGGCTGAGCAGGAGAATTGCTTGAACCCAGGAGTCAGAGGTTGCAGTGAGATGAGATCGCACCATTGCACCGCAGCTTGAATGAGAGGGTGAGTCTCCATTTCAAAACATAAAAAACAAAATAAAATAAAATTACAATCTCCGTGGCTTATGAAATAAATGCTTATTGCTTATTTGGGCAAAGCCTCCTGTGGGCTTGGGCTGACTCTGGGAGGTCACTGCAAAAGGCGAAGAGAGAGGTGCTTCCAGCTGAGACTTTCTTGTCCGGAGGTGACCCAGGTCACTTTTGCTTACAGTGTATTGGTCAGAACTAGTCATCTAATCCGAAGCCAGCTACATAAGAGTCTGGGATGTGGGGGACCAAGTGAGCATCTGTGAACATTATCTGTCAGCCACACTAGGTTTTGGTATATAAAACCAGATGAGGCCGGGCTCAGTGGCTCACGCCTGTAATCCCAACAATTTGGGAGGCTAAAGGGGGCAGATCACCTGAGGTCAGGAGTTCGAGACCACCCTGGCCAACATGGTGAAACACTTTCTCCACTAAAAATACAAAATTAGCCGGGTGTGGTGGCACACGCCTGTAATCCCAGCTACTTGGGAGGCTGAGGCAGGAGAATCACTTGAACCTGGGAGGTGGAGATTGCAGTGAGCCGAGATCACACCATTACACTCCAGCCTGGGCAAAAAGAGCGAAACTCCATCTCAAAATAAAATAAAATAAAACCAGATGAATCATGTTTTTGGTTGGGAAGACAATATCGTATAGGTTTATTCAAACCAGAGTTTTGAAAAAATGATGATTTTCATCTAGGGAACAAATGGTCCAGACCAGTGGAGAAAAATACAAAAAAATAAGGCCAATGATAAAAGACTTGCCCTACCAAATATCAAAATGTATTAAAAATCTAAAATAGTTTAAATGAGCAGGTTGAAACAAATGAGAAAACCCTTAAATAGACCTTTAATATGGATGAATTCTTAGTGTATGATGAGAAGCAGCCTTACAGGGCACCTGTACCACTGTTTACACCATTATTAAAATAAATTACAGGTGGATTAAATGGAAAACAAAATTGTTGGTTGAAAAATGATCCTGATTTAAATAATTACCTATAAGTCTTTCTTTTCTTAAAAGAAAATGTAGGTGATTATTTTAAAATGGGCAAGGAATTCCTTAGCATAAAAGCAATGGAAGAAATCATAAAAGAAAGATGAATAATATATCTGAGAAGTAATGTATCTGAGACTTTTCAAAAATGTTAGTTGGTAAGCAATAAAAATGAGATTAAAAGGCAAACAACAAACTCAAAAGGATGATTAAATAACTGCCAAAGAATTAATAACCTTAATTTAAATAACTCTTCCAAACTTGTGATGCCACTTACATGCCAATTTTCAAAGGCAAAAGATGATTCACACTAAAAATACAAATAGCTAAGAAAGAAGATGGCATGTAATTAAAATGATACTTTTGTCCACCAAATTATCAGCTATGTTAAGGTGTTAGGGGTCAATACTGGTGAGTTTTTAATGACAGCAATAATAATATAGCCTGCTGGAAGAAGTGTGCATTGGTACTACCTTCCTGGAAAGCAATTTGTAATATGTAATCAATACTGAGACTTTAAAATGTCCACACCAATGTTCTGTAACCGGAAGATCCAAGTGCTGTAAGTTTTGCTGTATGTAAATTATGCCTCAATTTAAAAGAGGGAAAAAAAGTTTGTAACATTTACATTCCAACTAAAATCATTACAATTTCATCCCTTTTAACCTAATCTCTCCACTGCTATGACTTATTCTAAAGAAATAATAAAATACATAATTGAAATTGGTGCATAAAGATGTTCACTACAGTGTAACTTAAAAGAGTGAAACTCAGAAACAGCACCAATATACTATAAAATGGAAAAATGAATTTTGAAATATGGTAATTTTTTAAAAGGTATTATAAGCATTCATTAAATATCAAGTTTTCTAAGAATATTTTAGTAATCTAAAATAAAATAATTATATTTCATAATAATCAAGAATAGAAAAACTTTAGAGGATTTAGTTTGGCCCCATTTTAGATATAACCTTATAGAAATACATATGTCTAGGGAAAAAAATTGATAAACATGTTAAAATGTTAACAGTTTTTGAGTAATTTTTATCTGCCTTCTTTCTCAGCCCTGTCCAATTTTTAATAATTAGAATGTTACTAATACAAGGCCAGGCATGGTGGCTCACAGCTGTAATCCCAACACTTTGAGAGGCCAAGGCAAACAGATCACCTGAGGTCAGGAGTTCAAGACCAGCCTGGCCAATATGGTGAAACGCTATCTCTACTAAAAATGCAAAAATCAGCACACCACACTGGTGTGGTGGTGTGCACCTGTAATCCCAGCTACTTGGGAGACTGAGCCAGGAGAATCTCTTGAATCCTAGAGGCAGAGGTTGCAATAAGCTGAGATTGTGCCATTGCACTCAAGCCTGCGCAACAAGAGTGAAACTCTGTCTCAAAAAAAAATTATTAATATGAATAGAAAATAATTGTTTATATTTTAAGTGTAGTCACAGAAAGAGCTCCTACTCTGAAACCATGGTCCTTAGACCTTTGGAAGAATTTCAACTTTGGCCAAACTCACAAAATCATTAGGAGACCGGGTTTTATCTCCCAAACTCAAATAACCACACATCCAGTATTTGGGAAGTTAGGAACAAGACCACCAGAAAATTAAGGCCATCTCTAAAGTCTCGTTATATCTAATTAAAGACATTTAGCTGCAAGTAACAAAAAACCTAGACATCAAAGGCTTAATAACTCAAGAATTTACAGACAGGCCCTCCAGAGCTAATTCAGCAGCTGAACAATGTAACAGCACTGCGTAGAATTCTCTGGAAATTTCTTACTTTCTCTTATGCTCCCAAGATGGCTATAATGGCTCCAGACATCATGGTTCCTTCAAGTAGGGGAATGGAGCATAGGTACAAGGCACTGTCCGCATAAGTTTCTGTCTTTTCGTTTTGGAAGGAAAACTTTCCCTGAAAAATTGGATTTCTCCTTCTATTGGTTTATTTCCAGTGAAAAAAGAACTTTTGCCAAGAAAAAAATCACATGGCCACAGGACTTGGAACAATCATGTTTCATTCTCTTGAGCTGGACCTCAAATAAAATCAAAGTGTGTTTCCAAGAAGAATGTGAAGATGGGGCTATTTGTAAGCAATATTTAGAGTGTGTCGTATTTGCCTTCTCAGTCTTCTCTTGCAGCCTCAGGTCAGTGGAAGCCTGAAGGGCATTGGAGGTCATTAAAGTAGAGTGGTTACAGACAGAGGTTGAAAAAGATATTCCTGCAGGTTAACTGCCCATGATGGAGTAATTTCTACCTGATCAAAATGACAAACTTTCTCCTGTAAGACAAACAAAACCCAGCCAGTTTTTCTATTTTTTCCTTACCTATAGTGTTTCAGAAGGTGTGTTGAGTTTCAAGATCCCCCTGCTGTAAAACACACTGGTGGTCAGTCATGGTGATAACCACCCCAGAAATTAACCTGTAACACACAAACCAACATTTTCTGTGTTCTTGCAAATGAGCAAGTTAGTTATGGGAACCATGACAACCAATGGTTACCAGCAAGAAAAGGCTTATTGTAGCTAAGTCTTCCAAATTCAGTGATGCTTGAGACCTCCATTATTCCTCTTGTCTTGGTATTTACCATTTTCAGTTAACTTTTCTGATGTCCAGTGTCCTAATACTGTTCTCTGGATCTGCTCTTCTGGAAAACCACCCTATTTAGAAACATCCCCTCATGTTGCTTCAAATATTCCTGTTCTATTGCCTTAATTCCTTGGCTTATACTGTTCACAGCTAACGGAAGTTGACAAACAAATCCATGAAAAATTTATTCTTACCTAAAATATATCCCAGCAGTATCTTATCATGAACTTCTTAGTGAGAGTCTACCTTAACCCCTAAGAGTCAATCTAATAGCAACGTTTTAGGACAAATGCCTTAAAATTTAAAGTCTCTAACATTCATATAAAAAACTGCCCCTACTCTCAATTTGTAAGTTCCACTTGAATTACACCTATAGAGTTATAGACAGATAGATACTACATATTCCAAAACTCATACATAATGTGAGCTCAAGTACATGTACAAAGGAACTTTTAAAACAATAACCATCTAAAGATTTTAGTGAAATATGCAATGTTATCACTCACCCCAGTTACCAGCTAGAGTAAGTTAGACTCAATGCTCGCATTAACTGATAACACATAATGATACATTCCCAGATGAACATAGTTTCATGCTCAAAGATTGACAGGGAATGTAATGAAAGAATATTGCCCTGACTGTCAGGATTTAGGGCCTAGTCCTCTTTCTTCTGAGAATTCAATTGGATTTTGAGCAAGTCCTTTCCCCCTCTCTGGGCCTTAGTTTCTTGTGGTGTAAAATGATGAATTGGATCAGATTGTCTTAGAACCACTTCTTACTGTTAAAAAAAACTAAGACTTCTTTCAGATTCTCCTGCATAAAAATGTTTGCAAACAGAAAAAAAAAATTGCCTTCCTTTTGTTACAACTTGCTCGGCTTTTCACCCATCTACCTGAAAAATAATAATATTTGGGATAGCGATGCTTACTGAACACATACTATATGCTAGGCACTGAACAGTCGTTGTGTATTATATCCTTTAGTCCTTAAAGTCAGCATTTTTACTCCCATTTTGCAAATAAAGGAGTGAAAAGAGGAAACTTCTATTGCTAAACCCAGCCTCTTAACCATCACACCATCTTGCATCCATGTGAATTTAGTAGCATTCAAGCAGTATTTAAAACAATGTATGAGTTTAATTGTAGGAAAGAATGAGATTCAAGGTTCTCTTTTTTTCTGTCTAAAATTATGCATGCATTTCAGGAAAGGGTTGTTTGTTGTATTTTTTTTTGGATGCAGTGTTTGGCTCTCATGGGAAAATGGCATCTTCTTAATAAAGGGACAGATAAGAGAATAATCTGTTAAATGTAATCATAGAAAGACATTTTATGATTGTGCCTGTTATGATTTGGCTTCCCATGCATTGTTGTCATTCAATTCCATAAACATTCCTTTGTTCAGGAGATGACAGCACCTACTCTAAAGGTATTGTTAATATGCTGAGTAAAAACACACTTACCCTTTGCAAGCTATGGTTTTGCTTTGAAATCTCTGTAATTAACACATTCACATTTCAGGCACCGGGTATTATTGAGTTCAAAGAAACAAAGATGTATTTCATTTTTTTTTCTACAGATGATTCATCAGTTCCACTCCTTCCACCTACAGATGTCTAAACTTCAGTTTTCTGTGAAGCTACAAAGCATGAACTGGCATCTACACATTGAGTCAGAGGACGCCAAGTGTTAAACTGTAATACCGCCAACAGTTCGGTGTCAAGCCTCTTAACCTACTTTCCGGTGTAGGCGTCATTAACAATGCTCTTTGCCCTTGGGCACTAAAAGGAAAAGACTCTGGTAACCCTACACCAGTGGTTCCACTTAAGTAACTACCTGATGCATAGTTATCTTTCCAGGCTATCCGGTGAAGGGAGTGGAAACATTTGCTTCTGGGTCCCAGCCTGGCAAGCTGGTTAACGCTTGTCAAAGAAACAGCTCACTGTTTCCGATGCTCAGTCTCTGACCCGTACTTGAATTTTCACACCCATGATAACCAGATAATACCCTGGTTTGTGTTTGCTGGGCCACAAGACAGCACAAACATCATTGTGTCCACTTAAAACACACACACACGAAATAATGCATTTAAGAGGAAACACTGACATGCCTTGGCTAACTTTCTAGATGCATCCGTACTAATTTGAAATATCACCCCTCGCAATCTCCAGGTGATGAGTTTAGAAACTCTGTCATTTATGTATTCTTTATTTGTTCAAGTAAATATATTAAGCATTCAAATATTCACTACGGATCTGCTTAAAGAGCTACTGTATACTTTTTTTTTCAATGTATTAAGACTGCCCCTGGCTATCAACTTGAGTCTTGACCAGTTGGGCTAGCTAATTAGGTTGAATATTCCAGATAAATGAAACTCCCTGCAGAGAGAGATAATTCAAGCCATTCCCTATTTTATAACGAACATTGTAAAAAGTGATTTCTTCATTAGGAGAAGACGGGGCTGCTGCAAGGCGGTGGAAATCTGCAGGAAGCTCTCCTCCAATTTTGCAAAGGGAATATTTTCAACAGGCATATCCTCAACATTTAAAAATGTCCCTTGGGGACTAAGTAGGCCAACTTTTGGAAGCCGGCAATTTTTCAACCCCAGATCAAAAGTGACATTTTACAAGAGGCACAAAAAGAGAAAAAAGGAAAAGAAAGTCTCATCTGCTTGTGTATAAATGAGTACTGTGTATAATCGCATGCTCGTATATAACTCTGACCTGAGCTCTCAGCCAGGAAATATCTGCGGCCACCATTAAACAGGATATGGCCCATCTTGCCCATGGCTCTGCTGGTTCTGAGCAGCACACAGTGCATTTTTGTCTGAGAGTGAAAACAGGAAAGTTCACCTTTATCTGCTGGCTTTGAGTTGACTTTGGACACCTGGTCACACTAGGCTGACAACCTTCTGATGTGTGATATTCTTAGAACTTTTCACAGAACCGGATGCACTGAGCATCTCTGCTTCTGCCAGACCTCCATGTATTTTGCTGAAGACAACAATGCTGCACCCTAGCCTTATATACCCCTCTGGGGACATGGTGGGGTGTAGTGATCTACTCCAAGCAACCAGGTATATCCCAAGAGGCCCTTGTCCACATTTCCAAAGCTTCAAGTTACTTCTCCACCTCGCTCGATAAAAGAACAGTTTCCAGTTCAATCCATAGGTCTAGGGTAATCAATGTCTCATTCTGAGGGGCAACATGACAATCTTTCTGTTATCCATTTTAAGTAAGCCTTTCTTTATGCCCACCCTACATTGCTTGCAGTTAATGTCTCATTAAGCATAGAGCCAGGGAAGCTGATTGCCCACTGACTATCTTCTGCCACAATAGGAAAGCATGCAGAATCGGAGCACAGATTGCCTTCAGCAAGTTACAGCCATCTTCAAGCCTTAGTGTCTACTGCATCAGTCCTGATTTCCTTGCCTAAATTTGAAGAATCTCTGTCATCTTGTCTCAAGATATTTAAGCCATGCTATACAGCAAGTGATCACCTACATTAAAACCATGGTTGCTCTCCCGGCTTTTCTTTTCTTCTTCTACTCTTCTTTTTCTTCTTCTTTTTTTCTTTTTCTTTTTTTTTTTTTTTTTAGAGAGAGGCAAGGTTTCACTCTGTCACCCAAGCTAGAGTACAGTAGAGTGCAGTGGTGTAACCATAGTTCACTGCAACCTTGAACTCCTGGGCTCAAGCAATCCTCCAGCCTCAGCCTCCCAAGAACCTGAGACTATAATTGTGCACCACTAGCTAATTTTTTTTCTTTAGTACAGGTGGGAATCTCGCTATGTTGCCCAGGCTCGTCTTGAACTCCTGGGCTCAAGCAACCCTTTTGCCTTGGCTTCCCAAAGTGCTGGGATTACAGGTGTGAGCCACTAGGTTGGGCCTCTGCTTTTCTTAATATACTAAACTTGTCGTAACTGTTTCTACCTCCATTACTTTCCTCTTACACTGCTTCTGGTCCTTGCTGTCAAGTGACTTCATGCTCATATCCACTGATAATTACATTTTATTGGATGCTGGATATGTGCCGAGTATGATTAGACCCTTTGCATATGGTATACTGCCTTACCCTTATAATGCCCAAGAAAGATAAGTATTTTTATCCCTCTTACACCAAACAAGAAACAGGCTCAGAAAATGCTGTGGATGCTGAGGTGCCACCCCAAGCACTACCCCATTTTCAGGACCAAGGCACTCATTCTCTCATTCTCCTTGCTGCTGCAGGTGTTGGCTGCAAACAGCTCACACTTTCATCCCTCCCCAGGAATTAGAAGGGAACGGCTTTTCCCTCCTCAGAGATAGCCCAAATTTTATGACTCACTGGTGCAGGGCTATCAAGGTTCAGCCCCCTTGCCTAGCTCAAGACATTGGTGAAGGACCATGACAGCTCTAGAGCTCCCCGTGGATCAGCTAAGGACTCTAGCATCACCTCATTGAGGTTCAGCTTCTCTTTCTGCCCAGTGATGCTTCATTCTCCCCTCATAGACATTGCTCCTGAGAGCACCTCTAATAAATTCCCCTGATACAGCTCCCACACACAGATCTCAGAACCTCAGAGTCTATTTCCTGGAGAAACCAACTTGAGAAGGAAGATTGCTGTATTTGCCCAAAATAAGGAACAAGTCTGTAGTGGAGCTGGGACTTGAGCACATCTGTAGCCAGTTCAAAGACTGTGGTCTTTTCTCTTTGCTGCTCTTCTTCCATCCGAAGCTCACCCATCTTTTCCATCTCAGACAGGTGTGTTTTTTTGTTTCATGTCGCTCTAAAAACAGATGGTCAGCATTTTAGAAATCAGCAGATTTCAGCTGGGTGTGGTGGCTCGTGCCTATAATCCTAGGACTTTGGGAGGCTGAGGTGGGTGGATTGCTTGAGGCCAGGAGTTTGAGACCAGCCTGGGCAACATTGCAAGAACCTGTCTCTATAAAAAATACAAAAATTAGCCGGGCATGGTGGCATGCACCTGTAGTCCCAGCTACTCGGGAGGCTGAGGTGGAAGGATCGTTTGAGCCCAGGAGGTCAAAGGCTGCAGTGAGCTGTGATGAAGCCACTATACTCCAGCAACCTGGGCAACAGAGTGAGACCTTGTCTCTAAAGAAAATAAATAATAAAACTTCTAAAAAAAAAAAAAGAAATGTTCAGGTTTCACAAAAAAAAATAGAGATATCTTACTTTTTTTTGAAAATCAAAATAGCCAGTCTCGCTGGTTCTCCTCTGTCATATGAGCACAGTGGCTGCAGTGGGATAGCGGTGGGCACTGTAGACACCTGGCAATTTGCTGCTGCATGCGCCATCCCTGGGCAATCCCTGCCATGTGGTCTAGGGACAATTGCCGTTGATCATGTTGCTAGTCTGTTTTGCTTTCTCTTTTTTTTTAATGAACATGTATCTACCAAAAAATGGAAAAATTAAAGATGCCTAAAATAATAAATATTCCACGAAAAAAAATGGGGAAAAGTTCTTGGGGATGGGGGAGAATAAAGCTTGATTTTACCTGTTAATGTACAACAGAGTGGGTGAATTACAAAAATACATCATACATTAGCCACTTCCCTATTTTATGCTGTCTTTTTGGCAGCTGTGGAAATTAAAGTTTTGGATTCTTGATCTATGGGCAAAATCAAGGAATGATATTCCTCATCAGATGTTGCTTGCAGTCTAGCAGAAACAACAGCAGATGCCCAGAGTGAAGGGCAAAGAACGCAAAGGAGGGAGAGAAGGGTTTTGTCCATTTCTGCCACGAAATGATCCTAAGGACAAGCCTTGAAACCTGCTAAAGTTCAGGTGCTTCTGTTAAACGAGTGCTACATTGGATAATCTCAAAGGTTCAGTCCAGGTATAAAACTCTATGATCTATTATTCATTTGCTTGTTGCTTCATATGATTAAGTTTACCAGAGTCATAAACATATGTGGGCATAGTCAATATCAGATTTATTGATTAAATGATTGTTTTCCACAGCTCAAAGTTAGAATGTTGTTCGCAAAAAGGAAAACTAATACACACCAGAGATGTCTATATAACAAGGAGGCAAAAAAAAAAAAAAAAAAAAAAAGCCAGAGCTATGCTAGAAATAGTGGGAGCTGCATACAGCCTGAAAGAAAAGTAACCACAGGTCACAAATGGAAACTGTCGTAACAATTCTGGGGAAAAAAAGTCAAAATGAGTTTCCTCCAGCTCTAGTTTCTCATGAACAGAAGAGCCCCTCGGACATCGTCTGGAGGGAATTGAAACTCACTACTCTGGAAAATCAATTCATCAGGAGGAGAGAAAGTCACAGCTTTCGACTTGAGATCTCCCTCCCACCTTCTGCTCCCTACTCTGTTTCAGAAACTTTTTCCAGAAAGGGTTGGGGGATGTCTGAGATTGATATGAATCACCCAGAGTTGGATAAGCTTCCAGTCCCTCTTCAATTCCTTGCAAATTTCCTGGCATCATTGTTTTAAAAGATTGTTCCTGAATTACTTTTTCAGTTGCCTTCTCAGTTTAGATTTATGCCACACTGCACCCTTCGTGGTATGTCCCTCAAAAACTCCAATCACCTGACAGCCTCGGTCAGTAATTTCTCTGAAGCCTTGAAGAAGTGTGGAGAGGTGCCATATTGCACCACACAGCCTTTCGCCATCTTGCTGCCCTCCTATACCTTTTGGGTGTCGGCACATTCCAAAAGCCCACGTTCTTACCCATGTCCTTCTCTGGCATGCATCCGAGAAGAATAGCTTGGACCCATTGCTTTAATTGCTTCTTTTTGGAGAATGGACCATCCAAGCTGATCTGCCTGGAATTCCCAAGTGCCTTGAGTTCTACTGCATAAAAATGTGTCCATCCTGATGCACTTAAATATTGTTGTAGGACTTCCAAAGTACCTAGCACCCCAAACATAGCACCTACATGTCTTTTCTGCCTGAAACTTGTATTTGATTCTTAGCCTAGAATAGTAAAGCTGAATGAAATTATTAATGATTACTTAGTTGAACTTGCTTATTTCACAGCTAGGGAAACTGAGGACCAGCAAAAATTCAATTCCTCTCTCTCTAGTTCTTAAAGTTCAACTATGTCAATCAGTAATCGACTTTTTTAAAAGCTCCTTGTTCCACGTGGAGAACTATTGGCTTTGCTTATATCACAAACCATATATACTCTGTGGTATGGGTGATAGAAAGAATTTCTCAAGATAGTTTTAACTATACTTCATTTTTGCCCTAAGCTTTCTGATATTAGAGCTTAATGCCCACATAATGTGGAACTCCACTATATATAATATGTGCTATGGGGAACACCTTGAAGGGGTAACCAATGTGCCTGGGGACCAGTAAGTATGAAGCAAGAAGGTTTAATACATTGCAGAAAATTCCTAGAGCTCTAGGGTCTTTAGCATGGATGCATCATGGGGCAGGGGGTTTGTGTGGTGTGGGAGGTGGACAGATGGGAGCTGGTGCTGCCTTGCATGGTGGGAAGGAATTTTAAATTTTTGTCCTGTCAGTGATGGTCAGTCACTGAGGAGGTCTAGGGAGAGGGCAACTTGGTAAATTTTTGCTTTTTACTTCCACAGGAAGTTGGAAGATGACTTGCAGAGGGAAATACTAGAAGTCAAGAGGACATTTATGACACTCTTACAATGATCCATGTGAGACAGGATGTCAGAGCAGTGGCTGGAGAAGAAAGATGAGGGAATAGATGGGGACCTGTTTAAGGAATAGAACTGGCAGGATTTGAGGAGCAACTGTGCGTGGCCAGTGATTAACAAAAACTAGGGTAGTTAAAATATCTGTGTCCTAAAAAGTCACTTAGTTGGTAATTATCATTCAAATTATACTAGCTTGAGTACCATTTTAATATTTAGACTCCAAATTCAAGTAATAGTTCCATGCTTTCTGCTTCAAATGCTACAATACACCTTGGCCAAATTTAAACACAAATTAGTAGATGGTGCTTCCATTAATTCTTTAGTCCTCAACTTAATCGCACATAAAATTTTCCAATGGTTTCAAAATCCAAGTCAGTAAGGTCTAAGCCTTTTAGAGAGTTAATTTTACTGCTGTTTCCTCTTGTTCATGAGGCTAATTTTAAACATAGCCTTTGGATATGCTGTAAGTTGGTAATAATGCCACAAAAATACATAGACCAATGCTTGAGAATAAGAGTCAACAAATATCAATATGCTTGTTTCTGATTTGAGTGAATACCAGTCAATGTTTTTGACAAACTAAATAGGAGATCGAGGTTGCAAAATTCAAAGGCCTATGTAGTCCAGACCAATAACAAATAAAGTGGAGAAGTTTAAGTAAGTTCACATTGTGCATACATGTGGTGAGGATTACAGGAAAATATAGGACCTATGCCCTGTCTAAAAAAAAAGTTCCTACCATTCTCTAGCCTTTCATTACTATGCAGAAAGGCTGGTCCAAGGCTACTAGATATTCCAGAGGTTTTTTAAAGAATAGGTGACTATCTGGCTAATTAAAAAAAAAAATCTGGTCCAAACAAACCATGTTTGTGGACATAGCCCATGAACCACCAGTTTGTAGACCCTTGCTATTCAAAGGTTCTATAAAAATAAATTCAGCAGAAAATGCTTTTCAAGTAAGAAAAAATGCTTCATTCCAACTCCAGGAGGGTTAAAAATGCTTCAGGCAAACAAGCTAAATGACAATAAAATATATTTACTGCTATAGTCGCTGGCTTACCAGGGACTATATAATCTAGGGACCAGCAGCATCAGCATCACCTGGGAACTTGCTAGAAATGCAGAATCTGAAGCCTCATCCTAGACTTGCTTAATCAGAACCTACACTTTTAACAAGGTCCCTGGTGACTGATATCCGTGCTAAAGTTTGAGCAATGCCGGCTTGAACGCGCTCGTGCACAGAGCCTAGATGGCATACTTTCTTCCTCTATACCCCAGAGCAGACATGCAGAATAATTTTCTGTTATGAAAGCAGAGCATGGGTCGTTTTTTGGAGAAGAGGGAGGTAGTATCCTGCTCCAACAGGGCCCTGTTTGAGTTGACTCAAGGGAGCCACAAAATGTCTTCTGAAGTCCACAGGTCCATGGGTAGCATAATAAACGTGTCTTATGCAGGGACGGAACTAGGTTGAGGCCAGTAAGATACTTGCCCAAGGTGCAAATTTTACAGAGGTACCAAAATACCTAGTAATCAAGATCAATAATACTTTAATGCAATAATTTTTTAAATTAAAATTAATGCAAAGAAACTCAATATACAAAATATCATAATTTTCCAACTCGCCTCATCCTAGTTCCAGCTCACATTCTGTTCATGCCAATTTAAATATTTCTGTAATCCATTGTCTCCTGCTATTCATACTTGTCCCTCAAAAGCCACTGAACAAGAAGTATGATTTCAAACCTATAAAAATAAACTTAACAAAAAATGCTTTTCAAGTTGGAAAAAATGCTTTGTGCCAACTCTAGGAGGGTTCAAGATGCTTCAGCCAAACAAGCTAAAAGACAATAAAATGTATTTACCACTATAGTCTCTGATTTTGCAGGGAACCAACCCGTCTCCATCTTTTGTCCCTATTGTCTGCTTAAGGGACAGATAGTAGGGACATTATCTAAATGCCAAACCAAGAGTCGGAGTTACCATTAAGGAATGCAACACGCCTTTACTGTGATTGATATTCCAGTGACTTTGGGGGAGGAGAGAGGTTTGAAATGGGGCTTTGGCAAGCCAGCTGAGATGAAAATAGCTGGGAAGCTGCCTCTGTGTGTCTCTTTCACACATAGACTTCCGTTTCAGGGCCAGAACCTGGAAGTGCCCTGGGGTACAGGAAAGAAGAAACTCAGTTGAGAATGAATGAATCACCATTAGGCGTGTTTCAGTTCCTGTCTGGGGAGTACCAGCTGCAGATACCAAGAAAATACTAACTTTTCTTGCCAACTCTGTGCAGGCTGGAACAGAGAAGGAAGAGCTGACAAAGTGTGCACTTAACCACAGCTCTGGGGAGGCAATGCCTTGATATCCCCACGGTATTTATGTCTGCATCATTTATGCAGAACACTTCTAGGTTCTTCTGTTGTTAATTGGCTTCATGAGGGAGCAAATGAAGTCATCAGATGAAACAGATGAGCTTTGGAGCAAAATAGATGCAGTATCAGAGTCTATCTCAACCATTCACCTGAGTGTCTGCACTATCCCAGGCATCAATTTCTTCATCCTTGTGGGACTGGTATGAGATCATGCCTATGAAATGCTTTAATCTGTGACCTAGCAGGGAACTTGAAACCCAAGAGGCAAAAAACCATCCTTCTCAACCAACCTATAAGATTTCCGACTGACAGGAGCCCTCTATTTTATTCCCAGTACTTACCAGTAACTGACATTTGCATAGTGCGTTTAAAGTTTCAAAGCACTTTCCCTTAAAATCATTATACTGTGTCATTCCAACATTCCAATAAGTTAGGCAGGGCAATAATTATTATTACTGTTTTTAAATATGAAAACATAGCAACTATTAGAAACAGGTCTCTGGCTGAGTCCAACTAATGCTTCAAATCTTTTGACCTCTATGTTTTGCAAATATTTAAACAACAAATATTTGTTGAATATAAGACTTCAGGGACCCAAATGAAAAGTTCAAAATACTGATGACCTCATTCTAGACCCCAAAACTTCATTTTGTTGCATTTTTTCTTCTGATGACAGGTTATTAAGGTGCTCAAGGTGACAGGACATGTCTTTATAGATCTTGAAATCTCACCGAGCATCAAGAAGTGTGCTAACATAGAAGGAACCAGGGTTTGTCTTCTGGCTGATTGTGTAAAAATGATAATTGATCTATGGCTATTAGATGTTTGCATGCATTAGACGTTTGCTCATGTTTTCATGAATAAAATGAAATGGAGAATGGGCTTATTTTCATGTCAGTTGTAATCTTGTGTTAACACCCAACCCAGTACACATGGCTTTCTATAGCCACGACCACTGTAGTCCCTTTGGGATGCATCTGTCCTGAGTTGGCCAGGACCACCTCCCTTCTGCCTGGGCAGTTGGAGCTTTGGGAGTTCATCTTTCACAAACACTTTAGAAATTCTGAAGCCATTCTATGGGTCAGTGCTGAATTTAAGGAGCTACGTATCAACTTGAATCAGACTGATTACAACTCCTCTGAACCTAATTGGCAAAACCTAACTGCATTCATGTTTTATTAAAAGCAACTTTCATTACACAGGCGGTGCTGTCAGAAAAATAAATTACATCTGCAAGTACTTAGGTATAAAATTTTGCAGATAACTTCCAGTTGTCGGTAATTTTATATTAGAAACTGTTTTTCCAATACATGCTAAAACTTTGTTCATCAGTATTAAACACACTTTACCTACCACTCTTAGAATATTTATGGGACTTGTAATATAACCTTTTTTTTTCTTCTTTAGAGATTTAGTAAACTGTTTGCTGCCAACTTTAATTTTGGCAGCCTCCCTAGGCCCTTTGGAAACTATAGATTGGTTTGCGTTTTACATTCCACTGCTTACCATTCCCCCTCCTACAATAGATTCCGATCCATTTAAAAAAAAAAAAAATTAGTGTAAGTGTTGGCTGCAAAACAAGTGGGTCCCACTTGCAAATACAACAAATGAGTCATATAAACTTAGAGATGGGGAAAATTATAAAGAAGACCTAATTCACTCTCTACCACTGAATAAAATGTTTATATCTCCACTTTAGGAAGTTTTTGTTGACTGTCCCTATAGGAGCCCCCCAAAATTCTGTTTTCCTAGTTGTACCCCTAATTTACAACAATGCAGTCAGGTTGTATTTGTCACCACAACCAGATTCCAAAATAGACCTTTGTATTACTTCAGGATGCTTTTGCCAGCACCAAACATTGACTAGTAGTAGCTTAAGAAAGCAAAACTTTTGGCCAGGGGCAGTGGCTCACACCTGTAATCCCTGCACTTTTGGAGGTCGAGGTGGGAGGATCACTTAAGGCCAGGAGTTTGAGACAAGCTTGGGCAACATAGCAAGACCTTGTCTCTACAGAAAAAAAAAAAGTAGCCAGGCATGGTGGCATGTGCCTCTAGTCCTAGCTACTCAGAAGGCTGAGGCAAGAGGATTGCTTGAACCCAGGAGTTCAAGGATGAAATGACATGATTAAGCCAGTGCACTTCAGCCTGGGTAACAGAGCAAGACCTTGTGTCTAAAACAGATAAGTTAATAATTTTTAAAAATAAATTGAAAACAAAACTTTTTATTTTGAAATGACTTAAGTTAACAGAGCACTACAAACATTGTATAGAGAGTCCCATACACCATTTATCTGGCATCTTCTAACATTAACATCCTACATAACCAAGGTACATTTGTCAAATATGAGAAATTAACATCAGTACAATACTATTAACTAATTTACAGGGTTGATTTGGATTTTTTTTTTTTTGAAGATTTTCCTCTCATGTCATTTTCTGTTCCAGGATTCAGTTCAAGATCCTACGTTGCACTTAATTTTCCTCATTTTCTTCTCCAATCTGTTATGGCAACTTAGTATTTCCTTGTCTTTTATGACCTGGAAACTTTTGAAGAGTACTGGCCAATTACTTTGTATAATGGTCCCCAATTTGAGACTATATAGTCTTCTTCCATGACTAGACTAGGGTTGTCCTTTATGGGAAGAATGCCATCAAGGCAAAGTGCTCTATACCTGCAGGCATGTGATGATGTCTCATCACTGGTGATGTTAACCTGGATCACTTGGATTAGGTAGTGACGGCCAGGTTGCTCCACTGTAAAGTTGCTGTTTTCTCTTTGCAATTAATAAATATATGTGGGGAGAGATATTTAATGAGAAATATCCTACTTCTCATTAAACTTTTGCTCACTAATTTTAACATCCCTCAGTAGATCTTACTTGCAGTAATTATCACTGAGGTATTCCGGTGGTGATTTTCTTTTTCTTGCTTCTTTCTGTCTATTAATTGGAATTTTTCTGTAATGAAGACGTGTATTTTCTGCTGTTTTTATTTATTTGATTATTTGTTTATCAGTAGAGACACAAGGATATTTTATTCTTTAGGTTATAGCAATCACATCATTATTTATTTTGTTGCTGAAATTTTCCCCAATCGTGTAGATCATTGGGAACTTTTTCAGGTTGGCTCCTGTGCCCTCCTGCTGTTTTTGTTTTTGTTCTGAGACAGGGTCTCACTCTGTCACCCAGGCTGGAATGCAGTGGCACAGTCAATCATGGCTCACTGCAGCCTCAACCTCCCAGGCTCAAGCAACCCTCCCACCTCAGCCTCCCGAGTAGCTGAGACCACAGATGCATACCACTACAACTGGCTAATTTTTTAAAAAAATTTTGTATAGTTAGGGGTCTCACTATGTTACCCAGGCTGGTCTCAAACTCCTGAGTTCAAGTCATCCTCCTGTCTAGGCCTCTCAAAGTGCCGAGATTACAGGCACAAGCTACCATGCCTGGTCTCCTCTGCCCTTTTAACATGCATATTACTTTTTTTTTCTTTTAAAGTACTTCCTTTTGTAAAAATTTTAACTGACAAATAATAATTATATATATTTATGGGGTACAATGTGACATTTTGATATAAGTATACATTGTGGAATGACTGAATCAAGCTAATTAACATATCCTCTAGCTTGTCTTTTGTTGTGATGAGAACATTTAAATCTACTCTTCTAGCAATTTTGAAATATACAATGCAGTATTAATAACTATGGGTCACCATGCCATGCAATAGATCACTAGAACTTAGTCTTCCTGTCTAACTCATTGCTTTATGGCACCACAATATGCCCCAGGCTCATCTTGATTTTTTTTTTTTTTTTTTTTTTTTACCCTAGCCCAGGAATCAACCACTTTTGCAAGGAGCCTTGGTTTCTTTTATTGGAGAATGATATTTAAGTGCTAGGAGTGCTGCTTGATACTGGGACATTACTGTTTTTATGTCTTCTAAGGAGATAGAGCTAGGAAATGTAAACCTATATATAAACACTAGCCCATGTGTACACACATATTTATGTTTACTTTGTTATTGAACTATCTGCATATATATACATATATATACACACATATGTATTTAAAATCATGAGTTTATACTAACAGCTCTGACTCTAAGTCTCCACCACAGGGTTTAGTCTAGCTTTCTTCACTTCCTCATTTGTATTATAATTTCTTCCTCCGACCATGGGAAACCTGTTTCTCATTATCTACAATATATTTACTATTTGTCCAGTGCTACTATACATATAGTTTCGGAATTGCTAACCCTTCCCCTGTGAAAAACACATTTGCCAACTGAGTACGGTGTTTGTGTGCGGTTCCTTTTGCCTTTAGCCTGATAGTATCCAGTGAGAACACTGTATTCCAAAGTGATTTAGATCAGTTCCTTCATCTCCACTGCCTTCAGTGTGGTTGTTATTCATTTGTAACAGTTTGATTCATTGTCACAGGTTGCAATCCATCTTGGGTTCTCCTCCGTCCTGGTTGACTTTTTCAAAAATTTATATAAAGTAAGATTCATTTTTTTGTAGTCTACAGTTCTATGAGTGTTGACAAATGCGTAGAATTGTGCATTCATCACTTACAGATCATTTCCATCACCCTCGTGCTGTTGCCTATGTACTCAAACCCATCTCCCCATCCCACCACCCTTGGCTATCACTCATCTCTTTTCAGCTTCCATGGTTTTGCCTTTTCCAGAATGTCATTAAATTGAATCATACGATAAGTAGCCCTGGGATGATCTAGCTTCTTTCTCTTAGCAAAATGCATTTAAGATGTATCTACGTTATGTTAATCAAGTTTGTTCCTTTTCATTGCTGAGTAATATTCTACTGAATGGATTAATCGCATATTGTCTAATCATTTTCTAGCTGAAGGATGTTGGGTTGTTTCTCTTATGTGTCATGCATTCGATGTCATATCTCAACATTTTTTGCATAAGCCAAGATTACCCAACTTTTCTCATATGTTGTCTTCTAGCAGTTGTATAATTTTATGTTTTACATTTAGGTCGATGATGATCAATTTTGAGTTAATTTTTGTATATATCTTGAGGTATAGGTCAATGTTGATTATTATTGTCATTATTATAACTAATATTATTTCATATTTGAATATTCAATTGTTCCAGACCCATTTGTTAAAGAAAAACATTCTTTCTCTATTGAATTGCCTTTGCCTTTTTGTCAAAACTCAGTCAAGTCTATTTGTGTGGATCTGTTTCCAGACTTTCTATTCTGTATCAATAATCTATTGAACAATCCTTTCTCACTTTCTTGGTTACTATAGTTTTATGAAAAGTCTTAAAATTGGGTAATGTGAGTCCCCCAAGTTTGTTCTCCTTTCTTAAAATTACTTTGAGTATTCCAGATCATTTGCGCCACTAAATTTTCTTATATAACAAGGTGAGGTTGCTGGTTCCAGGTTTGATATAGTGGTTCTATAATGTCATCAATGGTCCAGGTTCTACTTGACCTTCCTCCTGTATGTTGTCCCTGCTTCCCTAAGTTTGGAGGTCAAAATATAGTTGATTATTATATTTTGTCACAGTTCTAAGCATCTCCTGTTTACATTCAAGGTAGGAAAAAAGGAGCCATGTGTTTAGAAGTTCTCCTTTTTTTACATTAGGTAAAATATTTTATTAAAGCTTTCATGACCAACTCTAAGGGCAAAAGGTAAACAAAATGAGGTTGTACCAGCTTAGATCAGTGCTTCTCAGCTAGGGGTGAGTTTGCCTCCCAGCGACATTTTTGATTGTCCATACTTAGGCTGCCGCTATGCATGTATAGTGGGTAGAAGCCAGGGATGCTTCTAAACATCTTACAATGCATAGGGTAGTCTCCTGCAACAAAGAATTACCTAGGCCAAATTAGTGCTAGGGTTGGAAAACCCCCACTCAGATTGATTATGTCCCTCACAAGTCTTCCCTGGGGCTGGGGACATTGACTTTCAAACAAACCACAGAAGGTGACAGCAAAGAAGACAGAAGAATAGCAAACAACTAGTTGATCTACCTTGGACAGTTGTCCACCTTGAGCCAGAGTTGTAAAAAGAGTATGGGGGTGGGTATATAAGTTTCAAACAATTAAACTTTTGTCATCTGTATCCCAGTATGGTGGTGATCAGGACTACCAACAAACCTGATGAAAATGCTAAAGAGTATGATGAAACTCTATCCCGGTGGGAAAAAAGTCAGCTCTCAGTGGTGGAGAATGAGAGGTGAAAAAACCAACCCAGGAAGTCCAACTAGGTGATTTCCCAGAGGAGAAAGGACCCACGAAAAGCACACAGTGGTTCAAACCTAGGGTTGGCAGAGGGGAAAAGAGTAAGTTCTGTCTTTAACAGCATCTTTTGTACCGAACAGCAGAACATTAAGATAATAAAACTATTCTAGAGTCAGCTTAGTCTAACAAGAGGCATTCAGAATCACACCAGCTTGGAAATGCTGGAAATCACAATGGCAGAACCACTTCCTTTGGGTTTATCTGTGACGGTTCATGCATGTGTGTGAGTGTGTGTGTGTGTGTGTGTGCACATGTGCATGTGGGTGTGTAGAAGAGAGAGAGGGATAAAGACAGAAGACAGAAAGATGATTAAGACTGCTTGCTCTGCCTCAGACCTGGGTACCAGCCCTAGATCCACCACGTCTCAGCATGGTAAACCTGATCACCTCAACAGGACTCGTGGAATCTCTACTTATTTACTTCCAAAATGAGAGTAATTTGTGAACTCACTACATAGTTAGCCATGAGGGTTAAATTTTTGCAAAGTGTGAAACACAGTCTTCTGAATATGACAACCGCTAACCAAATGTTAGCTGGTCTATTATATGATTATATCCAAAAAAAAATGTTCATGTGGGTTTTGTTGTAGTTCTCAGCAGAGAATGTGGAAAATAATTTACTGACTGTCTCAGCAGCAGAACTATTGCAATTACTGGAGAAGACTTATTCCATTTTTCTCCAAGAGCTTCCAAGGGGACCTGACTGCCAGCACATGGAAACGCCAGGACAGAGACCCAGGTCCCCTGTGGCCATGTCTACATTAGGACCAAATATCCTATGTTCTCAAATATCTGCATGCAGCCCCACATAGTAACTGTAGCACTTTGAGCAGAGAATGAGATCAAGAATACTGCTTGAGACAGAATTCCCAGGATACATGTGCAGTTTAGCATGGGGGTCAGAGGAAGGGGCAGGGTTTCAGAGGCAGCAGATCAGGGGAAGTCAAAACCCATCCCCCTCCTTCTTCCCATATCCAAGCCCTCCCTGAGCCCTCCAGATTTGACTTAAATCCACTCCTTTCTTTCCATAGCCTCTGCAAACCCTCTGCGTTCTCACTAATGCACCAAAATCTGTATTTGTTTCTTAGAGCTGTTGTAACAAAGTGAAACAAACTGGGTGTCTTAGTATAATAGAAATGTACTGTCTAAAGTTCTGGAGGCCAGAAGTCCATGATCAAGGTGTAGACCGGGCTATCTTCTCTTTGAAGATAGTAGAGCTAGGGGAGGATGTGTCCCAGGCTTCTCTCCTACCTTCTGGTAGTTTTTTGGCTTCTAAGCAACAACAACAACAACAACAACAACAAAGCATGACTGCAGTCATCACATGGCATTCTTTCTGTGTGCCACCATACCAAAATCTGTGTCAGTCAGAGTTCTCCAGAAAAAAGAACCAATGAGTCCAGGCACAGTGGCTCACGCATGTAATCCCAGCACTTTGGGAGGCCGAAGTGGGCGGATTGCCTGAGGTAAGGGGTTCGTGACCAGTCGGGCCAACATCCATCTCTACTAAAAATACAAAAAAAATTAGCCAGGTGTGGTGGTGTGCGCCTGTAATCCCAGCTACTAAAGAGAATGAGGCAGGGGAATTCCTTGAATCAGGGAGGTGGAGGTTACAGTGAGTCAAGATTGCACCACTGCACTCCAGCCTGGGCGACAGAGCAAGACTCCGTCTCAAAAAAAAAAAAAGAAAAGAAAAAAAAGGACCAATGGGAGACATACACGTATTTTTTTTCTCTCCCCTCTCTCTTCCTCTCTCTCCATATATATATAATTATAAATACATATGTAACCATATATATAATTTATATATGTAATTATATATATAATTAACTCATATATACTTATATATATTAGTTATATATGAATTATAATTATATATCTGCATTTATTTCTCTATATATGTAATATATGAGGAATGAATATATATAATTATATATACATATGTATTATACACCAACATATTATGTACATATGTGTATTATATATACATATATAATTATATATTCACCTCATATATATTTACATATAAATATATATTTATATAGGTAGATATTTATATATAAATTAGTGAAAGCAGCCATTTCTACCCAAGTCTCTTCATGTAAGTGGCCTACCTGAAACACTGAGGTTTCAAGGAGTTCCATGCGTCATCCCCGTCATAGGCTTGTGTGAGGGGCCCCTTCCTTCAGGTCTTCCTGTCTCTCCATTTTATTAGGGTTTGACATCAGTGACTCCATTTTGATACTGATAACTTTTGCAATATATACAAAACACACATACTATATATAATATGGATATGTACACATATGGTTGTGTGTGTGTGTGTGTGTGTGTGTGTGTGTGTATATAATGTTTGGGCTCAGGACATACTATCCCAAATATGACTATAGGAGACCAGATATGCCACCCCAATATATATTTATTTTGCATATTTGGAGCTGGTTATTCTGAAAAACTTCAGACGCAAGAGTAGCTCTGAAAAGTTGTTTTTTTTGGTAAAAGAAATTTACATCTATAAGGAAAATATGCATTAGTATCTGTATCAGAAGGAGCAGCTCCATTACAGCTTTTATTACCTGAAAGACTTACCTGCATAACAAGACAAATTTTATTCACTATACTTTTCCTCCCCTTGCCCTTCCATAAACTTGTCTCTACCACCCCTCGGAAGCCAAACCCCTATTCCTTTCTGTAGCTCAGGATATTAAATAAGCTTCAATCATCTGGCCTCTCTTGGAGTCTCATATATTTGCGGGACTCCTGTGCTCACATATGTAATAAATATGGTTTTGCTCCTGTTGATCTGTCTTGTGTCCATTTAAGTTGTAGCTCAGCCAAGGAACCTAGAAAGGTAGAGGGAACCATTTTCCCTCCTCCACAATACATACATACATAGTAAATACATACCTACATACACTACTTACTCAAACTTAGAGAGAGAGAGAGAGAGAGAGAGATTTTAAGAAATCGGCTCATGTGACTGTAGGGGCTGGCAAGTCTGAAATCCACAGGGCAGACTAGCAGGTTAGAAACTCAGGTAAGAGTTGATGGTACAATTTTGAGTCTAAAATTCTCAGAGCAGCAGGCTGGAAACTCAGGCATGCTTTCACTGTTGCAATCTTAAATAGATTTAGTCCCCACTGGTCTGCCCTTATCTTTTCTCGCCTTCTTCAATCCATTCCTCACATGGCAGCCACGGTGAGTTTAAAATGCAAATAGGGTCATGTGACAATTCTTCTTAGAACACTTCAGTGAATCCCTTATTGATTGTAGAATAAATTACAAACTCTTAATGGCCTGAAAGGGAGGGCCTCAATTTGTGCAGAATAGTTCTGGTTTCAAAGTGTTATTTTGGTTTTCATAGCACCTTCTTCCCTCAGATGTGTCCCGGGAAGATGACAAACTATACGATCAGCCTCCCTAGGCCTGGAGTGGCCTGGTGCATGCAGAATCTCCAGCCAATCTCATGCCAGTGTCCCCTTCTACTCCTCACTCAGGCCACACTGACCTGTCAGTCCCTCCCTCCACCAGCCTCCCTCCACTCTTGAAGACTTTACCTTGGCCATTGCCTCTGCTGGGGACTGTCTTCCTTCCAAGCTTCCTATATTTGTTAATTTCAAATACTTCTTGGATCTCAGCACCATTGTTACCATTACCCTGACCCTTTTCTAGAGAGATCTCCCTGAGTGTATTAGAATTCTCAGAAGAAACATAACCAAAAGAAATACTGTGTATATACAGTCATGTGTCACTTAGTAATGGGGATACATTCTGAAAAATGTATTATTAGGTGATTTTGAGGCTGTGCAAACATCCTAGAGTGCACTCACCCACACTTAGATGGTGTCGCCCACGACACACCTAGGCTCTATGGTATGGCCTATTACTCCCAGGCTACGAACCTGTCACAGCATGGGACTGTACTGAATACTGTAGGCAGTTATAACACAATGGTAAGTGTTTGTGTGTCTAAACATATCTAAACATGGAAAATGTACAGTAAAGATAGAATCGTATAATCTTATGAGACCACCATTGTACATGCAATACATCATTAACCAAAACTTCATTAGGCAGCCTATGACTATCCACGGCTTACTCTATTATGGAGGCGAAGAAATCAGTTCCAAGATCTGTAGTCAGAAAACCGGAGACTCAAGAGAGCTGATATGTAGCTAAACTCTGAAAGCTGACAAGCTTGAGATTCAAGAAGGGCCAAAATTTCAGTCTGAGTCTGAAAGCTGGAAAAGACGCAAGTTCCAGCTCAAGCAGTCAGGCAGAAGGGGTACCCTCTTACTCAACTTTTTTGTTCTATTCAGATTTTCAATTGTCTGGATGAGATGTGCCCACAATGGGGAGGGCAACCTGCTTTACTCAGTCTACCGATTCAAATGTCAGTCTCATCCAGAAACACTCTCACAGACACACACAATAATGTTTGGCCAAATGTCTGGGCACCCCATGGCTCAGTCAAATTGAAATATAAAAATTAACCATCACGCTCAGCTTTTCAATCATGTTTGCATAAGCCGATAGCAGAAAGAAGATGTGCATATGAAGTCAAGTTGCTGGCCTGAGATATCAGAAGGCATGCAATTGGAAAAACTCAGAAATAAGCCTATACGGCACAACATTGTGCGTAAAATGAAAATTGAAAGCTCTTGACTCAGACACACAGGCTGGTTTCTTTTCTTCCTTGTAGTCATTGGATAGTCTCTGCTGAACTTTAGAGTGTTGGGTGATGACCCAGGGAAATGAGGGATACATGGAGTTCATTTTTGACCATCTTCTTCCACACACTTCTATGCGTGGCTTGTTTCTGCATGATTGATTTACTGACTGGGAGGTGTCTGCAGGTGTGATGTTTCTGTCTCTTTCCTGCCAGCCTTCTTCCTTCCCCTCCCCTCCCTTCTCCTCCACTCTTACCCCTCTCTCTTCTGCCCTTCTCTCCATCTCTACTCTTTCTTTTCTCCCCTCTTTCTTTTTCTCTTTTCCATTTTGATTATTTAATGCATTCAGGCAAAGCTCCAGGAGACTAAAACCAGAGGGTCAGATTTCTCTAAATCTTAAGCCAGAAAACTAGACATGGTCCTCTTGGGCACTCTGCTTTCCCCACGACCTGGCAATTTTCTTTTGAAGCCTCCTTCTCACTGCCTGATGTCCTTGCCCGTCCTTACTTGATTCCAATGACAGCTTACAAGTAGCACCCTGATTTCCAGCACCCTACCCTCATCCTCCCCCCTCCCCATCTCCTCTACTCCTCCAACAGAGGTGAGCACTCTCAGCGAACTGATCTCTTCCCTTTGACGCAATTGGCAAAACCTAGAAATAAGCCTATACAGTACAACATTGTGAGTAAAATGAAAATTGAAAGCTCTTGACTCTCTTTCTTTCTCAAGAGCCTACCACGACTCCCTCTTGCCCAACCCATCAGGTCTGAATGTTTCTGCTTTGATTTCAAAGTTTCCTATGTTCTGGTTAACACCTGCCTTTTCAGCATCAGCCCCCACCAGAGCAGGCATGAGGCATCTGATGTGGTCTAAGCTCCTCAAGCTATTCTTCTCCAGCCTCCATCCTATCTCCAGGCCTCTACTTAGCCTTTAGGAACCCTTTCTCTCTGCTCCTCCACTCAGCCACATCTTCTGTGGCCACAATGACACTTTGGCTAAAGAATGATCTGGAGATGCACATCTCTCATTGTCCTGGCCTCTGTGTCTGTGTAGCAGTCTTAGGTGCTCTTATCTAATCAAATAATAGACTGCCACTCTTTGAAGGTAGCAGTTGTGACTTTGGGTTTAATTTATCACTGTGTCTGACACTCACAACATACTGCCAAATACAGACACATAATCATTGTACATATTTATGGGGTACATGTGATATTTTGAAATATGCATATAATGTGTAATGGGAGCCATGGGTGGAGCAGCCCCAGCTCCCTTATTCATCCCCGGAGTGGAAATTGGCAGGTCTCAGTGCACACTCTTCCACAGGGCTCTCTCCTGCCACTTGGAGGGAAGCAGAGCTCACCCACTGAGGACTCCCCGGGTCTCTTTCCATCCTGAGAAACGTGCATTTTCTGAGTCATGGAGCTGTGACGCAGCAGGATTACACATGTGCTGCCGTGAAAACTGAAATCAGAGCCAGGCGGGACCTCCCCTGAGTAAGGCTGCCTATAAATCGTAAAACCCTTAAATGAATAGCTTAGGGGCACAGGGTTGCCTTGGGTTAGGGTTAATTGGGCCGAGTACAAAGAGTTTTATGTTCATAACTTACTGTCCATTTACTCTTCCTGATTTTCTGAAAGTTATTTTGCTCTGGGGCAAATTTGTATTTGCTTTTCTGACAATGATCAGTTTGAAGCTGAACCCTTTTCAGCTGTTGGGAACTTGTAAGTTGCTCAATATCTACCAGATTTTCTCTCTGATGCATCTGCTTTGGATAGGTCGAAGAGGAGAAGAAGGGTTTTGTTTCGTTAAGTTCTCCTCCACACAGAAAATTGCTTCAAACTAATCTTTGCTTTCCTCTTTTAATGCCCTAAAAACATTTTTTGTTTTTAACTATTTATTCCCTAGCATTTTCTAGGCTAACACTCTAGCCTCTGTTTTTCAGTATTAAGCTGGGGGCAGAAGCCCAGACTATGTCCAGCTAGACTTGAGCCCACATACCTGGCCTGTCACTATTCACTTCGTGACTTGATTCCAGCCATTTAACCTCACTGAGCTTCAGTTTCTTCACATGCAGGTTGGTTCTGACTACAAGTCATGGTTTTTGTGTAGATTTAATGAAATAATATTGTATGCACAAGGTACTACTGTATTCCAGGCAAATAGTTAATGCACTAATGCTATCACAGGATACTGACTAGAATAGTGGTTAAGAATGCAGGCTCTGAAGCTAGACTGCCCGGGTTCAAATCCCAGTTCTATTTTGGACAAATTAGGTTAAACTCCCTGTACCTCAGGTTCCTGGATTGTAAATGGGAGGCCATAATTACACTGCTACATTGGATTTTTCTGCAGATTAAATGAGCTGACATGTGGAAAATGCTTAGTCTTTTCTGGCACGTAGCGCACTATCAAAAAAAAGTGTTAAGATTACAGGAGGGTAGTCACAAGACTTCCCATCTGCAAAGCTGTTGCTTTCCAAATAACCTGCTCATCGTCAAATTAACTTTTCTCCTGAAATGAAACACACTCAACCCGTTATTCTAATCTCTCCAGTTTTCTCTCCTATGGCAAGGGCAGCTTGCCTGAGCACCTGCAAAGGGTAGAAGGCAGCATAGAATAAAATCCTGTGAAATGTCAAAATGTGAAAGAAGCTACAAGAAACACCATTCACTGCTTTACGTGGAAGGTGACCCACATATAGTCAGTTTGGACTGGATTAAAAACAATGGGAACACCGTTGTCCCCTCCTGTACAGCTAGAATTTCTTATTTGCAATTGAGAAAACTGACTGAATCCACAAAAGGAGATTCATAGAGATTTCATAGAGAGAAACAAAATTGAGACACCACAACACCCTAGGAGAAACACTGAAGTACTTCTGTTCCTGACTTGCCCAGTCCTGATTCCCATTCATATCTCCTTCTGGGAGATATCCTTGCATCCTTTCAAAAATATCTCTGGTATGCTTGAGCTGTTCTGAGCAGATTTCTGTTCCTTGTAAGCAAAGAGCCTTGATGAAGCCAGTCTTGATGGACATGTTGGATGGGACGACGTTGCCATCTCTTAAATCCCTGCAATGTCTTATAGCTACTCAGAAACCACATGTTCAATGAATGGTGGACTCTAGCACCATCACGCATGTGCACACTCACAAAGATAATAAAGCCAAGCTTACATGTGGAAGAACATATTGATAATTTTCTCTACCAAGAATCATATGGCTATGGCTATCAGGGATTCCTTTTTCTCACTTTCTCAGGCTGATGCACCCCTAAATGTTCTCGTTAGCTCTAGCTCTGATATTGTCATGATGGAGGTGGCAAGCAAACCCCTTCTTCTGACCAAAAAAAATTTAAAAATATCAAGAGAGGAAATCCAAGAGGGGTCAACTTAAGAAACAATACAAAGTGCACTAGTTTACAAACACTTAATTTTTTGGAACTCTTCCTTCATTCCTCAAAACCAGAAAGTGACATTTGTGAGAAAGAGCCCTGGGATGGCAGAGTCCCAAATCAGCTCCTCCCATGAGTCACACCCCAGACCTGACAAGGTAAGGGGGCATGACACAGGAGAAAGAGCACTGCTCTGGGTGTGGGACCACCTGGGTTCGGGGTGGGGGTTCCCGCTCTCTCACTGCGGACTCTTGGGAAAATCACTTCCCCTCTCGGACTTCAGTTTCTCTCTTGCTAAAATGGGGAGGTTGGGTTTTCACACCAGCCTGTGCCTCAGAGCCACCTCAAAGCTCTCACCATACCTCATGTCTCAGGAGCTCTGGAGTCTGTAGGAACTGGGGGCTCATGTAACTCATAAAGGCTTCTCTACTTTTTTGCCTTGTCCTAAAACAATTGGCTCACGTGAGACTTTGTCCAGTCACCAGTGACTTGGAGATTCTCAATGTGAGTTGAAATGAGGTAAAATGTACAATCTAAGAGGCTAACAGCAGCTTTACTTTCTGCTGAGAGTCTAACCTTTCCCCTGCCTTATTCCTTAGAAGCACATGATTGAAATTGAATTTTGAGTTTTAGACTTCAAATGCATCATTTCTCAATATATAATTAATTGTTAATGATGGCATGAAATTTAGAAAATCACAGATTCTGATTCTAAATCCTAACTCCAGCCCTTTGAGTTATTTACTTGGGAAGTGATTCAGCGTCCCCAAACCCCAGTTTCCTTGTGGGTACAATTGGGAGAGTTTGGACACATGCTTCCGAGCGTTAAGGCAGATAATTCATACAAAGCATTTATTCCTCTGACTTGCACAACATTAAAGCTCAGGGCATGTCAGCCACTATTACATTCTTCTTCTGATACTGATAGAGTCCCACGCTGACCCCACCGTGGCCTTTTAATAAGACCGCCAGAGGCTATTTGGTGTGGGACCCTTCCTTTTACTGGAAAGTGAATACCTTTTCATGACCCAGAAACAAGCATCACACACTCCCAAGACCCGTGATTTGAGTCATGGGAAGAGACACTGAAACTACTGCATTGTTTATCTCCAAGGCCTTATGCAATGTTTTTCCCACTATTTTTAAGCTCCCCAGCCTTGCCTTTCCCCTACTTCAACTCCCTAAAGCTCAGCCCCTTGTTCAGTTCAGCTATTTCAGTTTTGGGTTGAATGGTCTAGACAGGAACCAAAAAATGCGCAGTCTGCATACAGGTCCCCCTGTGGGCCCCACAATTTTTCCGAAAAGAGTATACGGACATGGGACTGATTGACAGAGGAACTTTAATTTAATGAACTAATCCATCTAAAGCACACACCACGAACCTGGTACACCATAGTGCTCCATAAATTGTGAAAATACAATATTATGATTATCTGTAGACTTTAAATCCCTTGGCTTTTATTTGCTTGGCCTTCTTCTATTCTTAAGAGAATATCCTGGAACCATGGCCAATAGCTCAGCTACCTTGGAGCAAAATAGGAAAGACAATTCAGTCTCATTTGGGTGGACTTCTCTGGCCCTTGACACAATTTTGTTATAAACCTCCCCAGTAGTTAGCAGTAGCTGTACAACGCACAAACACAAAATCTCAGTGGCATAGAACAATAGGCACTTACTTAGTTCACATGCCCATGAGGCAGCTGATCTCATCCTCCTTGTGGTGTCAGTGAGCTAGTCTGGGCATGTCTTTCTCATAGTCATGGAGGACACACCAGAGTACACTTATACAACCAAGCACACAAACACATTTCAAGTCCCTGCCACATCCCGTCTGCTAAGATTCCATTGGCAGATACAAGTCAGGTGATCATACCCAAGATCAAAAATGAAGTATATTTCTCTCATGGAAGTATAAGAGAGAGAGAGCAACTATTTCTGAAAAGGAATTCTTTAATCCACCACACCATTCCAAATTCCATTAATTCCCACAGTACTCCAATATGCACTTCTGACATTCTCATATGTGATGCATGTTGGGTAGATGCAGAAATGGGGAAATTGTCCTTTTCTGTTCCTGGACCAGCTGGAAGGAAGTCCCTCTCTATACCTCCTCCACGCTGCCATTTTGTATTCATTCTGCAGGCAGCTGCTTCATAATCTCTGGACGTTGCATATATAGATATTTTGCATCTCTTGCTAAGCTGAGAAAGTCAACCAAGGCTTCTACTTATTTTGGGTCTTAGAGAGCTCTGGAGTGGCTTTCAAGGTGTTGCTAACTTTATCTCTCCTTGGAAGATTCCCCAACAATGCCAGTCCCCCATTGCCAGAAGCCTGGGTCCTGTTCCTGTGGTCTTGTTGCATCCTCTGCACACTTCCATTAGGGAATTTCTGATACAGTCACTATCATGGTTGGCTCATCAGGTTGTGTGATCAGTGTTTCTAAAAGGATGGCCAATATTCTTCTGAATCAGAATTTTCTGGGGTACTTGATATAATTCCGGTTCCCAGCCCTCCCCATCAAAGGTCATATATGAAACATTCAACAACTGGGGGGAGTCATACGAATCAGGCAGTATGTCACCTGCAGCAATAAGGGGCTTCAGAACACTCAACTCAGCAAAACATTACTCTTTTATTCACTGGAGAATTGCAAGGAGTCCTGGGTTGGGGTCAGGACAGTTAGTGGGACTGGAGGGTAGACAAATGTCAGAGGGACTGTGACATTTGGTATTTACCAACAAATAAAGAAGTATTTTAATATTTCAATAATAAATTCATCTGTCCTGGTATGTTCCACTTGAACTATCTCTGTTTAGTCTTATTAGTCAAACTTTCTGGGGGTGAGGTTCAGGAATCTGTTTTCAGCAGGTTTCAAATTTTGTTCAGCCCCAGGAGTAACTACTCATCTACTTATCTTGAGCAATGTTTTGTTTTTAAGTTTGATAGACACCAAAAAAATACAGACAGCATAAAGATAAACCTCTTTGCATTAACTACTAGAAACCTCATAGCAAAAAGTATGACTTGCTTATCTTCAGCAAGTGGTCCACCTGGTAGTATTTTGCTGGGGTCATGAACCTGGTTCTGACCAAGGAGTTGTGAGTGGGTAGTATGCTACCTCTGAAAGAAAGCATTTAATTGCGGATTTGAGACCCTCCAGAGCTGTCTTCCCCTCTGAAAGCAACACGTGAGAAGGTGGTTGCTCCATCATCCTGAATTCTGGTACAAGGCTGTGAGAAGAAGAGCACCTAACCACCCCTCAGTGGACATAGGCATAGATGAGAAATAAACTTTTGTTGTCTTAAATCACTGAGATCTCAGGGTTCTTTGATACTGCAGCAAAACTTAACCTAATTGAACTCGTGATCTGCCCTCCTCGGCCTAATTGAAATTTAGGGTATGGATTCAGTGTTGCCTTTCTTCAGAGCCCTTAGCCACTGCCTAATATATCATAATAATCATTAATTACCATCCACTGCACAGATAAGGTCAAATGTAAGAAGACACACAGAAGTGCTTTGTAATCTATAAACATTTTACAAACATTTTGGAAAAGCAAGTGATTCTATCAAACTTAATGATATTGATCTTGTCCCCTCAATAAGGCTGTAAGGTCTTTAGAAGAAGAGATTCTGTCCTTGAGGAATTTGAGAGCTTAGATATTTCTAGGATATACCTACCATGTTATAGGACTCCTGACAAGTTCTTAAAGAATTCTTCCCAGCCATGTGGAACTGTAAGTCCAATTAAACCTCTTTTTGTTTAAAAAAAAAAAAGGATTCTTATAGAATTGCATTTAATGGGTGACACAGAAAATCAAGAAAATAGCTTTTGTGACACAGAATCCCTTTTTTTATTGATTCTCATAATAATGGGAATTCTCCTGTTAAATCTTTAGAAGCAAAATTGCTTCCCTTTATATGGGACAAAAAATGGGAGCTTTCTAGCGGCCAATGTTTAGTTCCTGAGGAAGGTGTGAGAGGACGGATGGAGGTCAGAATGGACTGTCCCTGACCCCAGGGATGAGAGATGGAGTAAATCATGAATATGATCACTACTGAAGCTGAGAAAGAGCCTATTAATGTCATGTAATGAATTTCAAAAAAGATACAGTTGCACTTAGGGTATTTAAACCTTGGAGGTTTAAACTAAATCATACTTGTCACATGCACACATTGTCACTAATGAGCTTATGTAAATATTTAATCTTCTCTATTTGCATTACTCAGCCCAGCCTACCTCACCAGCCCCTTCTCCCAGCCTTCTCTAACACCATCAGCCAGCCTCCTGGAACTTTGGTTTCTGTAATTTGCCGTGCACTTTATGCCTCTGGCTATAACATGTATATTTCCCTCTGTCTGAACTTCCGTCTTGCATGTTTCCTTTTCTACCTACTAAACACCTACACATCCTTCAAGGCTCAGTTCAAATACATCCTCCTCTTTGGGGAACTTTGCCTGAACCATTTACAACTCTCCTACCCTAGTAGAATTTTATTTTCCTCTTCTATGCCCCCATCACCTTGCTATCATTCCATAATCCTGGGTATCCTATCTATTTATTCAACAAATACTTATGAAATCTTGCTAGGTGCCAGTCCTGGAGCCAGGTGCTGAGTGTACAGAAGTGAATAAAAATTCTAATTATTTGTAGCTATGAGTTCATGGACAGCAAGTGTCTTATCCATTTATTTAACTTCCAAGGATAATGCGTTTGCAGTCCTAAATAAATAATAAACACAGAATGTGTTCTCTTTATATCTCTTTAATGGGTGGCACAGAGGTTCAAGAAAATAGCTTTGTGACACAGAATCCCTTTTCAGTCCACATTCTACTTCTGCCTATATCCATCAGGGCTGTTTCAGTTGGAAGTATCAGAAATGCTATTCACACCACTTTAGCTACAAAAGGGAAAATACTGGCTCGTGGATTCCAGGAAAGATTGACCATTCAAGCTGGGGGAATGTCAAGGAAGGTGACTAATTTTAGGAACAATAACAGTAACAAATAGTGGATGCTATTCAGAATCTCTCTGTGTTTTACCTTTCTATTTCTCTTTGCCTATTCTGTTAATTTTCACTGTCTGCAGCCTGGTTTTCTTGGCATGGCAGGAAACATGGTCTTCAAGAACGTCCAGGTTTTAGGTCTTACAGCTCTAACCACGGATGACAGACTGCTGATTTCTCCTGCTTACAGTCTGTAAAGTTCAAGGGAAGAATTCCAATTGGTTCAGCACCAACTATTTGCCAATCCTGGAGTTACCCAGTGTTACCAGGAGATTAGAGAATGATGATTGGGTAGGTTGTCTCAGATGTCCAACCCCAAACCACCAACAAAGGCTTTGGGGGTAATGTAGCGCCATCAGTTTCTCAAAAGCAAAGGAAGATGGTAAACAGATCATCACAGTTTTCTGTCACTGATTCCGTCATTCATTTAACATTCTTTGCATACATATTATGTTTAATGCATCATGCTAAGATGGACTGAGAAAAAGAAATAAATAATAGGCAATTACTTATCTGGTCATCTGGTAAGAGACACTAGAGAGGGATTGTGGCATAGTGGTTAGAAACTTGGGGTCTAAAGCCAGAACACCAGGATGAAAATCCCAGCTGTATGATTTACATGGCTGTGACCTTGTGCCTCTCTGATCACAGTGTCCTCATCTGTAAAATGGGGATAAGGCTCACATCATCTCAGGTACCAGTTGTGAGGCTTAGTGAACCACACATGAAGCATGTAACATAGTGCCTGGCATGGAGTGAATACTCAGTAAGATGTTCACTATTCATTTGTGCATGCTCATACATCAGGACAGAAGGAATTATGTTTCAAAATGATGATACACAGAGCTCAAGATTCAAAAGAACTCCGACAATTAACACTGACAGTGGGGCCCAGAGAGGAAGAAGAATTTAGTTTAACCTTAGCAGATGAGCAGCATTTTAATACAACAGCAGATAAATGACGTTTAAGAATAATGGACAGGATGGGTGCGGTGGCTCACACCTGTAATCCCAGCACTCTGGGAGGCCGAGGCGGGTGGATCACGAGGTCAGAAGATCGAGACCATCCTGGCTAACACAGTGAAACCCCGTCTCTACTAAAAATACAAAAAAAGGAAAAAAATTATCCGGGAATTGTGGCAGGCACCTGTAGTCCCAACTACTTGGTAGACTGAGGCAGGAGAATGGTGTGAACCCGGGAGGGGGAGGTTGCAGTGAGCCGAGATCATGCCACTGTACTCCAGCCTGGGCAAACAGACCAAAAGAAGAGGATGTGAAGTGAGCAGAAGATCCAGAAGTTCTGATTTGTACAGGGTTTCTAGAGCCTACAATTCACAGATGTATAGGGTAGGAGATGTGGCTGTCAAGGAAGTTGACTGTGAAGGGACTGAATGCCACATAAGGGAGTTGGACTTTATCCCATAGACAGTGGGGAGCCATTGAAGGTTCTGGAGCTGAGAAGTAAGTGACGAGATCTAATGCACATTAATCATTGAGTAAAGACTTATTAGAGCCATAGTGGCCAGAAAAATAAATTAGAATTCCCTTTTAATCCCCCTTTTTTGCCCCAATTTTTGTTAGAGAAATAGTTCTCTTTCATTAGAAAACAGAATCATATGGACTATTATAAATGGCAACCAGTACCCAGTCCCAGTATTGGGCGGAATAGGAGATAAGGGGATTGTGGCAAATTAGAGGCCACATACCCCTCAAAAGGGAAAACCACTCCTCAGCTTCGTTCAATATTTACCAAGTAGGACTACAGGCCCAATGTTAATAAATATTATGATAATTCTAGAAAAGTGTAAAATCTGTTTTTATGTAAAATGTCTGTTTTTGTTTTGTTTTTCTTGTTGTCTCAGTAACAACTTTTAAACTCTATAGACTAAGTAAAGTATGTCTGTGGACTTAATTTGTCATCAGGGCCATCAGTTTGAGACCTCTGGATTCCAGTTGATTCAGAACATGTATTAATCTGACCTAGACACCTTTACTCTATGATCATTCCACAATTTCTGTTGAAGAACTCAGAAATAAAAACAAAGAAAGAGAATGCCATGGGCAAGAAGTATTCCCAGATAATCAAAGAAGAGATTTTGAAAGCTGAAATTTTCTAATGTAAAATAAATAATAAAAATAAAAACTAAAACAAATAAACAAAAAAGGTACAGAGGGACTTCTATGAGAGCCATGGGTGGATTATTCACAGTTAGATTCATATGCTGGGGGTACGATTTTAAATTCTAGCTGACATTTTTCACCAAAACTACTTGATAAAGGCTAAGGTCCAATGTGATGGAAGTAACTTAGGCTTTGCAGTTGGAAAATTGTGCAAATTTCTAATTTTGACAAGAAGATGTGTAAGCATATTTCTTAGAGCAGCTTGTATCACTTATCTATTGCTAAATAATGCATAACAAACAATTACAAGATATTAGCATTATATAACAATAAGCATTTACCGCTTACGTATTTATAGGGTTCAGCAGATCTTGGTTGGCCTTGTTCATTTATTTTCAGGTTTACTTCTTTCCACATCTCTCACCCTCCTCCTTGCGCTGGCAGCCTAGCCTGCCCTTATTTTTCTCATGGTGATGAGAGAGCTGCAAGAGAGGAGGTAGAGACATATAAGCCCTCTTGAAGCCATAGTTCACACCTGTCAAACTATTGCCTTTTTTAAAAATTACCCAAAGCTTGGCAGAGGGCCTAGACGTATAGAGGTGTGAACAATTTTTGCAATCTACATCACAAAACATAACTGAAGATGGCTTAGAGTCAACCAACTTAGAATGGGGATATAAATCAGGTTGCAGTCTCAAAGTGAAATACATTATAGCAATAAAGAAAATGAATGCACCACAGTATCATTCAGCAACATGGATGAATCTTACAAACCTATGATTGCCAAAAGACAGGCAAATTCAAATAAATAAATACCATATGCATCTATTCCTGTAACATTCAAAAAGAAGCAAAACTAAACTACATTGTTTATGAAAACTAATATAAGCAGTAAGATCATAAAATAAAGGAAGAAAAATGGTTACCAGAAAAGTCAAAACAGTGCCTCTATCTATTCTGGGTGTCCTGTTTAGAAAGGAGAACCCAGGGAAGATAGAGATATCTATATCTAGACCTGAATGATGGTTATTCAGGCAGTGACTTCACAATTATTTGTTAAACCGTGCTTTTATATTTCAGGCATTTTTCTGTATGAGTGTTATACTTTGCCACAGTTGGATTTTTAAAGTTCAGATCTAAATCAAAATGCAAAAATAAAAGTTATGGGTAAAAACATCCAATTTTGCTATTTAACCCTGATGTACTGGGGGCTACATCACCTCTGAATATCTGTTTTGTCTTTGGTGACAGTAGGATGATAATAGTCTCACTCGAGCTCGTCCCAAGGGGTAGATAAAAAGATGTGTAGAAGAGAATTTTTTAAATATTAGTAAACTAGATGCAGAGGTGGAAAATATTGGTATTTGACATGTAGATGAAAGGAAGACTTTAGTTCTGAATCCTGTTTCCTAGCAATGCTCTTGGCATTTTCTCTTGTTTGTTTCAAGGAGAGAAAGAAGGCAGTGGAAGAACTCAAACCCAAGCCCATGTGATTCCCAAGTAACTAATTCAAGAAGAAAGAGGGTCTGGATATGCATAAAACACCCAAGTCTCCAAATGTGAGCCACATCACTCTCTCTGCCTCAAGCCTCTGTGGGAGCTCCCTGGTATAACTGGGATTCACTTGAATACCCAGTACTTGAGTGATTTGCTGAGGTCACAGCCTCTACCACCCCTGTGTGAAGAAGATGGGGCTGGGAAGCTCCTAACTGCATAAGTCAGACCCATCATAGTGGTTATTTACACTGGGGACTCACAACGTGGCTCTGGGGTCCTTAAGCTGATGTGGGAGAGGAGCTTGGCGCAACCAGCCACATGATACTGGGCTCCTTTCCATTCTGCCTATCAGATGGACCTGGGTCCTGGTGGGAGGTCTATCCCCATAGCAAATGGTTATCTTTAAACCCATCCTTCACCGTCTTATCAGTGGAGGAATGTGGAAAGATTGCAGGCATTAGCAGTGTAGGCATTTGGGATTTTGTGTGGGTGAGTGTGTGGGAATGGGAGGCTTATAGGCCTTCAACACATTCGCAAATCAAGTGAGTGTAATCTGCCCCAGCAGAGGTCCCTGAAAGAAAGCGTAACCTTCTCAGACTGCACAGATACTGTGAACAAGAACTAACATTTTCGAGTCCTTGCTTTGTGCAAATACTGTCTTAAGAGACTCACGTGAACAACCTCACTGAATCTTCACCCAACACTTTTTAGCCAGTAGTAACCAGGTACTGTCGTTACCCTTTTTTAACAGAAAAATGAGCCAGGAGGAATTGACACAGAAGCCTGAGGTCACACAGGTAGGTGGCAGATTATGGATCTGACAGGTGTATCCATGCTGTGGACAGCCTTGGTTTGAGCAGCAATAAGAGGGGGTACAAGGTGAAGTTGGAAATGGGTACAGAACGGTGACTCTCGCCAACTTTCCAGGACTTTAGTTAGTGGCTTTGCTATTGTATAGGCATCACACACATACACACAGACAGACACAAGACACACACACATTTCCAAATTTAAGTAGAAAACCCATTCCAAAACCAACTCTACAGAAGTGATTCTTTGATTCTCCCACTGTTTCAGATCATTGGCTCCAATATTTACTGTCTTTGGTGCATAAAATAGAGAAATTGAGATATAGCATTTGCTGTCAACCAAGGTTAAGGTATCATTCTCCAGCCCACTTTGGGTCCATGAGTTATATGTCATCTGCTTTCAAAGTTTCCCTTTCTTGCTAGAAAGGGAGTTATTGGAATAATCATCTAGAGCAGGTACAACCCCACCCCACCCCCAAGCTCATACGGGCTGGAAAGCCTTCTTTCCCACCACTCACCCTCCCCCACCACAGCTGCGGGGGCCTGGTCCTCTCTGCTTTATAGAGAAACGGAATTCCAAGGAGAACCTCTGCTGGTTTATTTTTAATTGTTGACCTCCAAGGCCTTCTGTTTGCATCTGTTTATTAAATTGCGAGCTCAGCTGTGAAATGCCCTTTATGGTGTTGTTTTATTGGTGGACCATTCAGGGACCCAGCGCCACACAAACAGGATAAATATTTTTCTTTGTAACACACACCCCACGTTGGGGGCCACAGAACAAGGGAAGCGAGGATCTCGTTTGTTTACGAGCTCCGATTCATTCATTACTTGGCGAGGAGCTGTGAAATGTAAACCTCACATTCCGAAGGACAATCGCAGGGCCAGCTTGAGCTCATTTGGAGGTGTGATGTTCCACTAAAAAGGAGGCTGTTAATTTTATTGACCAAATTTGGAAAGTGGGAGCTCCAAAATTAAATAGAGCCTTTGGAAAAAAAATGAACATTTAGGTTTCTGAAAGACCTAGAGAGTGGTTACATGGTCTCGTTTTTTGGTTTCCTTTCCCTATAGGAAATTTCAGACGCCAGTGCTGTTTAGAAAGCATGAAGTGAAATTGCTGTCCGCCTCATCTTCTAGTTTTAAAAGATTTTATTTCTCTATGAGAGGTTTGTTCGTATTAATTATAGCAACCTTTGTAGAGCATTTAGCACTCGGCTTTAAATATATACCATATCTAGTAATTCACACAGTTATTATCCAAAGCTCACTTCATTATTGACCTCGTATTATGGGTTGGAAAATGAAGCTCAATGCTGAGAAACTTTTGCCTGGAGCCCCACAGCTAGTGTGGACAGAGAGAAGACTGAAAACTAGGTCTGCCCTGACACGAGAACCTGGGTTCCTTAACCGCCCCACTCTTCTGCCTCTCTCTCTGCCGTTTTTTGTGTAACGAAAAATTTGACTTTCCCAGTGGTTCAGAGAGAACTAAAGTTTCCAACAGTTACTAAGCAGCCCCGGGCTGCAGATACCCCCTGCTTTGTTGCGCACAGAACAAAAAAAGTCTGACTTGCTGAAAGATTTCAAAAGCCACGCAGTGTCTTCACTGCCACTCTGCCCCCAACCATATAGTCACGCACAGGGTCCTCAAAGAAAAAAGACATTTAACTCCAAAAGTCTCCTTTGGGGTTCCCAGACCTCCATTTTACTCTCTTTATGCCTGGCATGAAAGAGTAAAATCAAACCCAGTGCGGCAGATTCATGCACTCAGTCTGAGATGGCACAGCTCATTCGGGACTTAAGGGGGGTGTTTACCGAAAGCTAACCTTGAACTGGGCCACAGAATAAGTGGGCCCATGTCAATATTTGGACTTTAAGAAGGCCTGGTTTATAACTGTTCAGAATTGTCTCTGAATTGGGCTTTGAATCACACATTTGCCATGTTCCTCCAAGGCCTTGTTCTTTTCTTAGGGGCAAAGGCTATTTGGGGAGATTTTCTTTAGAAGGGTTGCTGGGGGCAATGAAGAAAAAGCAGTGCAAATTCAGAATATCACAATGTGATATGGAAAAAAAATGTAAACCATGTTACAAAAGCTCTGTCATCAAGAAATGTTATTGTTGTTTGAATGGTAGGAACCATCTGGGTCTCTCTTAATGACCGGGGGCCCCTCTGTGCATGGGTACAGATGCTTCTTTTGTTATTGGTGCTATTTTGTAAATAGTTAAAATATTTACCAAGGCACCTCTGAGCTGGAGCTATCCCATTTTATTATTTATACCTTTTCAGAGGGACAAAAATGGAGGTGTCCACTAAACGTGATGGATTAGGCTTATAAACAGCCATTATGGCCGTCAAACCTCACATGTCAGCTCCCCCTTTGTGTCTGCGCATTTCTAAGCTAACCAGTGATCCATGCATAAGATAGAAGGTTAAGAATGCGCAGAGAAAAGGAGTGTTGACTCCAAGCAAGATGTATCTTCTGCTGATTAGAAATACAGCTGTAGAAAGTGAGGGGGACGCCAGGCAAGAGGCGAGAAAAAGGGACTTGTGTGTGCATGAGTGTATGCGTATGCATGTGTGTGTGTATGTGTGTGTGCGCGCGTGTGTGTGTTTGCAGGCAGAAGGGAGAGAACTGGGGAGGTGCAGAAGTCACTGCAACCTGACACGCTGCATTTCAGTTTTCACAATTTCAGGCTGAAAATCTGCAAGGCCTCTACCTGCCAGCATCCCTCAGCTGTTTCCTTAACTGACTGCAGCTGGTTTTTGTTTTCCCAAGATAAAAATCAGGAAATGCAAAAATTAAATAGGATTTGAGAAGAAAAAGGATGGGCCCTGGGTAAGAAGAAAAAGAGTGAGCCAGCAGTTACCAAGACTTGTTGACAGAGGGATATTCCATCTTGTCGTAATTAAGTTTTAAAAAATCTTAAAATAGGGTGAGGCGAGTGGCAACCCATGCGGCAGGTGATCCTGCGCAATGCCTAGGAGCTAAACTGGAGTGACTTATTCACAAAAGTGAGATTTGAAAATCCTAGATAAAGTTACATGGAAGGGAAAATGAGGTATTTTTAAATCAAACTACTTTATAATTCATAAAGGATGCATTGTAAATCCAATTAATGAAAGGAACCAAAGTAACTTGTCTTGCAGGTAAAGAGGTGAATGTAAATTATGTTTTTTGGCCATGATGGCTGCACATGTATTGGAAAAAGTTTCTGTCAAAAACTGGCTTCCATTATATTTTTACCCTTAAGTCCCAGCTCCTTTAATCTCTGAGAGTTTGTCTCTGATTTCCTGCCATGCCACAAACTCCAGCCTACAAATTCGTCCCTCACTCTCTCTCAAAGAGAAGCTGTGGAATTAAGAGGCAAAGGAGCTCATGCTTTTGAAAAGATCAGGCACGGAGTGGCTGAAATATCATCTAGCCACTCTAAATGTAGATTGGAATTTTAATTTTGGTAAAGTATTTCCTAGCCATCTCCTCTAAAAATCTAAATAAGAAATGATGACCTCATTTATGTATGTATTTATTTATATAGTTATTTATTCACTGTGGGACTTGGATCAAAACTTACTGATGTAACAATAGAAAATTATATTTATCTGCCGTTTTGCAAAGAAAGGAGAAAAGAACATTTGGAAAATACAAAGACCGAAGCAAACTTCCTCTTTTGACTCAGGGGGCTGTTCCATCCTAAAAGTCTGTCTTTGGGTCTCTGGTCACCTTTAAGCATCTCCTAGAGAAAGCCCCTCCTCTAGCCCCTCTGCCTTCAGGCTGGTGTCTGCCACATTAGTATGCTGGTGCACCAACTAATTTGCCTCTATAAATGCTGGGATCTGAATCACACCACTGTTGTGGCCAGAGACTAAATTTCTCTCATCACTCTCTTTGGAGGAAAAGAAAGAAAGAAAAAGAAACACACACACACACACACACACACACACACACACACACACGTTTTCTAAACAACATTCTTACTCAAGCTACACTCATTGACGTTATAAGCCCAGTGGATCACGATTTGGCTCATTAAGAAGCATGGTCTATGAAATGAACACTCAATAAATCTCCCATAAGACAGTAATTTTACTTTTTGTTCACAATTATAAGTAATAATAATAATTCTTATCAGCCCCCCCTCACATAACAAACACAAAAGCCTAACTAGGCTCACTTAATGGTTCCCTTGGCAAACTCTAAAAAGCAACCACAGGAGTATGCCTTATAGCTGATTCCTCCTCCACTTAATCGCTCCCATTCATGAATGAATTAGAATTTTCTGTAACTCAGAATATGTTAATTAAGCAAGAAGAACTTGGAAAGTTAAACTGTTATACCAAGCAGTTTGGGTAAACATTGTATATGTTTATACAAAAATGAACGGCATATATGTTGCCTATCACATAGTTCATAGGACCCTCAGATGTATAGAAGCCACTAATTGAATTGCTCCCATGGCCCCTGCTCTCCTAATAACACACACATACACACACACACACACACACACACAACTATATTGAAGCCTAAAAAAACCACAACACCTCCAGAAGGCATATTTTTCTGTCCTCTTAGCCATAGGCAGCTACTTTAAGAATGGCTGTCACTATTTTCATAAGAAACAGGGAAGACGTGAGTTCCCATTGACACCCCTTTCTCTTTCCGTCTGCTCTAAGGCTTTCAAATATTCCTGAGAAGAGCCTTTCTGTTTGTTTGTTTGTTTGTTTGGTTTGAGACAGGGTCTCACTCTGTCACCCAGGCTGGAGTACAGTGGCAGGATCATGGCTCACTGCAACCTTGACCGCCAGGGCTCAAGCAACCTCCAACCTCAGGCTCCTAAGTAGCTGGAACTACAGGCATGAACCACTATGCCACCACACACAGCTTATTTATTTATTTGTGTAGCTACAGGGTTTCACCATGTACCCCAGGCTGGTCTTGAACTTCTGGGCTCAAGCAATTCTCCCATCTCCGCCTCCCAAAGTGTTAGAGTTACAGATGTGAGCCTCCATGCCGGGTGAGAAGAGCCATTTCTAGAAGCCCATCTGGCCTGTGTCTACTTTAGGGATACTGGGCATCGGACCAAATCACCAGTTTAAAAAAAAAATCCTCAGATAGGATTGTAAGATTTTGTAAATAAAAATATGGGATGCCCCAGTTAAACTTGAATTTCAGGCAACCAAATAATTTGTTAGTATAATTGCATCCCCATATAATATTTGGTGTATACTTCTCTAACACCACTACCCTGAGAAAGCCCGAGCCTGGTGACTCCAGGAGAGTGACTCACCCTGGGCATCTTATTTCTTACTTTGTGATTTTAATTAACAAAGAAAGTGCTGAGTGAAACCACAGATGTCCAGGTTTCTCAATGAGACACAACAACTCTCTGAGGAAGGTGTCTCAATGTGGGGCAGGAAGGCAGAAGCAGACCATTAGAGGCTGCCCCCAGCAACAAACCAGAGCTCACACCTAGTCTCAAATGTTGCTCACAGCCCAAGGAGGTCGGACTTTTATTATCTCCATTTTATAGACAAGAAAACTGAGGCACAGTTTCCAAAGCCAGGCAGCTATAACACAGAGATTTTGCCCCAGAGAGTCTGGCTTGAGACTCTACACTTAAAATAAAAATAATACCAAGCCAGAACATTAACAATTTAATTTTCCAAAGGACCTAAACTGCACATGTATACTAAAATGGAAATGGTTGCAGCCTCATGGCCTGCACCCGCCGCTGCCTCTCCCACTGAGCTGTTAGTGCCTGGACCATGCTTGGCCAGCCCAGTGAGGAATCCAGTGCTGGAAACATGGTGGAGAGAAACATGCGTGAACCCCAGAGAGGAATGGGACAATGCGGGGGGGTACCCTGTTATGCCCCCACCAGAGTCCTGCCCCCGACCCACCTCATTTCTCCCAACCTACAGGGGCAGAGAGCAATGAAAAATATTGAGAATGCAGGCTTAAATGAGGAACTCTGGCAAAAAAATCCTTTTCTCTAATTTAAAGACCACCCAGGTGTGTGCTGGTCTGTCCCCATTTTAGGGTCTTTGCCTCTTGCTTTTCAGCAAGAAAAGAAACAGATGTGATCCCCATTCATCCCTAATGGAGACAGAAGGGGAGGGAGGACCTGGGCAGTGTGGGGAGCTCGGGGCTGTCTCTGGCCTGGAAATTCTGTCTTGTAGGAGGGGGACAGTAACTTCCACAGCGTTTAAGCCTGCCTGTATTTGTCACCTGTCAGCTCAAAGTCCAGCACATAGTATGCAATCAATACACATATGTTCAATCTCTTTAAAATTAAATAATGCAATCAAAAGTCTTGGTGGTGCCCAGGGCATGGGCTGGTGACTGGCCTGGCCTTGGGACTTGGAGCCTGACCACAGGAGTCTCACTTGGTTGGAGTCACCAGTTGATGGGTTGGGGGTGGGGTGCTGGCTTCCCCTCACTCCCACCCTGGACTGGGTCAGCTCAGAGTGTCCTGGACAATTATCCCCAAAGGGGAAAAAAAGTCCTGTTCAACAAATCCTCAACTTTTGTCTCCTCTGGGGCTGCAGACCGTGGTACCTCTTATTCAGCCCTCCCTCTCCCCCATCCTGTGCCTGGGACGTTCTGTGGTTATGAGTCAATGATCAGACAGGAAAAGGGCACGCTTACTATAGGGGAGGAGGATTCAGCAGGGCTCTGGGCTTTGATGCCGGTTCTCTTACATCCTGAATGCATGAAAGGCTATGGGAGGGAGAGGAAGAAATATAAAAGCAGAAAGGAAGAAAATGTTATTAAAAAAAAAGTTGAAGGGGAAAAGAAGTGCCTGGTTTGAAATGTTGTTAAGTATCATCGACAAATATCTCCAGGAGACAAAAGCTAGTTAAAAACTGAGTTGAGATAAGCCATCTCCTTCAGTGACTCATCTTCCTAGGGAATAATGGCAAAGAGGCGGTGTTTAGGAGAGAACTGATGTGCAAATAGCAGTGTCCCTGAAGCTGGGGTTAATTACAGGAAGGACTTCCAGGGTAGTTGTTGATACATAGCACTGGCAGCAGAGCCTTGCATCACAGGCTAGGAAGGCAGCTCTCCGCCATTTGAATAGGGTCCCCAAACACTGTCCCAGAGGCAGGGGCCTGGGTGGCTCCCCAAATGCGTTCTTCAGAGAAGCCTCATGCCCAGGCCATGTTGCTTTGTGGGCTGACCCGGCATCCCTACCACCCTAGTCCAAGAACGCTCCCACTCAGTCCAGCCCCTGAAAATGTATCTGTAAATAAACCAGAAATAAAATGTTGTTTGCCATGCTGTTGGAAATTAAAAACTTCAGTCCAAGGATTGGCAAGCAGCACCTCCAAACCATCAGCTAAGTCAAGTCTGGCTGTGGAAAATGGAGATTATTGTCTCAGAGAAACCATTTTTGTACCAGGATACACCTCAAGCAGCTTTGCCTTGCACCATGCCCCACCTCCCAACTTTTTTTTTTTTTTTAGATGGAGTCTTGCTCTGTTGCCAGGCTGGAGTGCGGTGGTGCAATCTCGGCTCACTGCAACCTCTGCCTCCTGGGTTCAAGTGATTCTCCTGCCTCAGCCTCCTGAGTAGCTGGGACTACAGGTGCACGCCACCACACCCAGCTAATTTTTTGTATTTTCAGTAGAAACAGGGTTTCACCATGTTGGCCAGGCTGGTCTCGATCTCTTGGCCTTGTGATCCACCCGCCTCAACCTCCCAAAGGGCTGGGATTACAGGCGTGAGCCACCATGCCTGGCCACATCATGCCCCCTTTAAGAGATGAAATAATGCAGTATATCCATATAGGCAAGGACAACTTGTGATAATTGAGCCCAGAAACGTACCCCATCCTGGGCAGGTTTGCAATGGGGACAGGATACCTGAATTAGAAGGAGGAGTCTGGGAAGCACTGAGAACTGTCCATTGAAAGGAAGAAGAAGCCTACATAAAAAAGCACGCACCAGCCAGCTCCCTATGCAGTGGCTCTCTGATACGCACTGATAAAATTTCAGAGGATGCTGAAAGAGCTCAGCCTCCTCTGCTCCTCCTCAGAAAGATAAGGGTGGGGGCTTTTTCCAACTCTCCACAAGCATCTTTTGACAATTCCGCAAAGGCAGTTCTTCAGTGAGGGGCATAAAGCAGATTCTGAGATCAAAGGGCTGCCGCTGGTAAAAACAGAGAGAAGGTGCAGGGAAAATGGCCCGAGGGCTAAGATCAGCCACCAACCTCCTGATCCAGGCCTCAGTTTCCCCACCTATGAAATGATGGGATAATCAAGATGATGTCTCAGCCCTCACATCTGATTTTCTGAAACTTGGGAACTCCTCAAACAGGTAATCTGACCCCGAGGGCAGGAAATCTATTTCACAGTCCCCTTTCTCTCTCCTACCACCTTAAATAATGCCTTTACCATTAGTAAGAACTTAATAAATAAATATTTTGAATGGATCCATGCATGTGTGATCTGTGGCTCTTTCTTTGTCTTTTAAAATAAAAGATTTTTGGGCCAGTATTTGGGGAGGTGGTACTTCTCTTTCTTTCAGTCTTATAGAGTTGCTTCCAAAGACGAAATAAGAATAAATGACTGTAACAGCTAATATTTTTTGTGCTCAAGCACATTGCATACTTATTCTAATTATATCTCAAAATATTCCTGTGTGGAGTGGTTGCTATCATTCTCATGCCACAGGTGAGGAAATGAAGACTCAGAAAGACTAAGGAATGAGGCATTCCAGTGTGTCAGCCCTAGCTCCTTTTGACGAAGAGTCCTTGTGTTTAAGCATCTTCCTTGACTGCAGGGAGTTTTGCTGTGACCCTACCACTGGCTTGCTGAGTGCCCTTGGGTAAGTCAGTGTCCCTACCCAGTTAAAAAGTGCCCCCTTGGCTGGGCGTGGTGGCTCACACCTGTAGTCCAGTACTTTGGGAGGCTGAGGTGGGCAGATCACTAGGTCAGGAGTTCAAGACCAGCCTGGCCAACATGGTGAAACCCCGTCTCTACTAAAAATACAAAAATCAGCTGAGCATGGTGGTGGGCACTTGTAATCCCAGCTGCTCAGGAGGCTGAGGCAGGAGAATCATTTGAGCCCAGGAGGCAGAGGTTGCAGTGAGCTGAAATCATGCCATTGCACTCCAGCCTGGGTGACACAGCAAGACTCTGTCTCAAAAAAAAAAAAAAAGAAAAAAAAGTGCCTCTCTTGAGCTAGTGGTTATCCCTGCTTCCTTCCCAGACTGGCATTTCAGACTTCTTTGTTCAGCACACAGTTATCAGCTCAAATGGGCCCTCCTTAGGAAACTCTTCAATTCTGCCATGCCCTATCTACTTCCCAGTAAGGCAAACCCTTATTGTGGACTGTCCTTTTCACTTCTCTGTCTGCATATTTATGTGAGCATTAAATTCATGGTCCTCTTTTCCACTACACTGCAAGCCTCCCAATCGCTCATGTCTGTCTTGTTCATCACTGTATTCCATCCCTGGAAATTTATCCCCAGACAGGGGCCTGCCATGAAGCCAATGCTCAAAAAATATTTGCCAAACCTTTGCAGAGGCCTCCAATGACTGTGAAATGCACAGACCAGGGAGGGTCAGTTTCCAAGCCATGAGGAGATACATAACCCTAACTCCTTAGAGCAGCAAACTAAGAATGCCTGGCGCCTTAGAAGAGGATGTTGACAGTTAAAAACAAGGCAAAACCAAATCACCTTGGAATCTCTTGCTTAGGAAGAGATGAGCAATATTTGTCTAGTGGGGAGCGAGTTCTCCTGCAGATATTCCCCAAGCATGGTGATGGGAGAGCTGCTCAGCTTGTCTTTTTTTACACAGGCTGAGATGCAGGTGGAACTTGGAAGTGTCTGGTATCAAAATGCTGCTTGGGTAATTGAGCTACCCAAGCCTGTCTGGCAAGGAGGGGGATGCCATTCGGGATGTACACCATCCCCCAGGAACAGATCGTAGCAACCAAGCATGCCCCGAGGAGGGGGGTGCCTTTCTGGTTGTACACAAGAGCCAATAATAAAACACAATGAAGAGGCCTCCCTCCCAGCTGGTTGTGCACGCCCCATTCAGTTGGCTGGGATGGCCGTCTCCCTTTTAAGCGGACTCTCTTCCCCCTCGCCGCCTCCTCCTTGCTTGGTCCTCTAGTCACATACCAGACACGTCTCACAGAGCAGACCCGAAACTCCAGGTGGCAGAATCACAGTTTCATATAAATTAGGCGGGGTAATGCTGTTCAGACACATTTTTTTGTCTAAATCATGCAAAAATAGAACTTTCTCAGGGGCATAAATCTGGCCCAAATCTAAACCTGAATGTGCAATTGACTGGTATAGTTTATAGTACAAACATGGAATTATCTGGAAGTCTTCTGCTTCCAAAGACCATAGCCCATTTTTTATCCAATCTGAAAGAAATGATTTATTTGCCATCTTTAAAAAATGCAAAAGTTGGTGCATGGCAAAGGGACCAGATGCAAGCCGTGATTCAACAGAAAAATGTGTCCTGCCCCAAGCAGACATATACATCGCTCAGTGCGATGTAACATGAATCCCACAACTATATACCAAGGGCACAGAAGTTTGGGCATTTAGCTTCTTTAAGGTAGATGCCTGCTCCGTTTTTCAAAATGGGAAAGAAAGGCAAAGAGAGGAAAAAAGTTGAAGACATTGAATAAGAAAAAGAAACAAAAAATAGCTTCACAACACAGTCAACAAAGAACCCAACACCGTCTAAATAATTGCCCATTAGGTATTATATATTACATATTATTATATATATATTGTGTATTATAAGAGCATTGTTTTGCTGAAATCAGTGGAAGACAGTTTCTTCAACACTTTATTTTTTCACTTATCCCTATCCCTTTACTTTCAAAGTCATTGAGTCAATATGATGACCTTAAAATTTTAATTCTAGGGTGGAGAGAATTGTCTTAGTTCTCATGAATTTTAAGTCATGATTTGGGAGTGTGAGCACCCACATTGAAGGACAGTCACCACTGATCGATACCTTTTCCCACCACTCTGTGGGATGGCCTTGGGAAATTTAAAATGACAGAAAAAAGTGGTAATATCCTCTCTCACAAGTTGTTTAAATTATCCTGGCACTTTGCCATCAAACTAATTTCATGCAATTCACAGTGACTTCAAAGAGTGCAGAAGAACAACCTGAGGGCTGCGTTTCTGAAAAAAAAATATGTCAGCAGTAAGGAGGTGGCAGAAATGTTTCCTTAGGTAGAAAGAAAAGAAATGGCAATAGCCAAGCCCTAATGTTTGCCAGAAGGTTTGATATACTGATAAGTGATTTTTTAATGTAGCGTGTTCCTAATTCTTATTCAATGACAGTTGAAAATTGGGCATTTAGGTATAAAAAGAAAATACAAGGAGAAAATAATTAGAGAGAACTAAAAAAGGACCAGAGTAGGTGAGAGATGTCAGAGGATTTGGAAACAGTCTCTAGAGAGGGTGAAGTTGAAAGATAGTCATCTTTACTCTAGTAAAACACAAGAGAGAACTAGTTTGGTAGAATATTGGAACTGGGTCTAACAGGGGATGAGATAGGATTAAGAATGTGAAGTATCTCCTTAAATTATTCCAACAACACCTTACAAGCTCTCCCAGCTCCCTTTTTGCCTCTTTCCAGTCAATTCCTGTCAGGGTGCCATGTTTCTAATAAGCCGATTGAATCAACCATACAACCATTCCCATTGCTCCTTGCAGAGCCAATAATGCCCTATAGGATGTAGCCCCTGCCTGCCTTTCCAGGCTCATTGCTCCTCACACCCCACCAGCCAACCACCTATAGTATAGAGTCTACACTCCAGCTCTCAGAAGCAACTCTCTGTCCTTCTTCCAGCAGATACCTACCCATTTTCTGCATTTAGATTAAAAGCCACTTATTCATGGAATTCTTCCCTGACCCCAGGCTTCATCCAGGCAATCATCTTGTTTTGTCTTTGTTTTGAGTCCAAATTTTTAAAAATTGTATATTTTATATAAAAATCCAGATTACCAGCTCCTTTTGGAAATCAGAAGATACATTAACGCTAAACCCACATCTCACAGAAGTTTGGCTAGAGGAATCAGGGAGGGTGGTATTCTCACCAGCCATTCCAGAGGATATTCTCCAAAAGTAGCATCTTTTCAACTTTTTTTTGAGACGGAGTTTCGCTCTTGTTACCCAGGCTGGAGTGCAATGGCACGATCTCGGCTCACCACAACCTCCACCTCCCAGGTTCAAGCGATTTTCCTACCTCAGCCTCCTGAGTAGCTGGGATTACAGGCATTCACCACCACATGCACCATCACGCCTGGCTAATTTTGTATTTTTAGTAGAGATGGGATTTCTCCATCTTGGTCAGGTTGGTCTCAAACTCCCAACCTCAGATGATCCACCCGCCTCAGCCTCCCAAAGTGCTGGGATTATAGGCGTGAGCCACCGTGCCCTGCCTTTTCAACTTTTTTTTAAAAGAAAATGTTAGCACAGCTATGATTTAAATTATTCTGGAAGCAAGACCAAAGATTCTTGAGTATTTAGTTACGTGGCAATGTATGTTTGTTGTAAATAAAGGGATGACGACTTTCTCATGACAGCAGTGGCTTTGCCCACAAAGAGGCATGGACTGATCAGTTTGCCATAGCCCCCAATTCTTGAACTTATGTACCCCATCAAAATATGCATCTAGAAACTCCAGCTCAGACCCATCCTTATCACTGCTGATCCGTTGTACAAATAAGAAGAGGAATTCTCTCCAGGCCAAAGGATCACTTTGAAAATCACTTGTAATGCCTACTAGGACAGAGACCCTACTTGACCATTTACCTGCCCTGTGATCTTAGGCAAGTCACTGAACCCCTCCTTATTTTATAAATAGGTATAATGATGATAGTGATGGCAATAATATTAATGACCCTTCTCTCATTCCCTGAGCATGAAATGAGAATGTCGAAGTGAAAGTACTGTGACAACTCAAAATGGTAACACAAGCTTTAGTTACTGTTTTTATTATGGTAACTAGTGATTATTTACTACATTCCAGGTGCTATACCAGCCACTTTACAGACAATATCTCACTTAAGACTCATCATTACCTTATGAGTCAGGTACTGAGATTATGCCTATTTTATACATGAGGAAACTGAAACTCAGAGAGGTTATATAATTCATGTAAAATCAGTAGCTATTATAAGGCAGACTCAGGTCTGAACTGAGTTTGGTCTAATGTTTCCAACAGCATCACAATGCTTAAAAACATCACAAAATGATCATTGTAGTAGTGGTTGAAATAATTATTTGTACTAAGCTATTTCTTGTATTATAAGCAAATCTCTATCTTAAGCATGTCACATGTATTAACTCTTTTAACAACAATCTTGAGGTGGGAAGCTATTTTGTTTTCTGTTTTTCTTGGATGGTTATAACAAAGTATCACAGGTGACTCAAGAGAAGTGATGACAAGTTGAAAATAAATTTAAGTTGCTCTAAGTACATGACTACCTTATTGTTTTAATCTCCAATATATTTGCAATGTCTAATAGGGGCTTGATTAATACCAATTAATATCTGTAGGCATCAATACCTATTGGAGAAGTGAATGAATGAGAGAATGAATGGAAATTGATTACTCTTCAGAG